>NC_000001.11:61068986-61372016 GCF_000001405.40 Homo sapiens
ATGTCAGGGAAATTAAACTGTCCCAAGGTCACCAAGAGTAAAGAATAGGAAAGCATATTAAGCCCACAACTCAAAAATTCAATTCACAGCCTGGCACAGAGGCTCATGCCTGTAATCCCAGCACTTTGGGAGGCCGAGGCAGGAGGATTGCTTGAGCCCAGGAGTTCAAGACCAGCCTGGGCAACATAATGAAACCCTGACTTTACAAAAAACACAAAAATTAGCCAGCTGTGGTGCCGCGGGCCTGCAGTCCCAGCTGCTTGGGAAGCTGAGGCAGGGGGCTTGCTTGAGCCAGGGAGGTTGAGCCTGCAGTGAGCCATGTTGGTGCCACCACACACCAGCCTGGGTGAGAGAGAGAGACCCTGTCTCTAAATAACTACATAAAATTCAAGTCACTACTCTCTATGTTACAGTTCTAGACTGTTTCTCTCACTCCTGCCTCATTTGTTTTTCCTGAAAAATTATCCTTTATCTGTCTAAACATGTTTGGGTAAATCTTCAAGTGCTAGCCTGGATTTTATAGCCACTTTTTCAGTTTAGACAATTACCCATTTTCTTTCTTCTATCAGATCTACCAGCAGTATGTCTTCACTTTCTCAGACCTCTTTTCTATGTTGATACCAGAGACAGTTATTCACGCCTTTCCCATTCCTGCAGAATATCCTTTGCATGAAGTAATGAAACTGGCACTGGACTGGGGATGAATTCTTTACCAACTGTGTGGCCATGAGCTTGATACTTCACTGTGCTACTTTCAGTTTTATCATCTGTAAAATGTGGTGGTTGGAGACTTCTGAGTTCCCTTTCAGCTTTCTGCTTCTGTGAATTGTAAACTCATACTTTGCTACCTTTTATTTATTTATTTATTTATTTATTTGAGATAGAGTCTCGCTCTGTCGCCCAGGCTGGAGTGCAGTGGCGTGATCTCTGCTCACTGCAACCTCCGCTTCCAGGATTCAAGCGACTCTTGTACCTCAGCCTCCGGAGTAGCTGGGATTACAGGTGCCTGCCACCACACCCAGCTAATTTTTGTATTTTTAGTAGAGATGCGGTTTTGCCATGTTGGCCAGGCTGGTTTCAAACACCTGACCTCAAGTGATCCACCTGCCTTGGCTTCCCAAAGTGCTGGGATCACAGGAGTCTCCACCACACCCAGCCTCGGCCTTTACTTTAGTCAAGATTTTTTCTGCTGGTCATCTCAGCAGCTCAGTTGAATATCATTTTTCAATTGGACATCATTTTTGGTCTTCTGCAGTTTATTGTGGTGTGTCGAAGATAAGAAGGATGCGACCATATGCTTACCTTTGATTATGATTACAGCCAGCTAACCATCAACATTGTATTTTAAAAAACTGAATCCTGAAGCCTTTCCTAAGGCAGATACAATGGCGAGAGCTTTGGGGAGCAATTCTAAATGAATTAAATATTCTATTTAACTACTCATTAAGAGAATGACTTTGAGTAACAAACTCCCCATAGTTTTCTGAGCCTTAGTTTCTTCATTTTTGTGATGGGAATGACAAAGTCTAAGCCACTTATGCAGTAGGAAGGTTAAAGGTGATGACCTGTGTGGAAGGCCTGTGAAAGGCAAATTCAATGCCCTGCTAGTTATACTGACAATTCCACCCTTGTGATAATGCCCTGTCTTGCATTAGCCATACTCCTGACCTTGTTTTCTATCAGAACGCAAGTCTAGAAAAAGTAACCATTGTTCCTGTCATTTACATATTAATTCACCAAACATTTACTGAAGATCTACTGTGGCACTTTGCTTATAAGCTTTCAAGGATGAATAAAATAACTGCATTTTCAAGAAGCCCATAGCTCAGTGGACAGACACACAAATAAATAACTGATGTAGAATGTGAAGAGAGCGGTCTTAGATGAGTGTAAGATGTTAGAGAACACAGAGGAGATTGACCAATTCCGCCTATGGGAGTTGGGAAACAACATTAAATTGGTCCTTGAGAAAATGGGTGAAACAGGGAGACAACTTCAGGGTCTTCTGGGCAAAAAGAATCATACAAACAAGGAAAAAGAGGGATGAACATGTATGGTATATTTGGGAGGTGATAAAAAGGGAAAACTCAGTCATTTTTTGTGGCTAGGATGAGGAGGCAGCCGAGAGAGACTGAGCAGGAGGGGAGTCTGGAAAAGTAGGCTGATAAAAAAATTAGATATATTATATACCAAATTGGAGAAAGGCCATGAGATTTCAGAGAGAAAACAATTCAAATATACCATGAGATTGTTTTGTAATCTTGATTATTAGTTATAGAGAAGATTAGGCTGCTGTATCGGAGACCTGAAAACACTGTAGCTTAAAAAAAACACAACTACGGTAGCCTAAATATAATCTATGCTGGAGAAGCGGCTCTGCTCCAGGAGGTTATTTAGGAACGCAGGTTCCTTTCATCCCGTAGCTCTTTTGTCTCCCAGGGAATTGTCCGGGTCTTTGTAGTTGAAGTTGGTATTTCAGTATCATTGCTGTCTTTGGAAAGGGCCACAAGTTCAGGACAAATCTATCTTTCTTTCTTTCTTTTCTTTCTTTTCTCTCTTTCTTTCTTTCTTTCCTTTCTCTCTCTCTCTTTCTCTCTTTCCTTTCTTTCTCTTTCTTCTCTCTCTCCCCTTGCTGCTCCCCACCACCTTTCTCCCTTCCTTCCTTTCCTTCCTTTTCCTTTTCTCCTTCCCTCCTTCACTCATTTCTTTCTCCTCTTTATCTTCTTTCTCCTCTTTCTCTCTTTCTTTCTTTCCTTTTTTTTTTTTTTTGTGACAGGATCTCACTCTTATTGCCCAGGCTGGAATGCAGTAGTGTGATCATAGCTCACTGCAGCCTCAATCTCCAGGGCTCAAGCAATCTCCTGCCTCAGCCTCCTGAGTATCAGGGACTACAGATGTGTGGCATCATGCCCAGCTAAATTTTTTATTTTTATTTTTTGCAGAGACAAAGTCTATCTATGTTGCCCAGACTTGTCTTGAACTCCTGTGGCTCAAGTGATCCTCCTGCCTTGGCCTTTGAAAAGGCTGGGGTTATAGGCATGAGCCACTATGCCTGGCCCAGGACAAATTTCTTTTAAGCAAGTGTCATGAAGTTGCAGCCAACAATTCTGCTCACAGAACTTAATCATGTGTCATATTTAGTTGCAAGGAAGGCTAGGAAATATTAACTTTATTTTTATTTTATTAGGATTTTATTTTAATAGGATTGGTTCTCAAACATGGTAGGGAGGGATCAAACTCTCTTGAGGAACTTTTTTTTTTTTTTTTTTTTTTTTGAGCTGGAGTCTCGCTCCTTTGCTCAGGCGGGAGTGCAATGGCATGATCTCAGCTCACTGCACCTCCGCCTCCCAGGTTCAAGCGATTCTACTGCCTCAGCCTCCTGAGTAGCTGGGACTACAGATGTGTGCCACCAAACCCAGAGAATGTTTGTATTGTTAGTGGAGATGGGGTTTCACCATGTTGGCCAGGCTGATCCCGAACACCTGGCCTCAAGCGAGCTGCCTGCTTTGGCCTCCCAAAGTGCTGGGATTACAGGTGTGAGCCACTGTGCTCAGCCTAATATTGACTTTAAATAGCTCATCTGTGTATCTAAGAATAGAGAAAGAACAGATTTGGGAGTGGGGAGGCAATAGTCTGCCACAACTTGCTTATTTGGGAACCTCATCAATTCCTAGATTAATTTCGCTTGTAGTGTTTATCATTTATATTGCAATGTGTGTCCTTTGAATGCCTGTGTTGATTACTTTGTCTAAAAAGTGATTTGAATGATCTAGGATTTATACAGGCAAATCAAGAAAATGTGAAATATATCTCTGTGTGTCAACATTCAACTTCGTTCACAAATTAAAACTTAAGTTGATTATTAGAAAAATATTGCAATTTTGAATTATGTTTCTAATTCTGTAAAACTCTAACATTCTAGTTTCCATATCAATGTCTTGCAAGAGGATTAAGTTTTTATTTGGGTCAACAAAGCAAAATTCCTGGAAGAGCCTACTATTTTCAAGGCATAAAGCCAACCTACACAGAAACATGAGGCTCTCAATGGGGTTAGCAACCCAAATTCACCCTACTAGATTTGCACCTGATTTCCAGTGGCATGGTGGAGCCAAGGTTACTGGAATGCAAATTCACAAAGGTGGGAAGAATTGATGTAGTGTAAACGTTTAAGCCATGTGAACTACTATTACTGGTATTATTTTAATATTATTTAATATTAGGTTTAAGGATATTAGAAGCAGCAATTTGTGGAGTAAGTAGAGCCTATTTCACTAACAGATCTTATTATACATCTTCTGGCTATTTGAATTTTGAGAAGAGTCTGGGAAAAATTTACTCCTAAATTGCCTCTGTTGATCAAAGTCCCCGAAAACCAGTATCAGCGGAGGGTCTTCCTTGTTTCCTTACCTCTCTTTCATGCTCTACTCCTTCTTCCCTTTCTCTCTTTTTCTCATTCATTCCAGCGGTGCCATAGCTCAGGACTGCATCTTTTCTCATATCTTTCTAACCACTCTCTTTGCCTCCACTACTAGAATGATATTTCTAATTTGTAAATCTTATTTTGTATATCTCTTGGTTAAATACAGCCCCTCCAGTGAAGGTTCAAAGGGTTCACAATGCTCTCCACCACCTTGGCTCTGCCTGCCTTTCTAAGGTCATCTCTAGTTACAGTAATACTGTCCAGTGCCGCCTAAGGACGTTTCAGTCAATGAGAGACCACAGATACAATGGTGGTCCTATAAGATTATATAATACTGTATTTTTATTGTACCTTTTCTATGTTTAGATATAGGAATGCTTACCATTGTGTTACAGTAGCCTATAATATTCAGTAGAGTAACCTGCTGTACAGAGCTGAGCCTAGGAGCAATAAGCTATACCACATAGCCTAGGTGTGTATAAGGTTATACCATCTAGGTTTCTGCAAGTATACTCTACGATGTTCTTACAACGACTAAATCGCCTAACAACGTATTTCTCAGAATGTATCCCTGTCATGAAGTGACACATGACTATACAAGCTAATCCTAACTAGACAACTAGCCACAATTGAATACATCCCCATTCTTTGGCCTGTTGCATACACTGACATCATTGCGTTTTCCTGGAGAGGAATGCCCTGCCCCTCACCTGTCTACCTGACTAATGCATATTTCTGTCCCAACACAAATGTCTCTTTTTTAGGCCTTAATGACTGTCTCTGCCTTAATGACCCAGACAAAATGAATCATTCTATCACCACTGCCCATTTTATACATATATATGTGTGTATATATATATATATATATATGTTGGACATAACGCTTATTACATTACACTATTAGTTAGCTTTATGTCTTATCTACCCCATTGCACTGAAAGCTTGTTAGAGGCAGGGATAATGTCTCATTCTTTGCTGTATCCCTAGCTCTTAGCACCTTCAATGAGCCTATATTGAGCACACATAATGTACTAGTTAATTTACATATGTTATCTATCTCCCATTTTCCAGATCAGAAATCTAAAGCTTGCAGAGGTTTTGCCTGAAAAAAAAAAAAATACACATGGTAGAACCAACATTAAAACCTAAGTTGAGGCCAGGCTTGGTGGTTCACACCTGTAATCCCAGCACTTTGGGAGGCCGAGGTGGGCGGATCACAAGGTCAGGAGATTGAGACCATCCTGCCCAACATGGTGAAACCCGGTCTCTATTAAAAATACAAAAATTAGCCAGGCATGGTGGCGGGTGCCTGTAGTCCCAACTACTGAGGAGGCTGAGGCAGGAGAATCACTTGAACCCAGGAGGCAGAGGTTGCAGTGAGCCGAGATCGCAGCACTGCACTCCAGCCTGGGCAACAAGAGCAAAAACTCTGTCCAAAAAAAAAAACCTAAGTTGGACTCTGAAGCCAATGCTATGTTGTCAATGCTATGTTGTTGTTGACTAGATGGAGATATAAAAGGTCACTTTGGAAATGGTGCCAACCTACCATATCAAACTGAGTTAATGCACTACAGACAATGCACACAAAATTCACTGTTACCACCTACTTACAAGGCCTGGCCTGCTTAGCATCAGAGATTATTCAGACCATAGTATCTACAGAGCAATGCAGTACAGGTTGACACCTCTTCTGCATCTCAACGGTTCTTACCTTTTGACAAAACCTTCCACTCTCACAATAGGTTGATGTCTTGTTTTACAGGTGTTATGTAACCATCTCAAGGTCACACAGTCTAGTACCAGCTAAACCAGGCCCAAAACTTTTTTTTTTGGTTACTTAAAAAAATTGTTATTATTATTATTATTGTATTTTTAGTAGAGACGGGGTTTCACCATGTTGGCCAGGCTGGTCTCGAGATCCTGACCTGGTGATCCACCTGCCTCGGCCTCCCAAAGTATTATTTTTTATTTAAACTGAAGCCGCTACATCACATCAAGTGTATTTCTAGGTGAGAGTAGTACACCAAGTGGAAATGGATGCTCAGTGGAGGAGGCTAGGATTAAATGCCACAGGCTTGCTACAGCCAAGAGCATATCTGCATCTATGAGGGGCAGACCAGAACAGCAAAGCTAATGCCAAGGCCAGCCACAGTACGGCTACATCAGTCGACTAGTTGTAGAGAGCAAGACCGAAGCAAAAAATGTGATTCAACATAAAATATGAGGTTTCTCTAACCTCCAATTTAACTATGCAAGGTCCTGTTATTAATTAATTAGGTACCTTCACCAAGGACAGTTAAGAAAATCAGACAACTGCCAGGTTGCTTCCTATTACTCTTGACTTCTTACTGGATACTTTTAATCAAGCCAGGTAAGCACACGTTTTCCTCTAAGTTATTCAGCAAAATGTCCTATGCTCCTTAACTGACTCAAAGCAAACACAATTTTTTTTTTTTGAGACAGAGTCTCGCTCTGTCACCAGGCTGGAGTGCAGTGGTGTGATCTTGGCTCACTGCAACCTCCGCCTGCTGGGTTCAAGCGATTCTCGTGCCTCAGCCTCCCAAGTAACTGGGATTACAGGCACGCGCCACCACACCCGGCTAATTTTTGTAATTTTGGTAGAGACGGGGTTTCACCATGTTGGGCAGGATGGTCTCGATCTCCTGACCTTGTGATCCGCCCACCTCGGCCTCCCAAAGTGTTGGGATTACAGGCGTGAGCGACCGTGCCCAGCCAGCAATCACATTTTTAAAAACAACAACGAAAACCGCAGTAGCCTGGTTGTGTGCTTTCCATTTAAAGAGATAACTCCCTCCCTTCAGAGTCTTATTTCCTTGCTCTGCACCAATGGCTATTTTGTTGTTTAAAACAAACACTTAAACTGTTGACATTGAAATATCCAGACTACATGGTCTTAAAGAGTCTGGGTTAATGAAATAAGGTGAGTCAGTGAGATGAAGGACTTAATGTTCCAATAATTATCTTTTAAAACCCCCCTTTTAAATGTCAAAACTCTTACAGCTCTTCTCTTAGGGGAGTAGGAAGGGGAGGGGTCTCCTTTAATTTTGTGGAACCCAGGTTTTGTAAGGATATTGACAAATTAGATGCTTGGCAATTAAATTAGAATTTCACCGTATCTCCTGCCTTAAAAGAACAGCTTTATTCTTGAGGGAGCCCACCTAACAATTTTATGTTCAGTCATCTGCAGAGAATAGAGCCACTGTCTTTTTCTTTCCTAACCTAGGGTAGACGCTTTATTTCACTGCAAGTTCCCTGTGACATTTTGCACTCTCTTGATTTAATGCACCAAAGAGGATCTTTAACTCTTGGTCTACACTAGTGCAAATAAAGGTTAAATCTCTCACTAACCATCATGAACTAGCCTAATAACTCACGAGAGGCCCTGGAAAAAGAAACCGAGAGAGCAGGTGTGCAGACTTGATTAAAAGGTGCAAAACCCGCACAACCGCAGGCAAAGGTACTTTATCCTCACGTTGCCCAGTACCGGCTGCGAGGTGCGCAAGCAGGGGAACTTGTACTGCGCCAACAGAACGATTCCGAGAGCCGGGCCTAGTAACACAGGGGCTTTTCTTCAGAACGGTGTCCAGACCGGAGCTTGCGCCGAATGTAGGGGCTCCTATTGGCCACGCGCCGTAGGGGAGGAGACGACTGGCGGGGAGACAGACTGGAGGAGGGGAGAAGGGGGCAAGGCCTTTTCCCTGCCCCCTCCCTGCCCCCTCCGCCGCAGGCTGCCGCCGGTACCTCGTGCGTGGTTACTATGCAAATTGCAGCGATTGCGGAAATAAACAAGGGAGTTGGGAGAGGAGAGAGGGACTGCCGAATCGATTGCAACTTCTGCAAAGTCTCGTACAATCCAAAGCACGCAAGGCAAAACCAGAGCGAATCTGAGAACCAGCCAGCCCGGGTTGGATCGCTTTCAAAAGAGAGAGTGAGAGCGAGCGAGCGAGCGAGCGAGAGCGAGACAGTGAGAGAGGGAGAGAGCGCGCCTTGCAATTGCAAAAGCCTTCTGATTTGGAGTTAAAAAAAAAATTCTCCAAGAAGCCTGCAATTGGCCAACAGCTTTTTAAAAAATCTCTTCCGGGTTTTCAACGGTTCCAAGTTTATTTAGATATTTTTTAAATGCAAAAAAAAGGGGACAACAAATGAAGCAATTCGTCTGAGCATTTTAAAGTTTCTCACGTACTCTTTTTACATTGCAATGGTACGTGGTACATCTTAAACTTTCTATTTTGCATTTATATGATATGCGTTTTATAAACAATGGTAGAATGATTTTGTTTAATGGCTAAGACTAAAATTTCTCTAGCTCGCATATGCACTTAAGTGATTGCTGGGTAAATGTCTATTGTGATGGTTTTGTTTTAAAGATGTAGCTTTGTTGATGGTGTTTTTGCTATGTGCATCAGAGACCGGGTTTTCTTTTTCTTTTTTTTTTTTTTCGGGATTTGAAAAAATTGCTGAGCTTGACAGATTTTTTTTTCCTCCTAGCGCTTGCTCGGTTCCAGAAAGGGGTGGGGGGAAATCCTGTACGTGCTCTGTTCTGTAAAAGACGTCTGGCCTCAGCAGTCAACCTAACCCGAAAAGAAATGTCTGGACCCGGAGAATAATTGACGATTTGATCCTCTAATCAATGGGACAACTTGGGAGATTGACAAAAGCTTTATCCAATCATAAGGAAGCTTGGGTGTACAATAGTTCTCAATAGCCAGAGGGGGCGGGGCAGAGGAGATCTGAAGTTCTCTGCAGCTCTGAAGGGGATGGTGTGGTTCAAGCTGTCAAAGCTACAAGCGCTTCCGGATTTAGCAAGCACAATAGGAAAGAATTTTCGCGTTTAAGAAAAAAAAAAAAGCTGATCGGGGGAGTTTTGCATGAATCGTGTGCCTTCTTCCTTGTCTTTTGGAAAAAGAAACATTCTGCTAGAGAAATAACTTTGTATTGTTATTAACTTTGCATTAGCTATTATTTTTATGCTCAGGGAAGCTGGTAACTTGTGGAATGTGAAGTTCAACTTTAAGAAACGTGTGGCTTAAATCTTGCCTGAATTGTGGGACTGTAGTGAGCTTTGGGAAGTAATATATTGCGTATTCAGCATTACAAAACTTCTTACTCTGATTATCTTAGAAGCTTTGGCATTTCAAGTACTTTGAAATTAATAGGTAAACCTCTCTTCTTGAACTCTAAACAACAGTTTTAAAGGAGAGAATGTTTCACATGTGGACTAGCAGCTGTCTTACACACTTGAAAGAAATTAGGGGAGTGTTTTTTCTTGGCTATTCTTGAATTCTGCTTTTTAAGTATATGGTCAGTAGGAAATAGGACGTTAAGACTGGCCAAGTTCACGTTTCTCCTTGTTACCACAACAACCCCCGTGGAGAGTGTATGGAAGATCGCTGACTTGCTAACTGTTAGTTGGAGTCTGGCCTCTTGGACAAGTGCTTGATACAAATCCAGTGGAAACCAACTGCAGTAGCTTGTCTTGGAGACAGTAACTGGCAGCCTCTGACTAAAATATCTCCATCTCCTCCTCTCTGAGCAGCGTAGACACCCAATTCTGTTGGGAAGTGAATGGAAAATAATATGGGCTCTTTCCCTTCTTTGGATTAAATTCCCATCGAGCTATTTCCCAAGGCTTTAGGCCTTCCAGTCAAATCTGGCTTGGAAATTTGATGTAAGAATTCACTTGGACACTCACTTCAGCAACATGATTCAATTTAGGATTATATGCACATAAGAAAAATCTGCACAGAAGTGACCAGCAGGTCAAAAACCAGAGAAGAAAAAATGTTGAAAAATGCCAGTTAATAAAGTTAGTTTTGGTAAGAACTACAGAGTTATGGTGTTGTCGCTTATGAATCCCAGTCCTATCTTCACTGCTTTGGGTATTAAAATCTAAATCATATTAATAAGATCTCCCTATTAAGTAACCTCCAAAATGAGAGCTATTTGAGATGTACATATAAGTGAAACCTTATTGACGTAATTTATATATCTAAGAGGATTTCACTAAAGCTGGCAAGGTAACGTTTCTGCAAATAAAACACAGTAAATGCAAGGCTGGGCTCTGTGCCAGGAAGAATATGGATAGCAGAGAGCATGACAGGAGCCTCCTTTGCGCAGAGACAATCCCATTTCAAGGCAGCCTCCTACCACTTGGAAAATAAATGATTGGAGAGGTTATTTCCAATAAGGGGTTTATCCTTCCTAACAATGGGTCATTTATATGATTGCAGTGAACTAGTTTCCATACTTCACCTGCGTTTCCTCCACTGCTCTCTCTACTATCCTTTCTTTCTTCCCTCCTCCTCCATCCCTGCTCTCTCTCAAGTGCCTTAGTATCTTTGTGAACTCTGGACAAGGATTTACTTTTGCAACTTGGGAAGAGGGGAGAGGGTTGGAAATGTTTTTTACCCCCAGTCTGCCCTTTGAGGAACATCTGTTTCTTTGTGCGTGTGTTTAAATTTATGCCTGTTGGAGAGAAAGTTACCAGAAGCCTTTCTGTAACTGTAACTCTTCTACTGTATTTTTCTCAGTCTTGTTTCCAAAGGCTGTAGTTGGAACTGTGCTTTGTAGTGTTCCCCCGCCTCCCCCCCTCCCTCCGCGGGGGAGGGAGCGGGAGCTGGCGGAGATAGGAGAGAAAGCAGGAGCGGATGTGAAGGGCTTTGGTGCTGAACTTGGATCCAGCCCTTGCCTAGAGGGCGCAAACAATCGTCCCATATCCAAAAGTCTTACGAAGGGCGCCAAAAGTTACTTAAGATAATATTGCTAACCGCAGAAAGCTGGAAATCGCGGGGCACATCCACTGCTGCAACAAAAGAAGTTTTTAAAGTAGAAATATCAGCATTAAATTACTTCCCCCATTAAAAAAAAAAAACAGGGCGACATGCCAGTCCTTTTTAAAAAAAATCTTTTTTTTCCTTGAGACTCAAAAGTAAGAATCTTTGCCGTTTTGAAAATAGGCAGATGTGAAGTGTATCTTTTAATACACCAAAAGAAAGATTTTAATCTGCTCTGGAAGAGAGCTTCCCGAGTACACACTCTGAACAATAACTTTTCACTGTGCCTCAGTTACATGTTGGGACCGTCAGCCAGAAACTTCTATCGAGGAAACTTGGAGCGCATTGAAGTTATAGATCCCAGCAAAGGTTCTCGTGGCCAGGGATGTTGTCTCTGTAACACAGCTTGGCTTTTAGGACATTCCTCCCCTACTAAAATCTGAGAGGAACCAAGGAAAAGCAGTGGGTTAAGTTTGGGAAAATGGACTCTCTCATTAAAGGCTGAAATCATTATTTCTCCTCACTCCTTAGTAAATAATCTTGAGAGATTTCCAAGGATGTTCAGGAGGGAGGGTGGGAGAGAGAATGGTTCTTGAGCATTCGGGAATTATTTTGGCAATAAAGTAACTAAAGTACAAGCATAAAATAACTTTAGACAGATGCAGAATTATTTCAGAGGTTCTCTTTTGCTCTTTCTCCAGTACAGTATTTCCTGCCCCTTGCTTTGAAAAGAAGTCTGAATGAGAGTGGCCTTAACACATCACTCACCCTCACTTGTTAACACATCACTTACCCTCACTTTCCTACAGGAATGTCCCCTCTTTAGAGACTCTCTGGTTATGTCACCTCCACCGAAGGGCAGATTCCCCTGTGTGCCAGTGTCTTTCAACATGATACCTACCTCTTTCCTTTTGGAATTTTGAGAAGGGTTGTCAAATGCAGCATTTTGCAAACCATCATGAGGAAGAGAAGTAAAATAAGGGATGGGGGCTTAGAAGAGGCAGGTAGGCTTTCCCCCCTCCGAGAGAGGAGAGCCTAGAGAGAAAATATGAGGTTAAAAAAAAAAAACTGGAAAAGCAGGCTTACTGGCAACTTGCCAAACCCTAAAAACCACCCCCCTCTTTTCTGCCAAAACAATACTTTAGCAAACCTAAAATAATTGCAGGAAGCTCTTTTCCATTTTAAGAACTATTACCTGGGGGAGGGAAAAAAGGGATTCTTAAAAGGCACCCTTCCAGAGGTGTCCCAGAAACTGGGACGGTAATGATAGCCTATGTCCAGTTCTGGGCACGCGTTTGTGGATCAGAATATCTCCCTTCCCTAAGGGGACATCCCTTTCACATATTTTTTTCCTCCTAAAAAGTAAAAGATGTCACAGCTAAACCACTGTTGTTTCTGAACGTGATAGAACTTTTTCTATGGCGTCTGTGTTCAAACCCACTAGTTTCACAGTCCTGGGAGGGATAACGCTCATTAATCTCCGCCTTCTTTTCTCCAGACCCCCGCCCCCCAAATCCGGTGAATCTTCTGTGGGCACTGATTCCTCACCACCCCCGCTTCTGAATGCCACAGGACCGAAGCTGCACAAAGTTTGCAGGATTGTGTGCATAATTACCTCTGCCGACGAATCTATTCCCACAGAAAGCTTCGCTGGAGAGATTACAATGCTTTGAGCCTTACCGCATTTCAGTGGGGGAAAAAAAGTTACCTAGGAGGTCTGATTTTTCAAAGAAATTTGCATACATGCAAATGTGCCGCCCGGCCTCCTCCTCGGTTCTCTACGTGCCCACGCGGTGGCCCGGGGGGTGCGGGGCAACCTGGCAAAGTTGCCCAAGTCCTCCACCGAGGTCCGCGGAGGTCTGCAGCGGGGGTGGGGGGATGGGGACGAGGAAAAGTAGTTTTGTTTGCTTAAGCACATCCTGTGGCAGCCTATAGCTGCCCGGGAGTACAGACTGTAACTGCTCCTCACTGCGTTACCCAGTAATGCGCTGATCGGGGGAGGGGGCGGGGGGGCCGGGGAGCGAGCGGGAGAGCGAGCAAGCGAGCGAGCAAGGAGCGAGCCACGGAGAGAGCCGGGGAGCGAGCGAGCCAGCCTGCGAGCGCGAGCGGCCGCGGAGGCTCGGGACCCGGCTGGCCGCGCGGCGCCGCAGCCGCCCCCTCCCCCACACCCCCTCCCCCCCGCGGCGGCGGCGCGAGCGGGCGGCGGCTGTGCGGTGCGGTGCAGAGCGGAGGCGGAGGCGGGCGCGCGGGCAGCTCGCGGGCACCCGGCCGGGCCGGCGCGGGAGCGGGAAAGGGTGCGCTATGCCTTTAACACCCGCGTACAGTAGGCATGTATAGTGGAGTGTAGGGAAACTCTAGGCGGGGTTAAAGTTCAGCTCATGGAGCGGCAATAGCGCTGGCTGGCTGGCTGCAGTTGAGCCGACTTGGAAATGTGAACGCAAGAAGCAGGCTTGATTTTTTTTTCTCCCCCCTTCTCTCTCTCTCTCTCTCTCTCTCTTCCTCTCTCCCTCTTTCTCCTCTCTCACCCACACTCACGCACACCTCCAAACCGCACACCCAGACGCACACGCATACCCCAGCGCCCGGCAGTTATGTATTCTCCGCTCTGTCTCACCCAGGTAAGCCGCGGCGTGGATGCGGAGGGCTTGGGGGCCGGGGCGCCGGGGGCAGGGCTGGGGCTGGGTGGGGGGCACCGGGGCCGTCGCTCCGGCCGGGCCCAGGGCGTGCGTCTCGGTGTGTGTCTGTGTCTGCGCGTGTTTCTGTGTGTGTGCGCGCGTGTGCCCGCGGGTGGGGGGGGGGATCCCGCTTAAAGAAAGTAACTTTGTTTCCATGCGGGTGCATTCCTCTTGCACGGCCATTTGTGTGGGCACATGGCTAATGGCGCCCTCTTATTAATGCGTTAATTAATATCGGGGCGACGGACTGCGGAACAGCAGTGTTTTCGGACACCCCGCACGTGTTTCGGCGGGGTTGCAGTCCATGACACGCAGAAATCTGGCTCAGCGTTTCTGCTGCCGGGAGCAGGGATTCCGTAGTGCCGCAGCGCCCGGGGAGGGGGCCGCCGACGGAGCCCACCGCTCACCCCGCACGCTCGGGCCGGCTGCAGTCCTCGGGTGCGGGGAGACCTCGGGTGCCTGCGCCCAACGGCCCGCTCCCCGCAGCCTGCGCTGCCGCAGCCCCCCGCCGTCTTCCCGAACTCTTACTTTTGTTTATTGTTTGTCAGCCTTCGGGGTCCGGCCGCGGAAAGGACGCGGGCTCCCGTCCCGGCCCCGGCCCGGACAGCGCCCCTCGGACGCGGGCAGGCTGCGGCTAGCCCTCGGCTGAGCGGGGCTACGTGGACGCGCGTTCCCCCGCGCCGGCCGGGTGGAGCCTGCGTCCTCGCCGCGCGCCGGTGGCCCGTTGGCTCTCCCGGAGTGAAAGTTTCGGGGCCGAGACGAGCCCACGTTGTGCAGGGCGCCGAACGCCGGAGGCCGCGGGCCGCGGGCCGGGTAGCGCCGGGCAGAGTTGGGCTCCTAGCCGGGAGCCGGAGCGGCGGCCCGGGCCGGACACGGCTCCCCCCGCCGCCGCCGCCGCCACCACCACCACCGCCACCGCGCGACTCCGGCCGCTCCGCGCGCAGGACGGGGGCAACTTTTCCCCTCCGACTCAACTCAGAGCATGGGGCTCTTGCGCCCCACCGCCTCTCCTTTCCGTGCCCCCCTGTCCATTCCTCCCTTGTCTACCCACCCCCAGGCAAAATATTGCTACTTCGAGACTTCAAATCCGGTCCCCTTTGAATATGTTATTTGTTTTCCTTGACTAAAAGGCTTGAAGTCAAAGTGGTTTTGCGCTATTTTTTTTTTAAGCGTGAGATTTCATACTGCTTTGGTACATTAGGATCTGACCATTAATCACCTACATGAAGTTATATGCTTCACATAAAATGTTTATTCACCTCTCCCTTAAAAAACCTACCACTTCTTGCCTTCATTTAGTAGGAGATAACGGTTTAACCGGAATAGTTTCTGGAAGGCTAAAAAGTATCAGTAGTTTTCGCTCTCCTCTCTAGATTCTGGATTTATTTCCCACATGACATCCCTTCTTATTGCAATATCTAACAGTAATAATACCGGGTATTTGATCTCAGAAGACTCTTAAACGCATCTTTTATGTTGAAATGGTCTGTTTGGGATTTAGGCCTAGCATTAATAATGGATAGCAGTTACTTTTAGTTACTGTAAAAGTTTTTTTTTTTTTTCCTAACAAACTTCCAAAGTTCCTATTTTAGTAACTTGTGGAAGTATGGAATGAAACTTTTCCAACCACTTCTGGCAAGGTTCACAATTGCATATGGATAAGATGCAAAGTGTAAGATAATTTGAATGAATTACGGACTATAGTGAAAATGCTGAGATTCGAAGGCTGAAGTTCTAGCTGGCAGAAGTTTGCAACACACAGAACTTGTAGATAATATCAGCGAGCTGCAATAAAGGGAAAGGACCCTAACAGATACATTAGTGTCTTCTCAATTGAGCTCTGAAAAGATAAATTTATATTTGGGAATGGTGCATATATGAGGGCACCTGTATATCCATGCAGGCCTAGGGCACAGTCAGGTATTTAACAAAGTTGGCCTCTGTTGGTTCATGAGGTATTATGACATTAAGAGAGTTTTTTTTTTTCTTTTTTTTTCGGCTTACATATTCAGCAGCGTTGATTGATGCATTCACTAGGCCTTCTTCTGGAAACACCACTAAGAGAAATGCTTATTTAGTGTAACAGTTTGTAAAGAAAATGTACAATAAATAGTGAATGAGGGCTCATATTTTATGGGTTCTGCTTTTAAAAATTTATTTACAATTTATTTAACTTGCTGGGATATTTATAATGTTTTAGAGCCAGTTTTAGGAAGAAGAACTTCGGTAGTTTATTGCTCATTAAAAAAAATCAGTAAGCACAGTGATTTCTATCACTATACTCTAAATGAAACTCCATTTAACTTGTAGGCAATTTAAAAAAAAACTTTACCAAGAAAAACCTAGACATCTTATTTTAATCAAATATGGGCATATAATCAAATCAGGTACTGTCCATATAATGATAACCCAGCAGAAATTTGTAGGTGAACTTTTAAAAAAAGTAGTTTCCAGAAATATCAGCATTCAGTGGTTCTTAAACTTGGCTCACTTTCAAACAGATCAATGTTTAAGATGCTGATTCAAAGTAATACCACTTTTGAAACAGGTTTTCAGGTTTGTTTTTATTGGTGGCCTATAACTTTCTCACTGAGTACATATGTAAAACGTTCTTTTTTTCCTCTTGAATGTTATGAAATAGTACCTAGCTTATAGCGATATGTTCAGCAACATGAATTATAAGGGCACACTACTTTTTTTTTTTAACTAATCATTTATGCTATTCCTGGACATTTCTTGCAAGCTAATGATACTCTTTAGTTTTGATATTCTGGAATATTTTAAATCATGACTTGAGAAAGATACATTAGAAAAAATCAATACTTTAATTGTGCATATGAGTAAAGTTATACAAAATATTGTGGACTTTTACTGGCAGGTTCTTAACCTTTGGGGAGTAATACATTGTAAATACTTTTGATGCAAAATTGGGGACTTAAGTTATTCTTAATGACTAATTGACATAGTTGTTCTTGTTTAAGGATTTTTATGATGAGATATATGGGCATTTGGTTGGCAGGTAAACAGAATCCTGTTGGACACGAATGCATGCATGCAGTTTGCAGTTTTTTGAAAAGCATATTGGGAGTATCTACAGACACTTAAAATGCCATATTAGAATGTTTATTTTAAATGCTTATTATCATTAATCAAACTTTTAAATAAGATAACATTTTAACATAGATATGAATCGTTTGGAGCTAAGTTATACTTTGCATTATAAAATGGGGATGAAACTTTAAAATGAAGTCCTCCTTTTGGTGAAAGCTCACTTGGTAGTTTAAGGTAGACTCCAGGAGTTTTTTGCATAATACAACAGAGTCTTGGTCCCTAGCATGTCTTGTATATATAAGAAAATCAGTCAATGTGAAGTTCTGTTTCAAACCTAAAATTTATGTATTTTAGATCATTTCAAGGATGAGCTCAGAATTTAGTAACGTTTAGATGCTTTGTGGTTTGGCGTATACCTTTGCAGATAAACTGTGACTTGCCCCCCATGCCTGTCACCTAAAGTATGAGAATAAGAAATATTCTCAAACATCAGAAATTTTAAAAATGTTAATGGTTTATGGCAAGAATAACAATTCCTGTATTTTTTTCTATTCTCTCTCTACTTAAAGAATGCACACGTGTTACAAAAGCTGACTACTTCTCTTTTGGATTCTTTTATTGAAAAAGAGCAGTTTTGAAAGCTAAACTTGAAACATAGAACCTGAAATTTGTGCAGAGAGGAAAAAAGTCAGTTATTGAAGTAATTTATTATGTATTAATATATACTTACTTTTAAAAGCTCAGTCATATAGAGTGTTTAAATGATTGATTATAATTTGCTAAATTTTTAAACAACACGACTATTAAATATTTTACCTTATCAGTTCACATTTGAACATTTAAAAATTTAGTAATTGTGTTAATAATAATATTCTGGACATTACTGCTACCTGTGCCTTGAAAGTATATATTTAGTTAGATATAACAAACTGAAAAAGAATGCATTTTATAATATTTGTCTGTCCTACACCATTTAGCAAAAAAGCCATCGAATCTTTCTTTGGTTTCTAATCCTCATTTATTTGAAGGTAATCTATGTTTTGGAGAGGGGGTTATGTGGCAGAGAGAAGTTATGTAACAGTGTGGATTAGTTAATCAAAAGTTAGACGTACTCCGAAAGCTTTGTGGAGGTTACTGCTTAATTTTTTAAAAAATATATTTATATTTCCTAAGAAAATGTCATGTATAAGGATCAAACATTTTAAGCAAAACAGAAAGAAACATTTAAATATTTGAAACTCAATTTTTTTTTCAATTTTAAGAGGCATCTATGAGGGTTTTCCCGGCATCTTGTAAATATTGAAAATACCAGGTTCTGATTCCCTATGAGAAAAATCCTGAAATAGTATTTGCAAAAATTAAATAATCTATTTTTTAGGTATGATTATTACTGAAAGCACTTCACAATCATATTAGTAAATTAAATGTATTCATGTATGCTTTTCTTTGTTTTTTTTTCCTCTTTCTTCCCCCTTTTTGTTTCATTCCCATAGTATTAGCAATTATGTCTTGGGCATAGATCTTTTATTTTAGCCTAATAAATATCAAATTCAATCCTTCTTTTGTATATGAACCTCCCAAATTTGTCCTAGTTTTTGACTAAAAAAATTATATGTAGTTATAATATTTAAAAGGGGAATTTAGACACTAGCAAAATGAGTAAGAAACATATCAGAATCTACATGCAATATTTTTAGGGGGAAAGCCTTTGTTTTCATTGATTGTAGAGATGATTTTTTGCTCCTAGACTTCCATAAACATTGACTGGCATCTAAATGTTTAGGATTTGCCAATCTGGCGGCTGGGCCCTGGCTGTACTACAAGTGGTGAGGTCAAGGCTGGGACAAAATTAGATATGCCTTCCTTGAAATAGGGTTAAGATTATACATTGTTATAAGCATTTAGATAAACTTCACTTACTATCTAAAGGATGGGGAGCTAGGCCCGACAGTAGTAGCTGGTGTACCCTGGTGAACATATTAAAACAGTTTTTTAATTTTCAGCAGTTTTTTTATTTCCGATCATAAGAAATGATACTGATAGTTTTCTCTCCCACCTTCCCAGACTTCCCATAGGATCCTGTGTATGATTTTGGTAACAGAATGCTCTAATCAAATTTCAAGTGAAATGAGGAATTTCTTTCTTAAGGTGACCCGCTGAAGAAAAGTTGTTTTCTTTTGTTTTCATTCTACTTATATTTTTCTTTTTGTTCATTTTCCTAGGATGAATTTCATCCTTTCATCGAAGCACTTCTGCCCCACGTCCGAGCCTTTGCCTACACATGGTTCAACCTGCAGGCCCGAAAACGAAAATACTTCAAAAAACATGAAAAGCGTATGTCAAAAGAAGAAGAGAGAGCCGTGAAGGATGAATTGCTAAGTGAAAAACCAGAGGTCAAGCAGAAGTGGGCATCTCGACTTCTGGCAAAGTTGCGGAAAGATATCCGACCCGAATATCGAGAGGATTTTGTTCTTACAGTTACAGGGAAAAAACCTCCATGTTGTGTTCTTTCCAACCCAGACCAGAAAGGCAAGATGCGAAGAATTGACTGCCTCCGCCAGGCAGATAAAGTCTGGAGGTTGGACCTTGTTATGGTGATTTTGTTTAAAGGTATTCCGCTGGAAAGTACTGATGGCGAGCGCCTTGTAAAGTCCCCACAATGCTCTAATCCAGGGCTCTGTGTCCAACCCCATCACATAGGGGTTTCTGTTAAGGAACTCGATTTATATTTGGCATACTTTGTGCATGCAGCAGGTAAGTGCGATGGTGAGAATTCCTCCCACTTTCTTGTGTGTGTTTCTTTCCTGATGGCCTCCGCGTTATGCCGGATTCTTCCTGAGCTCCCCAAGTTGCAGGCCACGTACATGAAGCCAGTGTGGTTTCAAAGATTGAGAGAGGTGCCACCTTCATTCAGGTGAAAAAGCATAGCTTTGAGCGAATTCTCACTAAGTTCAGCTCTTTTGGTAAGTAGTGTTTTCAGAGGCGTTGGTAATCAGATATGTGATATGTTTAAATCACATTTTTTGATGAGGGGATGAGAGAAGCCTCGTGAAAACCCTTTTAATAAAGAGTATATTTTAACTGACAAATGATCTAGTTTAAAAGCATTTATTTTGGTATTGAGGCAATATTTTTAGTTGGTTTTCTGCTGGGAGTGTTTTTAACCTACTGAGGCCTCTTGAACCCCTTGCCAATTAAGAAGTTGGAGGTAGATTACTATCAAATTGCTGATCATTTAGGAAGGAAAAATAATCACATTAATACGCAGACTTAGTAGCTTTGTATTTAGGAATTCTTAGTGTTGTCTCAGATAGCTAAGGGAAACAAACCAGCTCTTTCAGTAATTGATGGAGAGGTTAATATTAAAAATAACCAACCTGTATATTGCATGAACACATTGAAAAATTGCTATTGATAATTGATGTAGTGAGTTGCTTTGATTGTAAAATCTTAAATTTTTTTTCTGTTTTTTCAAGGCATGTCTTACCTGTGCATGTTTCAGTGTTTAGAATAGCATGCAGGATAAAACTATTGAGGACTGGATAAAATAATGCATTTTTACTTTGTTCCTTTCGTCTTGTTTTAGACAAAAGGCTCATTGTGCTATGTGAACGCTCAGGTCTTGTGTAACTTGTTGACTTTATATATGTACATATCGGTCTTGCTAGATTACCTTCATGGCAGTTACTTGAGCCAGATGGAAGAAAGAGGGTTGTGGAATCCTACCAGTAGGTTGTTTTGGGGTTCAAATATTTAACGTTTTTTTTTCTTTTTTTTTTTTTTTTTTTACAAAGGAGAGATGTTACCTGTAAAAACACTGCACTTTTCTTCAAAACATTTTTAATTCTAAAAATGTTAGTGAGTTTTTAAAGAAGCCAGCTGATAGCCTGTTCTCTATTATTTTTCTCAATATATGTTTTAGAAAGAGAACTTTTGTTATCCATCTGCCCTTACATAAGAAACTGGAGAAATTAGCTTTGCAAGCATGTCACATCATCATTTGCATTCTGTTGGCAGGGGATAGATGAGTATTTTAGAGGATGTGAGCTGTAAGTGTTTCAAATATTTGGGTTTTCAAAAATGTATACTTAATTATAAGAATTGCCTTTTGCTTTAGCCAATTCTGGGTAGCAAGAATGAAAAGTCAGCACCTCTCAAGTGACCTCTAAGCAGGAATAAGTAGCCCTTTTTTAACCCACTCTTAACCCTGTTGTTGTTCATTTGTTTTGTTTACTGAAAAAGTAAAGTTAAAATTTTTAAAAAATGTGTCTGCATATGTTAAGCACAGCAAAACGCAAAAAAAGTATAGGTGTTACAGGTGCTTTCAAGAAGCACTCTTTAAAATCTTGTTTTTACCTTTTAGATATTTAGAAAAATATAACCTATAAATTATCCCGAATAGATGACCAACATCGAAACTTGAAAGTGCCAACAGGTGATGCAGATCATGATGTGTGCTTCCATATAAGATAACATCAAAATGAAATACCTGTGAAGTTTTTGTCGGTGTAAGCAGTGTCCATTCTAAGTTTTCGTCTTAAACATTTCTCTGTTATTTAAAGAAATGCAATCTTTTCGCTGTTCTCATTACGTGCCTTCTTTTTCGTCGTTGGTTTGTTACTGTGCTATTGCTCCCAATCCTTGAACTAACACAGTTGTTGGTTGTTGCAATGCCTGAAGGGGTTATGTTGGTAAAATGACATTTAGAAGGTTACTTAGGAGAGTTAGCATCCTTATTGCTTATGAAAGATTTATTGACAGCAGCATAGATCAGACTACTCTTCGGTTTGGTTTTCCTGATGTATCCCAGAATCCCTTGTTATGCCTGAATGCCAGCCAAATGTTTGGCCATTGGTTTTCACGGGACCGCAGTAATGGCTGCTTCTCTGTGCGCGCAACAGGAAGACTGTAAAAGAAAATATTAAGGGTCTTTTGTCTGAAAATATTTCAAATTTGATTTAAGAGATTCAGAGACCTGTTATTTGTGGAAGGGAAGCTGCCAATACAAATATGAGGTAGATCGGTCAACTTACATACAACTGATTTGACAAGCATCTGTTATAATACTGAAGATTTGTAAACACTAAACAATGTTTTTACCTCCTTAAAAGTTTTGAGAACTTGCCAGTATTGGCAGGAGGCAGAGACTCTGAAACGTGCTTCAAGATACATGCCAAAACCATTGTGGCCTTTTCACCTATAATGCGTTTTTTCTCGCTCTTTCTTTTAAATTGTTATATTTTTTTCCTTTCCAGAATGCCTTTTTTTCCCCCTAGATGGTCATAGAAATTAGATCTTCTTTTCCTTCTGAAATTTGTGTGTAATAATTCTTGCTTTATGTGTCCACCTTTCTTTGGTAGGAAGTTGAAATCTCAGAACATACGTGAGAATACTAGAAGCAAATGCAGAATCAATCTTTTTTTTTTTAAAGCGGAGGTGATTTATTCTAAGACTTATTGACATGCTAAAATATAATACATAAACTACATTCCAGTTTTTTCCCTCTAAATCCAGTGGCATTAGAACTGTGAATTTTGTGGCTGATAAGCAGTAACAAGTGTAATGAAATTGGAGTGATTTCATAAGCCTGAGAATTTCATCTTGTTAAAAGAACAAAACCATTTTATGCCCTTAATTTGGTCTCAATTTGAGTTGTCCTTCCCATGTATCATATGACAACTTGGGGATACTATGGTATTGTGGCAAATGGTTTTCTTTGTGGGTGTGTAACAGTAAAGCTAATTTATGACCAGTCTTTACCAGATGATCTGTATCAGAATCTACAATATACCCGGCACGTGGCAAGGTCACAATTTAAGTTGTTAAGGTCATAACCTTAGCCACCAGGCATTTGACCTTTTAGATAAAGTTAACCTTTGTTCATTAGTAGGCACTCAACCGAGAAGTTTCTGGAGAGTTGTTGTTTTTTTTTTTTTAACCACTTCTGTATAAACTTCTGGTAATGTAATCAGATTCTAGAAAGATTCTCAGTCAAATTAGTTAGATTTTGTGAAAGGTTATACTTTTTAAGGACTCATTTCTTGGATAGAGGCAGGTTGCTATTTTTAGGCCATAGAATGACAGTTTCACAATTTATATTTGATATTATTACCTGCCATGGGGTAGAATAAAAGCTTGGAGGCAGCTGTGTGGGGACATTTAAAATCTAAAATTAAACAAATTAATTTATGTTTAATTCAACTAAGGCCTTTGCTAATTTTCAAGTGACATTAGGCCTAAAAGCTAAATCACAGTGAGCCATCTTCACTTTTTGCAGATGAGGAATTTTCTAACATTAGAAGTATTTTTAGCAGTCTTAAAATTCAGTTTGAAAGATTAATAAGTGACCACAATTTGTCAGGTAATTGCTTTAATTGTTAATTAGCCAGTGACAAAGCAAGTTGCTGTTGTCCTAATGGCAGCAGTATGAGTACTTGTTAGTTTTAAGGTAGAAAGAGAACACTTTTGCACGGTAATCTTTTAGTGCAGTAGTTACTGATTGCTTCCATGCTGCTACCATTATTACCTTTACTTAATTTTGCTTGCATCAGGAATAGCAAAGATCCTTTCAATCACTGAAGGAGCTGTTTCAGTGTCTCGGAAGCCTGATACCTGTCCTATAAACCTACTCAACAGTATTACTGATTACCACATTACCTGTACCATATTGTTCACTTAATTATGCTGACATGAATGCTCATTTCAAATTATTTAGATTCTTGCTAGTTTTGTTCTGCTGTACCTCATATTATTCCATTTCAGCCAAAAGAGAGCTACTCCCATTCAGGTGCATTTTAGTTTTATTTTGGCTTCGTGATTGCCATTCCTTCATATAGTAATAGAGAAAGCCGTGATATGCAGATAGACCAGATGGTCATGTTGACAGATTGAGAATTCACTTCCTACTGCTTCAGAGCAGGTGTAAGATTAGGAGTGTCTGTGTAGGGGCGTGTGTGTGCTTCGTGTGCATGTGCGTGCACATCCAGGCTGCACAGAGTGCTGTTTGAGCAATGGGAATGATTTCTTTTTTGAAATGCTAGTATTTTAAATACAGTGTAATTATACAGATAAGGTTTTCAGTGCATATAGAATATTATAATTTTTATAAATAAATCGCATTAGATTGTTACAGTTTATAATTTTATGCCAAATTAATTATGAAAATTATTTTAATTTTTAGGTAACTTCCTACATTAGTTTGAGGCAACATTGCATATCCAAAATATATTCAATATATTCTTTTAGCAGCTACATGTATGTGTGTTTACATTCAAATCTAGGACTATACGTTTTTGTAATTAAACTTTTTCAGTAACTTAATAAACACCCTAGTAGAAAGTTGTGCAGTTACTTCCTGTGATTTGTAATTATTAATAAAGTGTGTTTGGAAAAAGAATATACACTGTATATTGTATACACAATATACACAATATACACTGTATATTGTAAAACTAATATACAGTGATATTTAAATTAGGAGAGTAAGGATCACCCTATCAAACTCTAGCTTTAAGCTCAAGGTGGATTTTTTGGCTGATCAAGCTATTGTAAATTATTGATATATGGCATATTTTTAGAAATTTTAATTTATCTTTTAATTCTTCAAAAAAGATAGCAGTAGCAGTCAACAAATTTGAGATAAATATTGATTTTACATCCTTGAGTGTTTTCTGTGTAACTTGAGGATAGTAACAATATCCTTTACCTAGAATGTAGTAACAAAATCCTTTATCTGGAATGTAGTGCAAAAGATGGTAGTTCTAAGGCAGAGAGTGTACAGGAATAGGGAGAAATAGTTGTTCTGGAGTAAACCTTTGAATGGAAGTCAGTTCATTTATGGCTAAGAGGTTGAGTGTGTTGGTAAGAAAATTTCCCAATGCTTCTGGCTTGGATTTTCCTTGTCTTCTTTTCCACCCTGTGATGAATAGCATTAATTTAAACCTATTTAAGGCTAGTGTGGGAGAAACCACAGCCTTTGTTGTGGTCACTGCTGTACACAGTAGGACTGGGTGTTTCATTTGGTTAAGGCCTCAAGCTGCTTCCAGAGGACACGGGACAGCCTGTCGGCATTTTAAATCTTGCACAGAAGCAGCAACAATTCTAATTGCTCACAAATGTCAATATAGATTTTTGAAACCAATTTTGAGGATTAGACTAGAAGAAAAAACATAAAATGCAGATTGAGTTCAGTGAATGTGCTAAACACTGATTTATTACCATTTTAGTAATAATTTTCCCATGGTTATTTAAGGGTTAGAGCTTGCTTTTGAATTATTATAAATTGTAAACCCATGGGGGTTGAGTAAGGGAAGGAAGAAGTCAGGTGGAGGAGGAAGAGAATGAATGAACTCGTATGCTTTGTTAAAGAGAAACATAAAACCCTGAACTTAATCACAAATGGAGATACCGTAAAAGTATTTTGGTTTCAGTAATGACTGTAAAGCAGTCTTGGGCAGTGAGCTATCAAGTGGAGAATTTTATAATTTGTCTTCCCACAATTTTTTGCATAGCTTTTTTCAGACTAAGACACTATTTAGAGCTTTGGGAGTTTTTATTCAAGTTTTTAGGAAAAGGTTTTGCAAAAATTCTTTTTAGAATTTAGGAGTCCAGTTAGAGACATCATTGCACACTTAAGCTCAGAAAAGGGGCCATGGAGATGTTTATTCTTTTTACTATTTTGCTTTCTAAGGTGGCAGTTCAGAGTATTGTCAAATTTTTGGCTCTTTCCCAGTAGGCAACGGTAAGATACTCATTATTGATCCAAACTTTTGGGTCCCTGAACTTAACAGAATTATTTAGTTGCTGCTTAGACAGAAATGACTTTTTTCCTTAGATTTTCCCCAAAATATTAGAAAACAATTCCTCATGTTTTGTTTTAACTCCACAGCGTAAAGCATATTTTATCTAATGGAATTAGTCCTCCCGTTAGTGTTCTAGCTAAATAAACATGGCTTATGAAGTGAAGAAATAAGTCCAACAAATGACAAGTTGCAGCAACTCTGAAGCAGAAGATATTTTTGCTTTTCTGTTTGTAAAACAAGCTAAATAAGATAAAACTGAGAAAAAGAAGTTCATTTGTATTGTGTATTTTGGCAAATCTTGGTCTTCTTTAAAATGTTGCTAACCCTAAAACAAGAAATGATGAGGATAATTATGATAACTAGAGATTGAAGTGGAATAACTGTAATGTTCTTTGAGAACTTTAAACTTACTTCTTTTCATGTCTTTCAAATACTTCCCTAGTGGTAGATATTTTGGACCTAGATCAATTGGGAGTAGAGAAAAGGAGATGGAAGGAAGGAAAGGAAATAACTTTTATTGAATGTCTGTTCTGCAGCAGGCACTGAGTAAGGTTTGTCATAGTCATATATTGTAGCTTGCTGTCGCTTTCATAGCAGTATTATGAATTAGTAATGCACTCTCTATTTGAACGGATGAGGATAGACTCTTCAGAGTGGCCAGGTTACATGTCCAGAGCAAGATTCAAACCCAGGTCTTCTGATTTCAAATCTTATGCTCTTAAACAATTCAAATTCATTTTGTATCCTTCTTTATATCTTATTGTTTAGGGTTGGATGTCGTTTTCATGGTATCACACACCTGTCTTGAATCAAAGGGAAAGTAAAAAGTCAAAATCCAAACCCCTCCCATTGAGATATTTCACTGTCAAATTCAGATGTTAGCCACAGAATGAGGCCACACTTGATAAAGAGAGAAATGATGTTACACTTGTCACTGTTAGGGTCAAAATCTGAAATGATTTGTTCTTTTTTGTTTTTATAATGTTGAAATTTAGTGAATAGAAGCATTATGACACAGGTTTAAGATTTTTAGTTGTTGTTAAGACAAAGTTAAACTAATTCGTTCTAGATGCTTTGAGAAGCCTTTGTGTATTAAACTAAGCACTATTTTAAAAACTAAATTGCATGTAATTTTTACTATGCAGATTTTTGTACATGGTTTTATATGTACAAGACATAATATATATTTCTAATTTCCCCTATACATTACATATATTTTTATATATATATTTACAGACAGAGAAATATATATCTATTTCTAACTTCCCCTAATGATTGGATTTTAAAATGTAAAATTCACTTTGCTCTGAAAAAATCCTTTGGTTATGGCTGTGTGTGTAATTATTTAAAATAAAGCCAAAATCATGTTTGAGAAAAGAATGGAATTTTATTAGTTTAAAATTAAAAAATTAAAATAGGAAAAAAATTGAAGATGGACATGTTTCAATTTCGTGCCCTTAAATTAGTGAATTAGTGAGCTTTTTTTTGTTGTTGTTGTTGTTTGAGACGGAGTTTAGCCCTTGTTTTCTAGGCTGGAGTGCAGTGGCATGATCTCGGCTCACCGCAATCTCTGCCTCCCTGGTTCAAGCGATTCTCCTGTCTCAGCCTCCCGAATAGCTGTGATTACAGGCATGCACCCCCATGCATGTAATTTTTAGTAGAGACAGGGTTTCTCCATGTTGGTCAGGCTGGTCTCGAACTCCTGGCCTCAGGTGTTCCACCTGCCTCGGCCTGCCAAAGTGCTGGGATTACAGGCATGAGCCACCACGCCTGGCCATGAGCTTTGTTTCTAACTCTTTAAACTTAGTCAAGATTAGTTCTTTTTTTTTTTTTTTTTTTTTTTGAGACGGAGTCTTGCTCTGTCACCCAGGCTGGAGTGCAATGGCATGATCTTGGCTCACTGCAACCTCTGCCTCCTGGGTTCAAACAATTCTCCTGCCTCAGTCTCCTGAGTAGCTGGGATTACAGGCTCCCACCACCACGCCAGGCTAATTTTTGTATTTTGAGTGGAGATGGGGTTTCACCATCTTGGTGAGGCTGGACTCGAACTCCTGACTTTGTGATCTGCCCACCTCGGCCTCTCAAAATGCTGGGATTACAGGCGTGAGCCACCGCGCCTGGCGACAAGATTAGTTCTTAATGATTTCAGTGCAAAAACTCAAAGCCTCACTCAACATAATTTTTATAATTGTAAATAGAAAAAGATGACCAATAAGTATAATTTATACTATATTAAGTCATTATACATATTAATTCTTCTAAGGTTTAATTTAAAAATAAGCAGCTGAACTGAACTTACAGCAAAGAAAATAAAATAGCTTTCTTTTTAAGAAATATTAATGAATCTTAAAGTTAGGGTTGTGTAGCATCAGTTATGCTAGAAAGGGAAAACTGAGTTTGAGGCATGTGAAGAAAAGTGATTAAATTGGTTAAAAAAATAGTACTCATATCCTATTGTCAACTGTATCTAGTTCCATACTGTATGTATTTTTATATCTCTGGTAAGTGCTTATGGTGGTCCCAAATAACTTGTGAGTTTCCAGACATAGACAGTTCTCAGAGCATGTGTATTCATATAAATTTTTAAATGGCTATTGCTGTAGTGCTCTACAGGTTAAAAAAAGTGAGGCGAAATTGAAACATTTAAAAAATACTGTACTATTTAAAAATTTGTATGAATGTCTGTGTAGCAGCTGCCATTTTCAGGCTGTCTTTGTTGCTATGGTTTGGTTGATTTTATTTCCTTTTGTAATTTTGCCAGCCAGTGATTGGGTAGTACATTGCATTCATGCTGTTGGGGAAGATATATCTGTGGTGAGTCAGATAGCTTGATCTGAGTAGTAATTTTTAGTAGGGAAAGGTATTTGTCAGTGGGTAATAGAAACTGTAGTGTTACATTACCCATCTTCATTTAATTTTCAAATTTACAGACATGTCACTTAATATCAGAAATTCAGAACCATCTCTTTTGCAGTGATATGTACTTGCCTCTCTCCTTTTGTCCTGTCAGATGCACTTAGAATTCTGTGTAGTTTAATCTTAAAGGGATTAGTTATTTAATTTTAAGCTCCTACATAAAATGAATATTGTACATACAGGGTCCCATCATTGTCACTTTCAAATATTCCATTGCCTTTCAAAGGAGCTGACATGACAAGTCCTTAGGTTGACAAATTCTCATCAACTTTTATGAAAATGTTGGCTGCAGAAGGAGTAAAGTCAAAGGAGGGCCATAGACAGATGGCTTTCAGTGTTGAGATGACATCAAGCCCTTCTTCGTGGCATTTTTTAACATTCCAAATGAATGAGGGATGGAGATGCTTAAAGAGCTTACTATAGAATAAGTAATTAAGATATTGTGTATCTGCATGTAAACCCCTGTTGCATACTATTAAACAGAGTTGTGCAGGCTCAGATATAATAGCAGATTAACAATGACAATTGTAAATATCTTTTATGCTGAATGTAACTCATAAATAATATTACACATTAACATGTTGCTGATGGAAAACTGTGTACCTGAGAACATATTTTCAACATTAGATAATTGAGAACTAACGATAAGTGGGTTACCAGTGTTTGAAATGAAGCAAAGATTCTAGATAAGAACTTGGCAAAAGCTTATTTGCATAAGAAATTTTGCGTCTTTATATGACTATGACAAGATTTTTTTGGATGGATGCACACCATATAAAAATTACTAAGTTACTAAAGTTTCTGATGGATTCATTTAGTTGGCTTTCCTCCCCCTCTTCTTTTAAATGGTAGAGGTTCTCTTTTGGAGAGTAGTTTCAAGTAACTTCTGAGAATGAAGTCTTTGTAACGATGCTGTTCAACAGCGTAACTATTGTTGTGCATTCCTGTCAGGGAAAGATAGTCATTGCAGTACTTTTATTGTATGGCCTCTTAATATGTGACAAGGACTTTTATTAAGAATTCTTTTCTTAACATACTTTTAGAAGTCTCTCCTTTTCCCACATTCAATCAGTAACTACAGTTTTAAAAAAATATTTAAATGAACTTTTATTGATTTCTTAGCTTACTGTATAGACAAAAATCTTACGTTTAAAAAAGGTTTTAAAATTAATGTATTTTAGAGTTTCAGTAAAATGAAGTGGGAACAAAAATTAACAAAAAAGTGCCATCTCATTGGATCCAGGATATGTAGTAATACACACACACAGTTCTATGTCTGTGTAACCATATATATATATGTATACACAGTTCTTTGGAGAATGAGGATATTTCAGTCCAAAATGTTATGGTTGAAGAACTAATTGTTCTAAAGATATTTGCCCCTGGCCCCAGAAAAGACGACAAACATGCAAAATGGATAAATGTAATCCTTTGTACTTTTACCACCTACATTTTTAAACTACAGTAACTCTGATTTCTCTAGAAAGGTCAGAGGTTTCAGACAGAAAGCTTTGTAATTCTTCAAAGAAAGACATTTTCAGTTTGGCTGTATAAAGACTGATTATGCATAGCTTTTTACTTTATGTGCGGTTGAATCTTGGAGGTGCTGGAGTGGGGTGGGGACGATGAATAAGTGAAGCTGTGTTTTGAGACATTAGAATTGGAGGGAAACAGACAGATTGGAGAGGAACATAGATTCATATTTTTGGGCTTTTTACTATCAAGTCACCCAGTCTAAAACTCAGGACAGAGCAGCATTAACCATTCATTTTGCTTTGTGATAGAGCATTCGATTACCAACTCTTTAAACTCTTTTGGCAATTCAAGGAGGTTGCCTATCTGGGTACCATTTCTTAGGATTTGCTTTGTTGGATTTTCTAAATTGTGGATGTGAGTTTCTTTGGTTTTGCATTTTTTAAAAAAATTTTTTGGTCCTTTTTAACTTTTCCAAGTTTTGGAGAATTTTTCATGTTGGGCGGTGTTGGAGAAGTAGAGATTGTAGATGACCTTCGTTGTGGCTTACTCCTGTTATTTGGGAAATAGACGTTCAGAGAGCATCTCACTTGAGGCCACACCAACAGTTAAGAGGCAAAGCCAGCATTTAAGCCAACTCCCTTAGATCCCAGACTTTTGCCCTAAAACTATATTATTTAAATTATCTTTTCTTATGTGTTTTTAAATTAGCCCTTCATATAAACTTCAAATTTTAGGTAGGGGAGCTTTTATGGTTCCCTTTATGCCAGTGAGGAAACAGCCAGAGAGGTTGAGTAACTTGTCCAGGGTTATATGGTTAATAAGTGGTTAGGATTAGTAACTAGGCCAGACCCTTCTATGGCCTGTTTTTATCTCTAAGATGATCCCCAGTATGTTAGACTTGAAACTATGGATGGAGTGAAAAATATTCTCTGCAAATACATCAACACTCTGAAAGCCATTGTTTTCTCTGTTTAGAAAGTAGTTGAAAAAGTAGTGAGAAACTAGAGCTTTTTCTTTTCTGGTGTTAGTTTCAGCTTCCTACCTTGAAGGGAACCTTAAGGCCCAAACCTTCTTTTTTACATTTGAGGATTCTAAGTCCATGCATCTCGGAAACTATGGAGACGGGAACTTCTTGTGTGAGTTGGAGAGCAGTTGTAGACCGTTATCATTTCCATCGGTGCGGATGCTCTTTGGGTGGTGGTGGCATAGAAGATCTGTTTTGGTTACCTTTATTGACAAGCTCTACTGTGTGACTGGCAGTTCAGTTCAGCAGATAGGTTTCCAGCACTAATCTTAGGCACTGTGATAGATTCCCGAGATGCAAAACTGAAGAAAATACCTTGAGACAAGTCAGTGCCATCTCAGATATAATTTCCTCAGAAATCAAGATTTTAGAGCATTTGATGTTTTTAAATTAGAGTCCTTTCAACTAATAGCCTGTATGAAGTTTTTAAAACACTTATAAAAAATTTATGGTGATTATTATTATTTTGAGACAGGGTCTTGCTCTGTTGCCTAGCTGGAGTGCAGTGGTGCAGTCGTAGCTCACTGCTGCCTCAAACTTCTGGGCCCACACAATCCTCCTACTTCAGCCTCCTAAGTAGCTGGGACTAAAGGTGAATCCCAACACCCTGGGCTAACTTAAAAAAATATTTTGTGGAGATAGAGTCTCACTACATTGCCCAGGCTGGTCACTGAACTCCCAGCTTCCAGTGATCCTCCCACCTCAGCCTCTCAAAGTTCTGAGATTCTAAGTATGAGCTGCCAAACCTGGCCTATATGAAGTTTTAAACATTTGTAGAACCAGTTGTTAACATTGCTTTTTTTTTTTTTACCATAAAATTGGTATATGTCGAGGAATTCTATCGTTTGACTATATTTCTATTGTGTTAAATTTTTTGTTTTCTTATATCAAAAATATTTTTGTAAATGTAAAGAAAATTCAAGCAGACAGAAGATGGTGCAGGTGCTTTCTATTATTTAATAGTTCACCTGGCCAGGCACAGTGGCTCATGCCTGTAATCCCGGCACTTTGGGAGGCTGAGGCAGGCACATCACCTGAGGTCGGGAGTTCGAGATCAGCCTGACAAATATGGAGAAACTCCGTCTCTACTGAAAATACAAAATTAGCCGGGTGTGGTGGTGCATGCCTGCGATCCCAGCTACTCGGGAGGCCGAGGCAGGAGAATCGCTTGAACCCGGGAGGCAAAGGTTGTAGTGAGCTGAGATCGCGCCATTGCACTCCAGCCTGGGCAACAAGAGTGAAACTCCATCTCAAAAAAAAAAAAAAAAAAAGTAGTTCGCCACCATAGCATGTTTTCTCTAAAGAAAGCTGGTTGTGCACAGAAAAGTTCTATTTTTTTTAAAGGGCATCCTTCTAGTAATGCTGAAATATAAAACAAATAGCGTTATAGGAAAATGAAACAGCAGGAGAACGAGAGAGTAGAAAACAGAAAGGAAGCGAAGGCCTTGGAGAGCAGGCGGTAGTGAATTCATTTGGCAGTTCCTAAAACACAGCCAAGTCCCAGTAGCATAGCCACCTAAATTCCCTATTTTGCTCCTTCTTGGAAAAAAGTTAGCAGTCTCGAGACTTTTACGCTGAAGTGGATTTTAAGTTGTCAGAAGTGTCAAGCTGATTTGCCTTTTTTTCTCTCTTTTATTAAAAGAAAAGAGATACATACTACATTCAGACAGAAAGCATGTAAGGGGTCTTATAAGTGTGAGCATGTGTTAGTGGATTAATGGGACAATGTGTGTGGATGGTGATAGAAAATATGAGAGAACTATTGCTTGGCTGATAAATGAAATAACAACAAGAAAAATCTGGTGGCCCAATATATATTGGATTTGTTGTTATTCTCTGTTATATCTGCTGGTTGTTCAATCTGAAAGTGAAATCTGTTTCTCCATTCATTAATACGTGTGCTTTTCTTTGTATAGAGCACAGAACAAATTATTTGTTCCATAATTATTTTTAAAAAGCAGAAAATGTGTTTGTAACATTTAAGAAATGGCATGGGATTGTCATAGAAACTCATTCTGAACACTGTAAATAAAAATGGTTGGGGATTAGTCACAGTAACATGTAGGACATCATGAAATTCAAGACAGATTTCTTTGTCTAACAGTCAGTAAGAGACATGAAGCGAACTTGATATAGTTCATGAGATATTAGCAGTTCAGTTCCTTCAGAGAAAGAGAAAACCATGTTGCTTCATATTAAATAAGCCATCTGTATACAAATCTCACAATTTACTTGATGATTTTAGCAATATTTGATGTTTCCTTTCAGAGTCTTATTTCCAAATAATGAAAGCTTAAAAAATTTGAAAATCTCTCTGTTTTTGCTACTAAATCTTTAGAACCATATCCCTCCTTTTCTTCTTTCCCTATCTTATTTTTTGGTAATCTTGAATAGCATTTTAAAAGTTTTAGCTTTATTCTGTTTCCTTTAGTTTTCCCTTACTTCATATAATATGAATAAAACTGAACACATTAATGATAAATAGCCTTCAATAATACTATATATTTTTAAATATTTCAGGTTAGAATTATGAGTCTGCAGTATTACCATTAACATCTTTTTCTGTTTTTCTTTTAATCCAGTATTTAGAAGGAAATTGTTTCAGGGTACTTTTTTTCTCCAACTCTGTCCAACATCTGGAAGAACGATTGCCTGTCTTTAAATTTGGAATTAATCTCCAATTGCATACTCCTGCTAGGCTGATGTTTCAGTAAATTCTAACGCATCAGCCTCAGATCTTTGATTCCTTGAGCTTTTGGAAGTAGAAGTTAAAGTCTGAGAGGGTGTTTCAAGACTTAGGAAACTTAGTGCTGTGGAATGACCTGTGCATCTGACAAGGCCCCTTTAACAATGTTGTGTGTCACTGCATGTTCTTATTTGTAATCAAAACAGTAGGTACAATATTTCAATAAGGGTAAGTGTATTTAGACAAATGTAGCCTGATAAAAGTGGATAAATTACCTTTTGTGGTTGAGTTAATTAGTGAACACAACGAACCTTGAAACTGGTGGGAGCATGTGCAAAGACATATGTGAAAATGTTGGTACATGGAACATATGGAACCATCTTGTCTTCCTGCCTGTGTACACAGGTTCTATTGTAGTACAGGTATATGCACGCATATTTTTGTTTTATTCCTTGTAGTAGTCCTACTTGGGATGTCCTCACCCACCTTTACTTGGCTAACATTATTTATACTTTAAGGCTCAGCTGTAACATCATTTCCTCAAGGAAGCTTTCTTTTCCCCCCAAGGTTAGGCTAAGGACTGCTTCCCTGCCTGCCCACAGCATCCATTAGCAGCATATTAGTACTTGCCATTAGCACTTCCTTTATCATAATAAAACTATTTGTCTACATCTGTATTTCCAGATTGGGCTGTGATTTCTTTCTGAGCAGGGACTGGGTTGTATTCAGTGTTTTTGTACCCCCACATAGGGGTGCATAGAACCTGGCACTTAACTGTGCACTCAGTATCTTTGTTTAGCTGGTGACTAGATGAGAAATCTGGATTGAACAAAACAAGAACTTGAGAAGCTTATAATATGGATCTTAAAACTAGGTAACATATAAAATAGTTTTTGGGCATTTACCTTAGGACTGAATTTAAGCCTATGTTTTTTACAGAATGATTTTCCTTTCTCACCCTACCATGTCAATGGATTTCTATTTCTTCACCCAAATCCATAGTTTCATATTAACCCAAAGGAATTATTGACATGTAAGTAATTATAATTCTGAAAACAAAGGTCTGATGATGCTAGACAATTGATGATGCTAAACCATTTAGGCTATCTGTTTTTCCCTTTAAGATCCTGGTCTTGACTTTTATTTGAGCTTTTTATCTAGAAAAGATGATTTGGTGATGATGGAGTAATATAGTAACTGCTCTAGCTTATATGTGAGGGTATAATCTTTATACCAATAATAATTTATCAAGTGCCTACTATGTGCTGGGTACCCTGCTAGGGGAGGAAATAAAGGATTTCAATTTAATGCTATTGCATTTTTAAAGAGCACAATTTTGATTAAAAATTGACCCATTCTCTTCAGAGTGGACACTCACATTTTTTGTGGGTTTTGAATCACATAGTGTCTTGCTGTGCAGGAAAAGGGCCTGTCAGTCATGTCTTTATTTCTCTTGAGCATTTGTACGTTGTATGTCTGTCCTCACTTATCAGGGTGTTTTTGGCATGGTTACTTAATCCTAAGCTCTGAGAGGCACAGGAAGTAAAAGAAAAGTTAAAGATGACAATTAAGGTGTTGGGCCCAGTTAGATATAGTGAAGTCAGAATTTTCCCTCATTAAAACTGTTAGACCAATTTCATTAGACGGAAATGCACCCACATATGTAAATCTTCTTTGTTTAATTGGAGACCTATTGATTGTAGGTAACATAAGCCTCTCTAAGGGAAACAGAACCCAACTGAAGATAAGAGTTTCTTCCCCCCAACACATACAGCATTCATGATTTTATTTCTCTAGGCGTGTTCATTATCAAAATCATTCTACTGCAGACTTTCCCATAAAGTGTTTCTGTCTGGCCCTGTTTTCATATCTAAAAGCTTCTAGTGGTTTCAGCAAGAAATGATGGAAACATTTTGACAGAATATATATTTCTTTTTTTAAAACTAAGATCTTAAAATTAAAGAGAAACAAAAACTTACAAAATCACATGAAAATATAATGCTTTAAAGAGACTGAGAATAATTGTCTTCTTTTGTGCTTTCATAGAATGCTAAAAGAAACCAAATTCTGATCTTCTTTGGTGAGCAATCACCAAAAATATTGCAGTGGGGAATGAAAAATAGAATGGATTTTTAAAAAAACTTACATTCTAATTAGGTCTCAATGCTGCAGAGAAAATAGTGTACCAGTGCAAACTCTACACTGTGGTATAAGGCACAGGATTTTCCCGCTGCGCTTCCAAGGATAGGGTCATCCTATTATAACTGTTTAATAATAGGGGATTGTGTGTATTTTCTTATATATCTTCTTGCAATTCCATGTTTCTGAAGTGTGAGATTCAGGTCAAGGTCAATGTGTGGCCAGTTGTTTATAAAGTATTAAGAATCTCATGAAGGAGAAATACAGTTTAGATGTAGATTTTCTTACGATAACTCAAATTATGTTTAAATGACAAAAACTAGGTAGGTATTGAGGAGGTAAATATCTCTATTTTTCATTTCTTAACATTACACTACAATATGTGTAATATTTAGAATTTGAATTAGGAAGAACTTTAACTTTTTTATTCCTTAGGGTATTACTGATCTCTAAACAAGATGTTTAATTAGCAGAATTATAGCATCTTAGATAAAATTGGTTATTTTTAACTTAATCACGTAGTTGATGCTACAGAAATGAATTCATGGCCTTTCTTGTGGTGCTCGTCTTTTTCTTGTTTGATGTTGCTAGTTGAACACATCTCAGGTTGTGAGAAGTGCATATTTAGATGGGAACATCTTGGAGAGATCTTGATTGGTAGAGAGTAACTTTATATCAGTGAGTATAATGCTTATCAGTGAAATTCTAACTCATTTAATTATTACTTAATTTTCTGATTATGTTTTTGTATTTGAGAGAAGATTATTTCCATTATGGCAAAGTATGGATGGATGGACATTGCTATTGCCATTTCTTGACTTAGCACACCTAGGAAGGCATTTTGAAACATACTTTTTAAAAAAAGAATTGCATATCTGTGCACCTACAACAGTGGGTGTGCTGAAATTCTGACTTGGGTTTTGATGAAAGAATTCCCCAATTCAGTTAAATTCATCCTTGACTGTCGTGTGCCACTCATGTTCACTTGGTTAAAAAAAAATTGTTTTTTGGAGATTATTTGTAGAATCTCGGTTCTGTAACCAGATATTGAATATTACCACTGGAGGGAAGCTTTGAACTCATTTATCACCCTTCTGCCAAACCACAAAAATCCTCTCTCTCTCTCTCATGCATCTATCTATCTATCTATCTATCTATCTATCTATATCTTACTGATTTATTCATATATATATTTCTTCATATATATGATATATGACACTGTATATTTACAGCATATATATTACAGCACAGCTATTTACAGCAACCTGGATCATTCATTCTTAGCCCCTTCTCAAGAATGGAAGTTTATTTTAAACCAGACATAAACAGGACATAAAATGAAATATTAAAAGACTGGATAATGCATTTTAAGTCAGACATACATTTGGATAGCTGTTGTTTGAGTTTGTCCATGCTGGAGTTACCTCCTCCTCACTGCACCCTCCCTGTTTGCATGGGGAGCTGAGATTAGATTTTAACTACAAATTATTCACATTAGTCAAATAAAAAAGAATGACATTTCCCCCAAATTTGATTATTATTGTATTTTCTTGGAGAAAAAGATCGTGTTAGTAAAATAATTCAAAATGGAAATCCAAATGTATTTCTTTTAAAATTTTTCAAATCTGTTGCTAAAAAGCTGTAGAATATCGTGGAAAATTCTTTTATTGTAACAAACATTCCTGGTTTAATTTCTTATTTTCACTTTATTTTTAATATAAATATATATGTAACTTATAACACATAGTATGAACTGAAAATCTGTGAACCAAGAAAGATAACAACCAATACCTTTCATTTACCTGTGTGTTCTTTTCCTCTCCCATTACCCTGAAATTCCTCCTATTATCCTGAATTTTGTGTTTGTAATTCCCCTCCTATAAAATAAATGGTTTATCACTCATAGGTACTAAATATATTGTTCAGTTTTGCTTGTTTTTTTAAGTTTTATAAAAAATCATATATACACACATACATATACATACATATATATATATAAATACATATACACACACACTTCTGGGAATTGCTTTTTTTCACTCTACAATATGTTCATAATGTCATATATACTGTAATTTATTATTGTTTCTTGTGTAATATTCTGTGATGGATCTATAGAAGGTTTCCAGTTTCTTGGTCTTAGCAAGTGCTATGAACTGTAACATGTCTTCTAGAGCAAGTGTGTAAAAGTTTCTTTATGGTATGTGCCTAGGACTTAAATTGTTGAATTACAGGGTGTGTAAATGTTAAGTTTTTTTTTTTAAGAAAAGATAGTGATATTTTATCTTACTAACAAGTTATGCCTGTTTATACGATCACTCGCTGTAGCAGTATACAAAAAATTCTGTTGATCTGCATTCTCTCCAGAATTTGGCACTGCCAGATTTTTCTTTTTGCCAATCTTGAGGCTAAAAAAGAGTATTTCATTGTGTTTTTAATTTGCATTTATAATTTGATTACTAATGAGACTAAACATCTTTTTGTATATGTATGAGCCACTTTACTGTGGAATAAATGTTTTTGTCATTTATTCATTTTTTTCTATTTTATTGCTTATTGTTTACTTATTGGTTTGTAGGAGTTCTTTATAGATTCTGCATTCTAATTTTTGGCCAGTGTACGTTTGCCAATATATTTTCGTAGTTTCTGGCTTGTTTTAAAATTTTCTTCATGTTATCTTTGATCAACAAAAATTCTTAATTTTAATACAGTAAAATTTATCAATCTTTATCACATGGTTATTGCTTTTTTGTCTTGTTGAAGATATCCTTTTTTACTCCAAGTTTAGAAGTATATGGTATTTTTTGTATATCTTTTAAGTGTTCATCTCACATTAGGTTTGTATTCCATCCGGAATTTGTGTATGGTGTGAGGTAGGGATCCAATTTCATTTTATTCTGTATGAATGGACAGTTTTCACTTTATCACTTATTGAATAATTTCTCTATTCCCCAAATAATGTAAAATGATACCTCTGTCATTTATTTTTTATATTTGTGTATGTCTGTTTTTGGATTCTTTGCTCTGTTACACTGATCAACTTGTCTGCCCTATACCATCACCACAATTTTTCACTTACTAAGCCCTTATAATGAGTCTTGATAAAGCAAAATTTCACACCTCTTTTTGAAATAAATTTTTTAGTTATTCTTTACCCCTCACTATTCCATATATATCATGGCATTACTTTGTCAAGTTTTGTGAAACATCCTATTGGGACTTTGTTTAGAAATATATTGAATCTACAGATAAAGGAAATTGACATCTTTTTTTAACTATCAAATATTATTATCTATGAACATGGTATGTCTCTTCATTTATTTAGATCTTATTCTTGGTTACACTGAATTTTATTTTTCACCAGGTTTTGAACACTTTTGTGAAGCTGCTTTTGTAAATTGTTTTTAATATTTTGTTTTTAACTCTAATTTCTAGTATAGAAATACAGTTACTTTGTGTATAGTGATCTTATATTCAGCGATATTTACATATTTTTAGCCAATAATGTATTGGTAAGTTCTTTTTTGTTTACTATTTCGATAATCATATCAAATGCAAACAGTGAGAAAGATGTTCATTTCTATTCTATGCTTTTATCTTCCTTACCCTTCTCATTGCACTGAGATCTGCAACTCAGTGTTAAATTAACCTGTGATAGTGGGCATTCTTGATTTTTTTTTCTTGATTTCCTATTTATTTTTAATCCCTGAATGAATCAGAGTTAATGCCTTAATATTTAAATATTACTTTCGCTGCTCACATTTTAATCAGAGAAAGGACAAGACCTGACCTAGTTTTGTTAATTTTCCTCTTATTTTTAAAAATTTTATGGTTTGGTATATGCTACCATAATTGAAACCTCAGATTCTCCTCACAAATTACTTTATGCCAAGTGGTATAGTATCTGTTAATTAGTGGGTAAATAGTGTTTTTAAAGAATGCAGTCATCTAAAATTTCAAAATATAAGGCTCATTTGTATGAATTAATTATTTTAGGTATTTCAGGGAAAAGAATTACCATATTTCATACTGATGAGATTTTTTGATACTGTGTTGTGTGGCTCAGTCTCTTACGTTTTGATTTGAACTATAGAACCCTTAAGTAGCATTCTGTTTTTTACAATTTAAAATGTCTGGTTTGCATGGGTTTACTTTTTCCTTTTTCCTCATGTAATTTTTGTTAAGACTTGAATAGATTACTCTTCTAATCTTGTGAGCAGACTGCAGGAAGACAACTATTAAGAGTAGAAAGCTATTAAGCAGTCAGGGGTTTATTATGCTTTAGTGTTTTGTTTAAGTCTGTTCTTAATTGGTTGATTAATGTACGAGAAGTCCTTTTCCCCCCTCCATCTCTACAGATGGCAAATGGTAGGTCCCAACTGTCATTGTTCACAAAAAAGGTTATGGTTCAAAGTCAAAGATTCAGAGATACCACAATAATCAATCATAGGAACTTGTCTCAGAGTGCCCAGCCAGGCAAAAGTTAGGCAGAGTAATAATATTTACTGAGAATCTCTTATGAGTATTTTTTTTTGGTGTGTTCTTTATTTTATTTAGAAAATATTATTTAATTAATTGAAATGCCTCTGAATTTAGTGACAAGCATTTAAATAAATATGAAAAATAATGGTCAAAAAGTTTTCTGTTTATCGGTTTTATCAGATAGTGCTAGAATACATAATTTTAAAATGGGTGTAACACAGAAAATAACATTCTTAATATATTGAGATTAACAGAACATTTTCAAAGGAATACCTTTTTACCATTTTCATGTGAAGATTATTTATAATAGTTAACTTCCTTTTTTAGGAGGAAGAGTAGAATTATGTTCTGGTATTGATCCACAAAGAGGATTTGCATTTTATTCATACTATAAAAGTACCTTTAATGGAGACCTTGTGGTAATTGAATCTATACTGTGTATCACTATCAAAGTATCTTTTTAATTATTTTATGTTATACAATTTAAGTCATGGAAAGGGGGATGACTGTATTGTATCTTTTAAGTATAATGTATAGCCTTTAATATTCTTAAAGTGGATGTTAGTTAAGGACAATTTTTAGTTGAGAGAGAGTGAAAGAGAGAGAGATAAGGGGGGCAGAGAGGATTCCATTACATTCAGCACAGTATGAAACTAAGTCAAAGGAGTTTTGTTAATTAAATTCAATTGCCATCCATTAGACCAGTGGAATGAGATGACTCTGCCTGGTGCTGACACAGCACAGGTATGCAATTTGGCTAAATGGCCATTTCCAAACCATAGCACACATTTGTCTACTTGTTCACTTTTTTTTTTTTTTACATGAGAGTTTTTACTCTTAGAAAAGTCAAAGAGTAACCCAGTGCTTGTCGAGGGGTAAAGGTATCATTTTTATGCAGCATATTGTGAAGTGATTAATTTTTTAGGTGAAAAATATATAGTTCACATAGAGATTATTTGGGAGAAAATGATTTTTTAAAAAATATGCAGTATCTGCGGGCAAGCATACGAACAAATATATATACACACACACGTATCAGTATAGAAAAATGTGTACTTTTAAAATTCAGTTGTCTTAATCTGAAGCTATTTGAGTCATATTCTCTGGATTTTTTAAAGCATCCTACAATCTGTATATATAATTAGGGGAAGTTGTAATAATTGCAGGAGTTATAAAAGCGAAATTTAGGTGGTGGGTAAGTGTATCTACATTTTGGCATAAATCACTACTTTTAGAGGATTTATATGTCAGACTGATAAGTTTCTTACCATGGTGAAATGACAAGAATACCACTCAGGCATTGGCTGAGACATAATTTTGACAGCCAGCAAGCTTGCAGTGTTGCTGAGTGCACAGATTTCCACTTCCTGCCAAGATTAAAATTGGCAAAAACCAAAAAGGATATTAGGGATTGTCACTTTAAGAAGAAATAACATGTTAATGTTCTGCATTTGCTTAAGAAATGTAAGAGTGATCTCTTGAACTGTAGTCTGTTGAAACTTACAAGTTTGCAATCAATAGAAGAGTTTGATTAATATGAGCATCAAAAATTAAAATAAGTAGAGGCTCTCTGACACTTGTTAGAATTAAGACTCATTATAGGTTTACTTAATAGGACATAATTACTTTCCTTCTATATAAGATGAATTCTTCACAAAAGCTATGAAATAGTTTTCCTCACAGTCCCTGAAGAACAAAGGCCTACTTTAAGTTTGTAGATTTGAAGACTGAATGCTTGCTTTACTTCCTGAATTTTCTTATTTTTTCCTGTGTGAGCAGATGGTTTTTCTTTTTATAAGTTGCCAGATCTTTCCTATAACAATAACTGCCATTATTGAGAACCTACTGTGCGCTTATTCTGTACTGAGCACTCAGATCTTCAGAGTTTTTTCTTACTTAGGACTTTTTGTTTAACTCTAGGTGTAAAAATGAAGAAAAAATTATATCTCATGTTGTGAAAGAGTCAGACTCTGAAATCTGCTTATACTTTGCTATTTACAGTAAGTACTTTTGAAACAGCTGTAGACGTTCAAATGAAAGTAGCAATGTGGAGTGGGGAATGTGGGAACATTCATTTGTGAAGACTTTGCATTTCTTCAGCTTTATAGCCAACAGAAAAGGAGATTGTTGTGCATTCTATTAAATACTGCCAGTATGATTAATTTAAAGGGTTACATTTTATTGAACCCTGGTGTAGATGTTCTTTGTCAACCCACATTCACAGCTAGTTAGAGTGTGTGTAGCATTTATCAAAACTTTCTGGAGCCCCTCTCACCTCATTAGCATCTGAATCTCTATTCAGCAGTTAATGTCCGTTACTGCTAGAGTGCTCAATTCTTGTTTTCAATAAGCCAGTTGTAAAATGTCAGACTGTCACTTACAATATAAAAAACCAAAAATGATGGTATTTGTAAAAATGTTATCACCTCATAAAAACAAATTGTAAAGACATGAAAGTGATCTTGCTATGCTGGTCTTTCAGAAGTGAGTTAGTACAGCTACTTTAAATACCAGTTGTGTAGATTCCCACACTTTTCTACCAATGGAGAGGTTTACACAAGCATAATTTAAGTTACAATTACACTAATTAACATCTCATTTGCATAAATTGTTGAAGTCAAAACAACAAAGAATTGTCTAAGAAGCTTAATCCTATTTGTCCAAAATAGAAAGATTTTTTTTTTTTAAAAAAAAACTATGCTCTAAAAATTGGCAGCTTAAGTATGTCTTTAGTATGTTGAGCTGTGTCCTTTTAAAAATAAATGTTTTCAATTTTCTTAATAATATATTTCTCTATTCTTTTTAGAATCCTTCATTTTTAGTATACTTTTAAAATTGAACACACACAACACTTTGGTTCCTAAAGTAATGATAACAAGAAATTAAAATCAAGGTACAGTATCATTTATATGTAGTAGTACAGAGTAACCATGACTTACTAGGTGTTATGATGAAGGTGTATGTGTGTGTATATGTGTGCATGCATGTAGATAAGTGTGTGCATTTGCACACATAAGAGTTTTAAGCTGCTCCTGTCATTTATTGATGGTCAAAGGTTTCTTTTGGCTATTGCTGGACTCTTAAGATTGTCTTGTAATTGTCTTTTTGTTGTTGTTGAAAATTAAGGGTGTATATTAAAGGTAGTTTTTACCCAGATCTTATATGTGTGATAGCTCACATCTGTAATCAGAAACTTACTGTTTAATGGCCACCCAATTGCCATTAGCTTCCTAGAGGGTGATTTAATAAACTATCTTCTTTAAAACTCATTTAAAATTAGAGACATGTTTGCATACAATGGATTAATGACGTTTTCATACTAACCCACAAAAGTCTGCTGCACTTTCTTTTGTAGGCCTAACATTCATTTCATATGCATTGATTATTATTGTTGAACTTGCATTAATTACATCGTGCATATATGGACATACAATGTCATCTGCAGAATTTAGGATTTTTTATTGTTAATTTTTATAGTGACTGTGGATTGAGGAATTAAAATTAGCATGCTTCATTTATAATAGTATTTCTAGTGTTTCATTAGCCCTAAAAATGTGATAAGATCAGGAATAAGATTGGAATGAAAATTTCTCCTTAAAATGGTACGTCTTTTGAAAACATTTTGTTTATAATATATAGCTAATCCTAATTTATTACAGTCTTTCAATATATTCTTTAATTTGATTCTATAAGGCTTATAAATCACTGTCTTTGAGATAAGTTTCTTAATTCACAGGTTTGTATCAGTTGTACTAGGTTTGGTGAAGGATGTCATCCTAGATATACAGTGTAGACGTGCTTTATGAAACATACTTCTTCTTAGGGACATTTTTAAATACCAAATGAGAATATGTTTGGTGGGCCAGGTGCAGGGGATCACACCTGGAATCCCAGCACTTTGGGTGGCCAAGGCAGGTGGATTGCCTGAGGTCAGGAGTTTGAGACCAGCCTGGCCAACATGGCAAAACCCAGTCTCTTCTAAAAATACAAAAAAATTACTAGGCATGGTGGCAGGCACCTGTAATCCCAGCTACTCTGGAGGCTGAGGCAGGAGAATTGCTTGAACCGTTGAGGCGGAGGTTGTAATGAGCTGAGAGTGCACCATTGCACTCCAGCCTGGGCAACAAGAGTGAAACTCCATCTCAGAAAAAAAAAAAAAAAAAAAAGAGAATATGTTTGGTAGAAATCTGAAAGAGAATTTATGCTGAATTGAGACCATTTGGAAGGCTTCTTGGGTAAAACTGATTTGAGTTGTGGATGAAGGATTGTTTGGAAATGAGAGAATGAGCAGAGGCCATGGTGGAGAGAAGAGTTGGAGAGCAGGTGAAAGGCGTGAGCACAGCTGCAGAAGCAGACATATGCACGATTTGTCCTAGAGCAGGTCGGTTGGCGAGTTTGGTTAGAATGGGGGGTTTACATAGCGGAGGGTATTGAATGCCAATTTAAAGATCTAGGCAGTAAGAATCATGTAGGGTTTTTGAACAGGGATATGACATGCTTCAAGAGGTTTTTTTTGAAAGGATTAATCATGAAGTCCAAATGTAGGGAGCATTGAAAACAAGAGTAGAGTGACAGACAGTGGAACAGTAGCTTTGTCTCGGCACAAAATTATAAATCATGATGGTTTTTATTTCCTGTGCCCTGAGTAATATCATAAACAAAATATACAAAATGGCAAGAGCACTTTTGAGATAATACATGGTTTCTGATTCTGAGTAGTACTTGAAACTTCAAAAATAACATTATACGATAAAACACATGTTATTTCTTTGTTATCTTAAAATAGCAACAAATTCTATATACGTAGAAAGACCTATGTAGAAAAAAAATGAACATTCTAGCCTGGACAACATAGCAAGACCCCATCTTAAAAAAATTTTTTTTTTTTAGTCAGCCAGGTGTGGTGGCCTTTGCCTGTAGTCCCAGCTACTCAGGAGACTGAGGTGGGAGGATCACTTGAGCAGGGAGATTGAGGCTTCAGTGAGCCTCAGTTGTACCACTGCACTCCAGCCTGGGCAACAGAGCAAGATCCTTTCTCAAAACATAAAGCAAAAAACATTATTTCCTTTCTCCTTTCAGAGGAAAATTATTTCCAGATTATTTTTTCTTATATTTTTTTAAAAGTTGGCTTTAAGGGAGCACGTTTCTCTTTGAGGGTGGCCTGTTTCATTGTCAATATTTGCTCTTCATTGGAAGCTGAGGTCATGTCAGAGTTACTCAGGAGAAAGACCTGGACTTTTCTTCTTATCTTTTAATGGTTTATCATTGATAAGTTTGGACATGGTATGCATGGTGACTTTTTTCACTCTTGTCACTTTTCTATATTTACCTTGTTCATAGTATGTAATCTGAGTGCCTTCAAGACACTAGAAAAGATTTGATCTCAAACACCACATTTTGGGTATTTTAATATAATCAGGAGAAAAGTGGATATAATATTCAGACAGGAAGCTGGAATACACTGGCATAGGTAGAAGTATTCATTTCAACATTAAGTGAATATATATATATTTGTTGTTGTTTGTTTTGTTTTGTTTTTGTTTATTTTGGTTAGAATCTCACTCTGTCACCCAGGCTGGAGTGCAGTGGTGCGATCTTGGCCCACTGCAACCTACACCTCCCGGGTTCAAACTATTCTCTTTGCTCAGCTTCCTGAGTAGCTGGGATTACAGGCAAAGGCCACCACGCCCAGCTAACTTTTTGTATTTTTAGCAGAGACGGGGTTTCACCATGTTGGCCAGGCTGATCTTGAATTCCTGACCTCAGGTGATCCACCCACTTCAGCCTCCCAAAGTCCTGGGATTACAGGTGTGAGCTACTGCACCCAGCCGCAAATATATATTGATAACTTACTGGAAGTAAGGTAACATGGTACAGGTTGGTAGAAGAAATATAGAGAAAAACAGGAAGCTGGGCTTCCCTTCCAGATGTCCCTAGATTCAAAGGGGAAGAGGCAAAATGTATTAAATGCTGTCTTACACATAGACTACAAGGGATTTACTTGGCCAGGGAGAGAACAGGGTTGATTCTGAGCTGGAGAGAATGAGGATGGCTTCTGTGAAGGAGATGACCTAAAGCAGGGCCTCGAAGGTTGGCAAGGGACTTGCAGGGACAGAGCATGGAGATGGGCATATGTAGCGTGTGTTCTGGACACGGCACGTGGAGGCAGAGCACACATGCATAGAGTGTGTAATGCTTCACTTCCATCCTTGTTCCTTCAGCAAGCACCCGTGCTTTACCTCGTGCTGACCCTTGAGCAAGGCTGCCCGTGAGAAACTTCCCAACTTCATGGGCAATGTTGAAAACATTTGTCCACTTGCCCTTGCCCCAGAGAGGGAGAAGGTCCACATATGGTGCCTTTGACATGTTATCCCTTGGCATAAAGTTTGGCCCAAATGTACATTTGAAACCTCACGTTCCCTCGATAAATTTAAAGTATGAAACTTTTGAAACTCTAAAAAGGTGGTGAAGACCACAGTTCTCCCTGTTCTTTTTCTTCTTTCACTCTGCAGCTGGATTCTGCCTTTCCTCCAGTGGTTATCTGAGGAGTGTCTGCCATGTCTTCTGTTTTTTTTTTTTTTTGCCTTGTTTTGAGGAGTCCCCTTTTTTCCTCCCCTGGGAGAGTTTAAATATGATGCTGATTTCTTGTCATCTTAGGGCTCCTCAGCTACAACAAAGTTAAATGGTATAAAAGCAAAGCCCAAATTAGAGACCCTAAAATAACCTTGGAGAAGGAGAGTTCTCAGTTATCAGTAGAATTGTCTTAGGAATTTGAGGAAGCCCTTGTATACAGTGAAAATGAGACCCTAAGTTAATTAACAAAATGAAAATAACTTACAGTACATATCTGCCACTTCCAGTACTGCTATAAATAATTGCAAGTGTAAGGATTTTTAGTGCAAATATGCAGAAAACATGGGCATAGAAAGTTTAGATGACCTTAATGAAGAAACAGAGTTGGCTCTGAAACTGTGCTTAGCAGGAACAACGTTTTGTGCACTTGATAAACACTGTCAGTTGTTAAGGCATCTTCTGATAGGTGAAAAGCGGTTTTTTGATGCAGTACTGCCTGGCATGCATCTTCTCGATGGTCTGTTATCTTGTGGGAATGACATTCGTTAAGTTGTTTTCTGTGTGCATCCCACCCAAATAAAGAATGTTTCATCAGCAAAGTGAATTGCCGTATAGTCATCAGACTCTAGAAATAAATTATCAACGATGACTGCAGTGGGTGAGGCTGTTTGTTTATCACATCACTTGAGAACAGAGTAAAGTGAGTTTCATATTTTCCTGAGTCTTGAATTCTCATTTTAGACATCTGTTCAGAAGCTTTCTAAGCCATGGAGTATTCTAAATGAGCATTTTGTTAAATGGATGAAGGAAGACTTAGTTTTCCATTGTTAGGTGAAACCTAATTAAAAATTAAATAATGACCTTGTGTTGGCTTGTAAATTCCTTATTTCCTGCATGTGTGAGTGTATTTTGTTAGAACATTCCATTTTAAAGCATGCCTTTTTTATGACAAGAAATACTTTTAAAATACTATTTGCTTTTGAAATTACAGTAGGGAATCAAAGGATAGTCTCTTGTTGAGAGGAAGGTATTAGAAGCATGTAGCTTTATGAACTATATTTTCTGTGAATATAGCAGAATTAGTTTAATTGTTCAATTTCACCCTCTCCAGCATGATTGCACCCATCAGGGCAGTTAACAGAGACACCGCTATTTGTGTTATACTAGGAATTCTTTATAAACTTAATAAATGAAAGCTTTTTCTCTTATAGGCCCGATTCTCTAGTGGACTTCTGGTGAAATTATGTGGCTACCTTCCATTAATGTTAATGGAGGTTATGGATATAAATCCCTCCATAGTGATGGAAGAATGAGCCCCAGAGAGAAGAATGTTTCTAATGAATCACTGGATTGTGATATAGGATTAACTTGGTGTCCCTAATACCATTTTTTTTTCCTCCTGAAAGTTTAAGGTCTTATGTTTAGGAACTAGTTTCTCTCCACCTTAATCCTTTATTGTCAAGTCTGCAATAATGTTAAGAACAGGAAAAAAAAATGTAGATTCCTGGATAGGCACAGTTTTTATATTAATGTAACTATATAGGCATAGTTTTTATATTAATGTAACTATACAGCACCTATTTTTGTGTTTTACTATTACTTGGCAGACATCTTGAGTGTTTTACAAGGTTATCGTATATTTCACTAATAATCGTTGCTTGATAATTTGGTGTCCTGACAGACTGCAGTTTATTATTTAGTATTAAAGCTCTCAAATGTATTTATTGAGCACCTGCTGGGTACAAGGCTTTGAGCTTAGTGATGAAAGCATATGACATAGTCTGTAGCCTCAAATTTTCTATAATCTCGTGATAAAAGTAGGTACCAGTTCATTAGTTGCTTTCCAGTGGGGCACAAATTATGGAACATCGTCTGGCTGGCCGGGCGTGGTGGCTCAAGCCTGTAATCCCAGCACTTTGGGAGGCTGAGGCAGGTGGATTGCCTGAGATCAGGAGTCCAAGACCAGCCTGGCCAACATGGTGAAACCCCATCTCTACTAAAAATACAAAAAATGAGCCAGGCATGGTGGCAGGCGCCTGTGATCCCAGCTACTCAGGAGGTTGAGACAGGAGAATCACTTGAACCTGGGAGGTGGAGGTTGCAGTGAGCTGAGGCCGCACCACTGCACTCCAGCCTGGGCAACAGAGTGAGACTCTGTCTCAAAGAACAAAAAAAAAAAAAAGAAAAGAAAAAAAAGAAATATTGTCTGGCTAAAGAAAGGAAAAGAATTCTTATTCAGAATCAGCATGATCACTTCTGGGAATCTGAATGGAGAAAATAATTCTATATGTAATGATGTTTTCAATCAATATTATTTTAGGTGGTTTATTTATTCAGCCAACTGTTGTTGGCTGCCCACTGTATACCAGGCAGTGTGCTAGATACTGGGAGTACAGCAGTGAGCAGCACAGAGACAGCCCTGGTCTCATGGAGTGTGCACTTTGAGTGTGGGAAACAGTATGTGGGTACATAAACAAAATAATTTCTAATGTGATAGATCTCTAAAGGAAACAGGCAAGGTGATAGAGAATAACTAAGAGGACCTGCTTTAGATGGGAATGTGAAGGATGAGGCCGCATTCATACTAAGCATCCAAGTAAGGAGAAGACCAAGTGCAAAAAGTTTGGTCGGGATGAGTGTGTGTGTGTGTGTGTGTGTGTGTGTGTGTGTGTGTGTGTGTGTGTGTACCAGAGACTGAAGGCCATTATGGCTGGACAGTTAAGGGAGAGTGACCTAAATAAAGTTCATATTGGCGGGAGAGCAGCTTGCCACAGGGTTACACAGAATAGGCAGTGGTGGTAAAGGCAGCATTTGAATCCAGGTCCATTTGGCTTTGGAATGTGCTGTTATAGCAGCAGAGGGCAAGTGTGAAACATAATTCAAGGAAATAATTGCTGTAGCCATCCAGACCAGAGGAGGATCGCTTTGATCTAGGAAAACATCTCAGTAGTCTTTGAAAAAATGTACAGAATATGAAAGATATTATAGGTCTTTTCCTCCTATAATACAACCAGGAAATTATTCAGGCTAATTTTTTCAGAAAAATTATTACAATAAATTATGATCTCCCTTTGAAAGGTATAATGTATTCAAACCTTTTTAATTAGCTAATCTTTTCCTGTGAAATCTTAAATATTTGCACGTATAATTGGTAATTTTAGCTTTTATGTAGGTATGTTTCCCCCTGGTGTTACTTACAAAACCTGGCTTACTCAAGGCCCAAAGTCCACCCCACTAGTAAACTCTCTCGTCTCTGTTCCTGTGCCAAGTGCTCTTCCTTTGTTACCAGGTCCACATAATTAATAGCTTTATCATATGAGGTAATTCAGTTACTCAGCAAAACAAATGATATACACTTTTAGAAATAGCTCTAGAAAGTAAACTTGAACGTAAAATTGTTTAGTAAGAGGAAATTTCTGTTTGTCTTTAATTAAGAGAAACTGTATGGAAATGTAAGCTAAGGATGCATTAATCAGAGAAGTTGGCATTGCACTGTTCTTCATTTTTATTTGGCATAGATTGCATGGGTGCTCATTAAATAATTTGTATGACTGAAATAACTTGTGATAGTTCTTGCTAAAGTTTTGCATGGACTCAGACTAAAGAAACTTTAAAATTTGAATTAAAAAACATTCAATTCTTAGGTTTGAAGGTTTGAGTTACTTATTATAACTGAAAATCTTTATTATCAAAATGTGTGTTCATTATAGTGTTTGCTTGCCTTCTTGGGTGAAGAAATACTTATTATGAGAGTATGTAGATTTTCCGTGAAGAATTAGTAATCATGCATCAGGTTGATACCTGGTGAGTAGATATTTGTATTTAATGCTCTTAAATTTTAACAGCCTTGCCTCTGTATGCCCTGCTCATCTGTGTCTTACCAACTTTGATATTGTTTGAAAAATAAACATTTGAAGGAAGAAGTTTGCATATTTAGAGGGTTGGTAGTTCATTACCTGCATGTAGGTTATGCCCACATCGCAAAGAAATCTGATCTATATGGGTAACATATTTGGATAATCAAGGCCAAGGTAAAGGGATTCATTCCCCCTTCTTGAATTTTATGGTTTCTGTATGTCAAACCAGATTTCATTGGTTTAAATCTTGTGGTGTACACTTGGCCATTGATTTGGTTTGAGCTCTGTAATATTTGTAATTATGTGAGATGACAAGATTGAATTAACTTAATTGTAGAGTTTTACATAGTGTCTGTATCAACATCCTAATAAAATAATATGAAATTCAATAAGTAATGCCAAGTGGGACAGTGAGCCACTCACATAAGCTTACTAAACTTGATATATTCTTATGGCACTCCTCCAGAATGTAGAAGAAACACATTTATCTAGGTGATTAGTATTCTTTCTGTCTGCCAGATTTAAGGATTGTTTGGAAATATTGTTAGAATCAAAATCAACGTTTGTTACTACACAGGGTTGAGCATTCCAGGCACACTCTGGTCGTTTTGTTATTCTAATGTCCACTTATTTCATGTCTGCCGTGACCGTGACAGTTTTCAGTCACACAGAGCTGCCATCAAAAGAGTGATAAGCTTGTAAGTGAAGCCTTTGGGGAAGCAATAAAGTCATTTTTCTGGTCCCATCTCAAAAGACATTATTGGAAATTTATTTAAAAGTGATCAAGGTAGCACATACGAGGCCTTCTACAGTTTGCATTTTGGAAGTTATTAACAATCTGCAGTTAAGTCCATTTAAAACTGAAAGTGGCTCTTCCACAAACTACTTTTTAAATAGCTTGCTGGTTCTAAATTTAAGGAGAATGGAAATATTGGAAATTAAAAGTCAAAAGAAATTTCTGGGGCATAAGATCCTTTCAAGTTTACAATTTCTCACTTTAGATTTAAAACTTGAACACGGCCATACTTTGCATTTTATGATATCTAATTAGTGCCTTGTAATATATTTTGTGAACAGTATCTGTTAGCCATAATATCAGGGACAGTTTAAAAAATCTTCAGTACATTTATGATAAAAGTATTAGCATTGTAAGGTCTTAAATTGACATCTAGGACATTAGGAAATCAAATTTAAAGCATTGCATTGTCTGTTACTCAATGGAGTGGACTGAGGACAGCGTGTGACTTGTGTACTGCAAATGATGCAATAGCTAAATATCCTAGTGTGAGTTAAGGTTGATTAAGTGATCATCTTTAACTCTGCTTTTCCCAGGGCTCTTTGAACTCTTGTTTTATTAGGTAATATGCTATGCTGTTATTTTATTGCTGTTTAAAAAACCTTCTCTTTTGGGAAAGAAAACATGTGAATTCTTTGGTTTCTAGATAGAAATTAGCAATCTTTTGCTCGGAATGTAAAAGTATGCTGTATTATCACAAACTGACCCTCCTCCTCCCCAAGAATTCTAGGGAGTAAAATGCGTGCACAGGAAATCAGAAATGGATCAACAGAGTTATAGGTTTTAAAAAAACTGCCTTGCATTTTTGCCCTGGAATTAATTTTCAGTGAAAATTAAAATATTTTTTCTGTTCATCTGGAATCAGTTTTTACTTCATTAGCAGGAAATGGTAAATATACATTCAGCACAAATAGAGTTTTCTTTATGGGACACAGGATTTGTACTCCATAGGTAGATGTGTAACATAAAAGAATCTTTCTGCTCTCCTTGTAATTTTCTCCCTCTTACCCTCAATAAGTTAAAAGAAAGGAAAATTTTTTAACCTAACCTGTTAGGAACCATTTTAGTGTAGCCTCTAGTATTTTGATAAAACAAAATGTTCACTAGCTGGACCCTGGTGGTGATAGCATGAAGGACTGGGGTAGAACTCTCTTTTTCATTTTCTTTTAATCCTGAAGTTACATCACTGTGCAGTCAGCTCAACTTGTGTCATTGCAGTAGGAAGATATGTAGGTGGAAAGCTATTCCAGAAGGAGGCTGGAGCTACCTTCCCTGACAAGAAAAAAAATCCAAGCAAATACATACATAAAAAGACACTCAAAGCATCATAGGATGTTATAGTTATAAGGGACCATAGGTTTCATTTAACGCACATTTTAGCATCCAGGTCCTACATAAAATGTATATTTTGTGATTGTGAATGGGAGTTTTCCATATTTAAAAGTTAAGTTTATTAATGTGTCATTTTACCCATCATGTATTTGTGGCCATTTTTTTAATACCACGAATGGGAACATACTGTATCATAGTTTCTTTTTATTTGTCTGGATGCTTGTGTATGCCTTTTAGTCTACTAATATGCTCACATGTGCAAACTAACAAGAGAAGATGGCAATCCGGTATTATAAACTGGTAAAGAGTTATAGTGCAGTAAGACTGGATTAACTGTGCTTTCAGCAGTCAAGTTGCTGTAAGAGTTATATTGTAAAGTTTTAGACTAACTTGCATGTATCCCAGAGTTTGCACGGTGTTGCTGAGTGTCTCGTTAGACATACACCCTACCTACTATTCTCTCCTGACATAAAAAAAGGTGGTAATTGAGCTGGCATCTAGAAAGTGGTGGTAGCACTACAGATTGTATCACTAATCCCAAACAAAGGAGTTGCAAAACACCTTTCTTTAAATATTTTCTCTTCATGGTGCAACTGGGGAGGGCCAAATTCCAGCCTTAATAAAGTTTTAACCTGACCAGTTGGTAGAAATGGCAGAGTAATAGAATGTTTGGTCCAGAAACCAATGTGTGGACTGTGTCTAGGATTAGACTCTGCATTTCTGTCTGTTCCAGATGAGCTGCTCATTTCTTTTCTTTTTTTAATTTAAATTTTTAAGTTCTGGAGTACGTGTGAAGGATGTGCAGGTTTGTTTCATAGGTAAATGTGTGCCATGGTGGTTTGCTGCACCTGTCAGCCATCTTCTAGGTTTTAAGCCCAGCATGCATTTGCTATTTTTCCTAATGCTCTCCCCCACCCAGCCCAAGCTCTTCATTTCTACTCAGTACGTATGTCCATGTATCCAGGAGAAATGGAGAGTTCTACTTTTGGATTCTTCTAGAGAGATTCCCTGTGGGACTTCTAACCCCTAATCAGTATTCTTCCGTTGATGATAATCTACTTAAATGATATCCTATCATCAGAATCCCTTTATGGAATTATCTTTGTATTTTGCACGTTCTTCCATTCTAGCTTCTAAATGTAATTTTTCCTCCCTTAAATCATTTTTCTAATGGAGACAACATTCAAATACATAGGACAGAGCCCACAGCCAGGGCGGGAAACCTGCATAGTGAGGCTGGTTTTGATACGCAGGCCATCCTACTGGCAGCTGTTTTGTAGGCAGCTTCATGTAATAGTGCAGAGGGTACAGAGAGAGAGACCTACACTGTGATTTCTTTCGTTTGTATATTTTGTATTGAAATTGTAGATTTTTTGGTTGGAATTTATTTGAGATGATTCAAGACATTTTGCATAGTACTCAAATATAGGTGAAAGAATTTCAAGTTTGCTCATTTTGGCATAATTCTAAAACAAAAGTGTTACTGTTGGATCTGGGCATGTGATGGGTGAATGAGTGTTTCAGTGAAATGACATAAGTCTGTATAATTTGGAGGGTAATGATGCCTTAGAACAAGAATAAATCTGGAGCGATGGAAAGGCTCCATATTCTAGATGAATGCATGCTTCCTCTTATGACTCTGAAAAATAAAATTAAATCTTTATTTATACAAATCCAGTGAGGGGGGAAGGCTACATGGTTTGGCTTAATGATATATTTCAGAACAGGAATATTAGCCTTAACCTCTTTCCTCACATTGCATATGATATTTAATCCATCATCTTTGTTTTAAACAAACAATACACAAGCTGTTGCTGGCATTGGTATAAAGCTGATGGTCCATCTGGAGAGCAGGAATATAGATCAGGAAAATAAGAGAATTGAAATTGGGTGCAAGGGCAGATTTGCATGTGTAAAAACCTTTCTGTTTTACCAGCTTTTATCAAATTATTTAATACTGGGCAAAACAGATTCCTTTTTCTTGAAGCTGAGAAAGATACCTCCTCCTAGAGGAAGAGTTGCTTCAGTGTTCTAGGAAGAACAATTGGTTTTGAAAGACAATAAAATAATGAGCCATTAGGATCATGTTTTGTAATATAGGGAGTTGGTGTGGAAGAGGAGAGAGAGGACTGCTGGTGTAGTGAGTTCTTGTTCTAGCTGTGTATGATCATTGGCCAGTCGTTCAGCTTCTTGGCCTTCAGTGCTTCCTTTGACTCAAGTCAATTCAGCAACCATTTATTGAGGCAAATGTGAGGATGTTCTGTGGGCTACCTATTTAGCTAGGCATTGTGGATCCATAGACAAGTATGACTGGGTCCTATGCTTATGAAACTCCAGGTCTTACAATGGAAACATACTGTGGTTGAACGATGTAGAGAGTGTTGTATATGAGATATGGGTGCACAAAAACAGGAAAAGTCAATTCTGTCTGGTGTAGACAGGAAGAATTGTATTACAAATCCTTCTTAAGGATTTTCTATTTTGACATGCAAGAGGAGCAGGCATTCCAGGTATTTGAATACTGAGAGATTCAAATTATCAGCAAGGTTCTTTCCAGTTCCACGTTTGTTGTGTTATCAGTGTAAAATTATTTGAATAGCTTTCCACTGATGAGTTATTAGCTGAAAAGTGTTTATTGTCATGGTTGAAAGAAAATAATAATGAAAGAAGAAACGATTACCTTTAGTGATAAAGTTGGGGCCGGATGGGACGAAGCAGTGCAATTTTTTTCTTTATAATTATTCCCCTATTTGAAAAATCAACTTGTATATGAGGCAGCAAACACCTTGCAGAGCAGCATTCCCTTTTAGTTTCAGGACGTGGTGGTGGATGGAACCACTGTAACCTGGCCTCCCTCCATGAGAGGAGGGAATCCAGGTGGCCATGTTGAAATGTGCCTGTGTGCAGCAAGGCTTCTGAAATGACAAGAGAGCCCAGCAGCTTCCAAAGCAGCTGTGACTCTGGATCTCACCCATCATCTCTGCTTCTCACTGTTAGAGGAGTGAATCTGTGCTGCCTTAGGAGGCATGGAACCTGGGACTTTTCTTCCTTGTTTAATGTTTAATTTTATTAAAATAATTTGTAAGTGATAGATGTTGATCTCGTGACAAAAGAGAGATTCCCTCTTTATAAAACTATTCTAACTAAAGATCTTTTGTAAGCCCATGTGTTAGAAATAAAACTTGAATATCCCCTTTTTTGTTGTTGTTTATGAATGGCCAATAATTTATTCACATGTGACATTTGAGCTGGCATTTTTTCCTCCTGAGATGACAGTAGCGTCCGCTGTGTTGTATTCTAAAGCAAAGTCAGAATAGCCCTTTGCTTTTGTCCCGATTAGTAGTTCTGTTTTGCCTTCTTGCCTTTTCCATTTAGACCTTATGGTATTTCCTAAACCTTAGACTGTTTTGAAAGGCTTTGATTAAAATATGCTGATAAAAGAATTCGATAACCAAGTTAGGAACGACAAGGCTATCTGGAGAAGACCAAATGACTTGGCAGCCTAACAAATTCTATTCAGAGCACACAAAGAGATCCTGGAACGTTTTATAGGGACTCGTGTGTGGGGAATGGTATGAACTCAGGTTACCTGCAAAATATGGTGTCATATGGAAACATTTAAGAGCTTATGGAAAATTCTTTGAAATAAAGTGGAATGAGCTAGCAAGCATATTATACCTAAGAAGAAAAACAAGAGCATTCATTCTGGTTTTTTAAGGTAGCTGCTCAAGGAAGGGAGATAGATGAAAGTAAATTGTTTTCTACTTTGTACACATAATATAGAAGAGATCACCTAAGCCTAGTTTTGCTAACCAGACCCTAGACTTAAAATTAGAGGTCATGATGTCTAGCCACCTTCCTCTGTAGGAACCTCTCGTGATACCCTGAAAGCCTCTGCTTAAATACTTCCAGAGAAAAGTGAGGAAGGTAGGGGTGGGGATGAAGGTTTGCAGGAACTCGTGTTGAGTACCTAGTATCTGCAAGATACTAGAGTAGGTACTTTATCGCCATCTCATCTGACTTATGTATGAGTGCAGGTTTTATAACCCTCAAGTTTACAAGTGAGGAAACTAAGTTTATATAAGTGTCACGAAACTTGCTTCAGTTCAGATGTCTAGCTTGAGGCAAATCTGAAATTAGAACCTAGGTCCATCTTCTTGCATTACACTAAACTGCCTCTCAGGATGAGGGAGAGCTCCCTTCATGGCTAAGGCAACCTCTTCTGTCTAATAATGCAGATTCTTTAAAAATTCTTTCTTTTATTTAACTGAAATCTGCCTCCCATTAACATCTCTCATTGGTCCTGATTCGGCCTCAGGAGGATCACAGAGCTGATGCAATTCTCTTTCCTTATGCAGGTATGTTTGCAACCACTGCTGCCAAAATGGCCTCTGCCATCTTTTACCTAGTTGGTTTTTTTTGAAAATGAACACACACACACACACACACACACACACACACACACACTCACAGAAATATCCTCTTATTGACTGCAATCCATCTTTCAACATATGGAGTTCTTTTTGAATACTAGAGGTATAGCCTTAAAGAATATGAGTATCAGAAGATACTTTAGTTTCATCTTTCCCTGCCTGATTCATCAGCCAATTGTTAGTATGCCATCAGTCAAGCCATTAATAAAAATAATGAACAAGGTGAACAGGATAGGTTAACTTGTAGTCTATGTATAAGTTTCTGAAGTTGCATGCAGAATTTAGCCTATATGTGAATTTTTCTGGAAAAATGGTCAGTAACTATTGTCAGATTCCTTTTTTTTTTTTTTTTTTTTTTTTGAAGACAAAGTCTTGCTCTCTTGCCCAGGCTGGAGTGCAGTGGTGTGATCTTGGCTCACTGCAACCTCCACCTCCCAGGTTCAAGTGATTATCGTGCCTCAGCCTCCTGAGTAGCTGGGACTACAGATGTGTACCACCACGTCCGACTGTCCGACTAGTTTTTGTATTTTTAGTAGAGATGGGGTTTCGCCATGATGGCCAGGCTGGTCTCCTCCTGACCTCAGGCAGTCTGCCTGCCTCGGCTTCCCAAAGCGCTGAGATTAAAATAGAATCGCTTGAACCCAGGAGGTGGAGGTTGCAGTGAGCCAAGCTCGTGCCACTGCACTCCAGCCTGGGTGACAGAACAAAACTCCCATCTCAAAAAAAAAAAAAAATGCCAGGTAGAGCAGCTCACGCCTGTAATCCCAGCACTTTGGGAGGCCAAGGTGGATGGATCGCGAGGTCAGGAGATCGAGACCATCCTGGCTAACACTGTGAAACCCCATCTCTACTAAAAATACAAAAAATTAGCCGGGCATGGTGGCGCACACCCATAGCCCCAGCTACTTGGAAGGCTGAGGCAGGAGAATTGCTTGAACCCGGGAGGTGGAGGTTGCAGTGAGCTGAGATCGCATCGTGTCACTGCACTCCAGCCTGGGTGACAGGGCAAGATTCCATATTAAAAAAAAAAAAAGTATTGAGAAGTACTCAGAGTAGAGAACTTACTCCCGAATGAATATACTAACCTCTTTGAGGAGAGCTCCCCAAATGACCATAAATTCATATAGCTCAGCCATCACTAGACCGTGTATTTCAGCCAGAAGATATGGTGAATGGTCTTGTAAGATGCCTGACTAAATTAAAGTATTAAAGTATTTCTTGAATTCTCTTGATATTCCTGGACTTTGAGAAAGAATAATTATGCCCTTAAAAATGGAAAAAGAGACTGCAATATTGTTATACAGGCCTTTTAAAAAAAAAGTATCCTTAAATTTTTAGTTACAGAGTTCACTTTTTTCCCCTACTTTTCTTTGTTTTAGATTATAAGCCCAGGATTGTTCACCAGAAGGTTACCCTTTAGTCTGCAGGAACCTTTGAAAACAGATGTGGTATTGAAGAATATCTCTGTAAGCCCAGAACTTATCCATTGTATAAAGAATTTTATTTTCCCCAGTAGACCGGGAGCTCCTCAAGGGCAGGGACCTTTGCAAGTCTTTGACTCCCTAGCACTGAACCCAGCATCTGGCAAATCTTATTTCATGTGACTTTATTTTGGCTGAATGGCCTAAAAATGCGCTTGTACTGAGCACCTAATACATTTAATTTAATTTTTAAATTTTTATTCAATAATGTAGACGTGGAGTCCCCCTATGTTGCCCACGCTGGCTCAAACTCCTGGCCTCAAGGATGTTCCTGCCTCAGTCTCCCAAAGTGCTGGGATTACAGGCATGAGCCACTGCACCAAGCCCTAATACATTTAATAAATTGTAAGGAGGAAGAACAGTGGACCGCAGTGAGATATGGTCTACAGGGAAAATGAAGAACCTCTTCAAAAATGATGATCTTCAGGCCTGTAATCCCAGAACTTTGGGAGCCGAGGCGGGTGGATCACTTGAGCCCAGGAGTTCAAGACCAGCCTAGGAAACATAGCGAAACCACATCTCTACCGAAAAATACAAAAATTAGCCATGCTTGTAGTCCTAGCTATTAATACGTGGGAGGCTGAGGTGGGAAGATGGTTTGAGTCCGGGAGGTGGAGGTTACAGTGAGCCACTGTACCCCAACCTGGGTGACAGAGTGAGACCCCATCTCAAAACCAAAAAAGATGACCTTTATTATGTTTGACATTTAAAAAAATGTAGCCAAAGTAAAAGTGTTGATTAGCATAACCCCGATCACATGTTGTTGTTGAAAATGAGCACTGGCTTGCATAAAATGGACATTCATGGACATGAAATGGACATTAATGATTTTACATATGTTAAGAAGAGAATTTTAGACTTGAGACCTTAGGGAGATCTGTTGATAGAATTCCCTATGCTCTACAGATAAGGATACTTAGTGAAGGGACTTTCCTAAGCTCACAGACCCAGAAGAGTAGTACTCTTTCCAGCCAATGGTGATGCTTACTTATGTTTTTTTTTTTTTTTTTTTTTTTTTGAGACGGAGTCTTGCTCTGTCGCCCAGGCTGGAGTGCAGTGACACGATCTCGGCTCACTGCAAGCTCCGCCTCCCAGATTCACGCCATTCTCCTGCCTCAGCCTCCTGAGTAGCTGGGACTACAGACGCCCACCACCACGCCCGGCTAATTTTTTGTATTTTTAGTAGAGACGGGGTTTCACCGTGTTAGCCAGGATGGTCTTGATCTCCTGACCTCGTGATCCGTTCGCCTCGGCCTCCCAGAGTGCTGGGATTACAGGTGTGAGCCACCGCGCCCGGCCTACTTATGTGTTTTAGAAAAATCTTTAAAATGTTAAAAGATGACAGGTAATTTCTAGACCATATGAAGTAGCCCAGTTGTCCCAGGATTAGTTTATTATGTGTATATCAGCCATTATTTTACAGAGTCATCTCACATAAATCCACACAACCTTAAAGGATTAAAGGATGGTTTCTGTGCAACTGAAACATATGCACAGAATGACAATAGTCGTGATACTTTCTTTATTCTTTTTTTTTTTTTTTTTGAGATGGAGTCTCACTCTGTCGCCCTGGCTGGAGTGCAGTGGTGTGATCTCGGCTCACTGCAGCCTCCATCTCCCAGATTCAAGCGATTCTCATGCCTCAGCCTCCCGAGTAGCTGGGATTATAGGTGCACGCCACCCGCCTGGGTAATTTTTGTATTTTTAGTAGAGATGGGGTTTCAGCATGTTGGCCAGGCTGATCTTGGAACTCCTGACCTCAAGTGATCCGCCCACCTCAGCCTCCCAAAGTGCTGAGATTACAGGTGTGAGCCACCACGCCTGGCCAGTCATGCTACTTTATAATCTGAAGTTACCAGTTCTTTGCAGTGTTTCACATTAGGGGCATTCTCCAAAGGGAACTTTAGAGATAACAAATATGTTAAAAATATCGAATAAAGTTAGAGATGTGGGGAGACATTCCTACTCCTACAGAGAGCAACCATACCTTCCTATAGACTGTGCACTGAAGAAAGGGCGGAGGGGATGCGCCTGTTAGAGTTAGAATCTTGGCTTGATAGGCAAGGAAATTGACCCGGTGTGGTGGTTCTTATATTGGTAAGAAGACCCTTCTTTGGTTTCTTTTTTTCCAGATAGCTAAAGTCAATGTCAGTGATTGCTTCAAGCATGATAGTCTTACCAGCCTACACTCTAAGCTTTTCTTATGCTTCCAGAATGACTTACTCAGCAATCACTTCTACTTTGTATTAAAACAGTTTTGGTTATTCAGGTAGGAAGAAGAGAAAAAAACCAGGCTGTTTCCAGTTGTCTGGGGTTTACATTATGTTACCTCTCAGACTGTTAGTGAAATCAGGGAGACTAGTGGTTTTTACGGCATCAGAGATACCAAATGTACAACAGACAGATGTCATCTTACTCTTTTTAAGTCATGGACAAAAAGACAGACACATTGCCCTGTAACTTTCAGATCTTCTGTAACCTTTTTAAACAACATAGGAGAGAAGTTGGTACTTGTACCCAAGGGAAGAGAAAGTTAATGAGTAGAAAAGACAGAATTTATTTAGGAAAACGATGGAATTAAGCTCTGGACAAAACATGCATCAGTGATGCATAACATTTTTGTTAATTGGGTCTTAACAGGTTTCTGACTCATATGGTAATCATTGTAGAAGTGGGTCTTACTAGACCACGCCAGTGGCAAATTGCGAAGCTGTAAGAACTCTTACCTCCCTGTGTGTGTGCACCTGAGTGTGTGGGGGGGCGTACGTTTCTGTAGCTTAATTTAGGTTCCACATACACTTCAGTGGTTAAACCTGAGCTAGACTCAAATAGTTTGTTTCCATTAAGAAAATGAATCTTTTATGTGGACCAAGGTCAGGTTAGTTAATTTGTTTGCTTTTATTGGAATAACTTTTCCCATTCCAATTCATCACTTAATTTTAAGTGGTTCTACTAAAATACCCATTAAAGTCCTTTACATTTCTCACAGACTAGGGCTATGACAGATTCATAAGACGTTTCTTTTTTCCTCAAGGCACAAAAGGTAGCTTTTCTGGTCATCAATCTAGTCTTCCTTGTTCCTAATTTCACAACAGTGGGGCAACATTTTATATAATACCAATATGAACTCTAATTGCAAAGAGACTAAATGAAATCTTCACACGAAGCAAGATTAATTAAAATATAAAATGTGCTTGACTGTGGTAAAACATTTCTTTTAAAAAAAATAGTATGACTTTTTTTTTTTTTTTTGCTAAATCTTTCTTTTTTGTACACCTCACCCTCTTCTTCACTGATGCATTTTCCAGCAACTGGAAGTTCACTCTGGCTAGGAAAGTAACTAAATGTGATGTTATCATTCTAATTAGTGATTACAAAAGATCAATTAATGTTATAATTAAAAACAGTGTCTAGATCTGTTGTTTGTAGTGAATAAATGTGACAATTACTTTGTTCATTGACATAGATGTGTTGAATTTCCTCCCTAGATTTTAAGGGGATGCATTTTAGTGCTGATGTGTGCATTTAACTGTGGACAGTAGGAACAAGGCAAGCATATTAGGGGAAGAGTAGGGCCCCTAATGTCTAAGCTACAGACATATTTTAGCATGCTTGACACCTTTCCTTGGTATATGATGCTATATCAGCAACTTGTACTCATTGGATCTGGAGCCTCTAGCTTTTAATATTTTATCACTAAATGCTTAAGTGTTTATGTTGCAAAAAGAAAAGGAAAAAAAAAAGATTCCCACTTGGACTCTCAAACCATGTGAACAGGCTACTCTATGATAACTATGTCATTAATGATTTTGGTTTCATTTATGGCAATAATTTTTAAGTTGATCAGTCAGGATAGTAAGTATGTGATTTTTGCAGATCTGGTTGAATTTTTTTCTGATACAGACCAAGCTGTTTTTCATACATTGAAGCCTGGGAAAGCTCTGTTACTGTTAAAAGAGTAACCATATCTCTTCACTGAATTGTTGCCAAGCAGATGTAGACTTTTGGAGTGTGCCCAGAAAACCTCTACAGCTGATACTTTGGTGACTTGTTCCTACTCCTGGCTTTACTGGCACCTATTTAAATAGCAGAGGAACATAATTGTGTTTTGGTAGGTCAAAATTTTATACACTTCTGTAGAAAAAATTATATATAGGTAAGCCAATTGGTAGAAATGAAGTAAACCCAATTTGCTTGTTGAGATTAGCACTGAAGATATGCTAAGCTTTGGTTATGTCATTTGGTCAAAAAAGAATGAGGAAAATCCCTCAGAAAAGTTATCTGAGAGATCAGCACTGAACGTCAAGCCAGCCTGTCCACTCCCATTACTAAAAGAAATCTCCCCTTTTAACTTCATCCCATAAATGGATCATGCTTCCTGGATCCACCCGAGGAGGACGTGGTTTAGTTTTAGATTCTTAGATTACAGACTTCCACCATCAGTTTCAGTATTCTTTTCACGATATTAATGTTATGAAAACTGTTAGAAATGAGGAAATACCGCCATGTCAGGTTCACTCATGGATCAAGAAATGAGCATTTTCTTAAACATCAGTCCAAAACAACAAACCTCAAGTACCATAAGTTCAGATAACTTGGGAGCAGTTGAAATCCTTTAAGCCACAAAGATAGTGTCTTTTGGCATGGCTGGTGAAAGAAGGAAGCTGGTTGAATTCATTGACTAACTCTGTTGCTGGCTAAAAAGACAATTAAGGAGAAAAGGGATGGAAGAAGAAAAGAACCAAAGAAACTAAAATCTGTTTCTTTTTCAGGAGGAGTTGGAAGATGAGGAGTAACACAACACTTTAGATATACATGTTAAAAACTTATAACAAATCATAGATCATACTAAAGGATTACCGAAGTTTAGAACATGGCTGAGGGTATAGATGTCAGATTTTCTTACACAATAGTGGGTCTTTTGTTTCAGAGTTCACTCTTGGCAAGCAACTCCCTACCACTGCGTTAATTTCCTGTCGATCTTTCATTCAGCAACAGACCTAGAGATGGGGAGCAGACACTGCCCCCCCCACCCAGGCTTTTTAAGACTGTGCTTTGTGTAGATTAAAAAGACGAAGGAAAAAAGAATAAACTTTTTCCAAACAAGATGTCCATGTGCATTCTTTAAGATCCTGTGTGTGCTTAAAACGATCCTGTAAAAAAGCCCTCTCCATAATTTTGAACCTCTCCTTTTTCTAAAGACTTTTATAGGCATTTTTTTTTCTTCTTCTCAGCATGTGAACCAATGTGTAACTCAAATAGATGTTACTTTGCTGTTTACTTAGATTGTTTTAAAAGGCTAGCTGTGTGGAGGAATGAGGAAGGAAGGGAGGCGGGAGTGGCTGGAGTTTTTTTTTTTCTCTGTTGACCTAATGAATGCAGTTCTTAAAAAATAATAAATATTTATATGTGGTCTTAATTTTTAATGAGTCTCATAAACTGGCTGGTATAGAAAAGTGTATGAAAAGCCATATATATTAAACTATAGTTATTATAAATACATGCATATGTACACTAGAATGTTTTATGAGGAAGGGAACTTACTAGTCTTGTTCACTCTTTGTTTTCCCAGTGTCTAGAACAGTGCCTGACATACAACTGGTACTCAGTAAATATTTGTTGAGTGAACAAAATGAATGTAAATTGACAGCATTGCCTAGTGGGGGTACCATTAGACTAGAATTCAGAAAACTTGGAGTCTGGTTCCATCACTGCCATTAATCAAGAATATATTGTTGCTGAAATCACATAACTTCTTTGCTCCTCTGTTTTTTATAAAAAACTGGGACTAGCCCAGCTATTCAGGAGTCTGTGGTGGAAGGATGACTTGAGCCCAGGAGTTTGAGGCTGTAGTGGGCTACGATTGTGCCTGTGAATAGCCACTGCACTCCAGCCTGGGCAACATAGTGAGACCCTGTCTCTTAAAGGAATAATAGGGGCTGGGTGCGGTGGCTCACACCTGTAATCCTAGCACTTTGGGAGGCTGAGGGGGTGGATCCAGACCAGCCTGGCCAACATGGTGAAACCCCATCTCTCTAACTAAAAATACAAAAATTAGCCGGGCGTGGTGGTGCATGCCTGTAATCCCAGCTACTCAGGAGGCTGAGGCAGGAGAATCGCTTGAATCCAGGAGGCAGAGGTTACAGTGAGCACTCCAGCCTGGGTGACGGTGCAAGACTCTGTCTCAAAAACAAAAAACAAAAAGAGGAATAATAGTATCTGCTCTCCTTGCCTTTTGTGGGTTTTTTTGATGATTAAATGATATCTGAGGGATACAAAAATGCTTTGGAAACTACAGGGTGCTTTACAGACTGTGTGTGTGAGTGTGTGTGTGTGTGTGTGTGTGTGTGTGTGTGTGTGTGTGTACAGAAAATCCTTTATCTCTTTGCTTCTCAATTTCTTTTCTTAGGAAAATCAGATTATTTAAATCCCATTATGCACAGCTCTCCTCTGTTCTTACTAAGCCTCTGTATTCCATTACCTCCAGTAAATCAGTAAAAGGTGGTGAGTCAGGCTGTAGTGGAAAGCGGGGTCTGCTGTTTTCTCATGTCCATGTTACTCTGTGGGACTCAGAAATCTTGCTTACATGTCTCATGAACTTTCTTACCTGTTTGAACTATACAGGCTATAACATATGACTTAGAGTCTTTTAGTTATGACCACTCTTAAGATTGATGACTAAGTTGAAGTATTTATTAGTTGTTATTATGGTGGATTGATAATCATGCATTTTAACATAGTAAACTAAAGTCTGTGTCGTAGAATTAGCTATAATTTACTTTTTAGGCTGGATGAGGTTACTGATGCTTGTAATCCCAGCACATCGAAAGGCTGAGGTGGGAGGATTGTTTGAGTCCAGGAGTTCAAGACAGGCCTGGGCAACATAGGGAGACCCTGTCTCTATTATCATAAATAAAAACAAATTTTTTTAAACAAGTGTATATATGCATATGCTTATGTGTTGTAATAATAATATGTCCCAGAGTTGCACATCTGGAAGAGAAGAAGATAGCAACTGAAAAGAAAATAGAATGGTATTGACAAAGAGAAAAGATGGCGTCATTAGGACAATTACTTTTTATTTTTGGAACAACTCGAGGCTTTACACCCATTCTTTTCCCACATTTATTTTTTCTATCAGAATTCTTAAATCTAAGAAACAAATAATATGGAGGTTCTTTATATTAACACATTGCTTTAAATTAGGAAGAAAACTGTGTATAGGCTGCAGCAGACTTTAAAAGCATTGTAAGACTTTAGATTTGGAAATCAACTTTAATAACATGGAAACTTTAGATTTAAGAGATCATTTAATACAGCTACTTTGATTTGGCTTTTAAGAGAACTGAGGCCCAGGTAGCCCAGACCAAGGATCTTTTGCAAGGTCGTGCTACTGGGTTCTTTAGCGTCAAGACTGTAACCTACATCTTTAGGTTCCTAAATTTTTATCATGCCTTCTTGTTACCTAACTGTTGATTGTTGAACTTTCTTTTTTCTTTTTTGAGACAGGGTCTTGCTCTGTTGCACAGGCTGGAGTGCAGTGGCGCAGTCATGGCTCACTGCAGCCTGAAACTTGAGCTCAAGCAATCCTCCCATGTCAGCCTCTCAAGTAGCTGGGACTACTGGCATGTGCCATCACACCTGGATAATTTTTAAAAATTATTTGTAGACACAGGGTCTCCCTGTGTTGTGTGGGCTGGTCTCAAACTACTGGGCTCAAGCTGTCCTCCTGCCTCAGCCTCACAAAGTGCTGGGATTTGAATTTTCTTAAACCTAAATCAATATTATAGGCCTCACCTTAGGAGAACTTTCCAAAATATTGTTAGTGTTGACCACCTTAGCATTACATTTGCTAACGACAGTCATCCAGGTTTACTGAACCAGGAAACCAACTTTCAGGTTAATAAGACAGTTTCGTCTATGTGCCATCCTTATCCTTGTCTGGACATATCCATAGAGCACGCATTTTAAATCTGAAAGAATATATGTAGTCTCCCCTACCCCAGCTTTTTTTAAGTAGCAAGGGCTATTGAAAAAAATCAGAACCCTCCGCTTACGCTCGCATACATGTAGCTTAAAATATATGTTGCTTATTGAAAGCATTGTTTAAGTTGAACTCACGAGATATACTACATCATGTAATATGTCTGCATTTGTCCATGCATTCTTTTCGGAAACCTGATCTTACTTATGTCTGCATTTAACAGATAGGCTAGGTTAAGTTATGTTAAAACATGTTGTACTGAGGTTGGATTCACCGTGTCACAGCCTGGCTTTCTTCCTTGATTAGCTTTAATCAAACTCTCTGCATTCCGTGACCTTAATAAAGCTATTTTTCCTGACAACTGAAGACTGTCTTAACAAGCATAGTTCATCTGTGCTGAAACTAAGGCTGAGTTAAGATGGGGTTTAGGTCCTCATTAAAGTCCACAGCATGGAGTGTAAGAAGAAATGATGAAATGGTGCTCCCTGAAACATCTCTTCTTTAAATTTAATTAGACAAATTATACGCAAACTAGTAGATGCCCTGGGAAGGCAATCAACATTAGGGCTAATAAAAAGCTTGAGTAGTATAAAAAGGCTGGGGGAGGTGCTGTGGAGCCTTTCTAACGCCTATGAGAGGCAAATTAAAACCAATTGCGAAACATGGAAACTGGATGAATTTCAATATTGATTTAGAAATTAATTTTATTATGTTGTTCTAAATATAAAAATAAAGGCTATACTTATTAATCTTCCAGAATTTGACATGTTAACACCTATGCACAAAGCATTTTATGGATCTTTATATGCTGGGAGACACAATTATGGGCTGACTTGGAAGTTTTGGCAGACCTGGGTTCAAATTCTAGCAACTTCCCCTACTAGTTTTTTTGTTTGGGGGGGTTTTTTCGGTGCACATTACTTCACCTTTGTGAAATCCAATTTCATCATCTATAAAATGAGATAAATAATTCTATTCCTGAAGAGGCTTTATAAGAATTTTAGAAAATTAAAATAGTAAGTATAGAACACTTGGTACAATGCCTGGCACATAATAGGTGTTCAGAAATAGGTACCCCATATTTAGAAGGAACTTCCACTGAGTTAAGAGTGGTTTCAAGCAAACTGTCCTATAAATATGTGAGAATTGGATTATGAATGTAAATATTGTGTGCGTAATCTTATGGATCAAGATAAGTTTAAGGGAAAATGCTAGCGGACAGAAACTTATAGCTTTTGGAAGAAAAGGTGACTCAAACATAAGAAGCAAATTATTTGAAGCCCACAGTAGCCAAATGGAGAGAGTAGGTTGAAACATTTGTTAAGTGCTGCATGCCAAACATCCTGTATACCTTACCATCTCATTTAATATTGATAACAACTCCACAAGGTAGTTATTACTGACCTAATTTTGCAGATAAGGAAAAAAGAGATTCAGAAAGGCTACGTGAATTGCATTTTAGCATAGAAGAGTCAGGACTGGAACTCAGTGTTGGCCTAGTTCTTGGGGGTGGTTGGATGGCAAACTAGTGCAGGTATGTTCATAACTTGTAAGATCAAATTTGTCATATAAATTACGGGGATATGTAATCTCTCTCCCTTCTGGCTCTTTTCATCCTTGGGTGAGTTCTAAATAAAACTATTTTGTGTTATTTTTTTAACCCTCATTCCATTGCTTTCAGACTCTGGTTCTCAACCTTGGCTGCCCATTTAGAATCACCTGGAGTGGGATCTGGGCGTTAGCATTTTTTAAAGCTCCTCTAGTGATTCCAGGTAGGCAACCTGCACTAAAGACCTCTGCTTTAAAATCTCTCTACCTCAGGCGTAGGTGTTTTCATTGCCCATAGTATTAAGCCTAGCTTTTAGCAGAGATTTGCCAAGGTTGATTATGATCCTCTTGCTTGTTTGGAAGAAGAAATATGGAAGCTGTGAAATCTTTTCCAGTTGTGATAGATGTTGTTTATGCATTAATTAGCATGTAAAAATTAAACACTGTCTATTCTTAATGTTAGCACATTTTCTTTCTCTCTCTCTCTCTCTCCCACCTCTTTTTTTTTTTTTCTATTGAAGGAGGCCAAATTAGATGGAGTGAAGAGAAAAGTGATTATGGTAACTTTTCCCTTCAGAGAAGTCAAGAGCAAGAGTATTTTTTTCCAATTTCTTAGTAAAACAAAAAATATTTTCTTTCCTTTTTTCTTTTTTGTTTTTGAGACATGGTCTTTCTCTGTCACCCATGCTGGAGTACATTGGTGAGATAATGGCTCGCTGCAGCCTTGACCTCCCAGGCTCAATTGATCCTCCCACCTCAGCCTCCTAGGTAGCTGGGACTACAGGCACACGCCACCACGTAGGGCTAATTTTTGTATTTTTTGTAAAGATAGGGTCTCACCATGTTGCCCAGGCTGGTTGCAAACCACCAGACTCAAGTGATGCTCCTGCCTTAGCTTCCCAAAGTATTGGAATTACAGGCATGAGCCACTGCTCTGGCCAAAGTTATTTTCAAAATACAGTGGTTTTACCCCACCACCCTTAGAGGTAGAAAGAATCTTTGACCCCACCACCCTTAGAGGTAGAAAGAATCTTTGTTGCCGGACAGATTTGTGGTAAATCCTGGTTTCTCACTTTCTGATAAAGAATTAGTCATTTTATTTGTTTGTTTGTTTATTTATTTATTTATTTATTTATTTATTATTGAGACAAGATCTTACTCTGTTTCCCAGGCTGGAGTGCGGTGGTACAATCTCAGCTCACTGCAACCTCCGCTTCCTGGGTTCCAGAAATCTCCCTCCTCAGCCTCCCAAGTAGCTGGGATTACAGGCATGTGCTACTGCACTCAGACTAATTTTTTGTATCTTTAGTAGAGACATGGTTTCACCATGTTGGCCATGCTGGTCTCGAACTCCTGGCCTCAAGTCGTCCGCCCACCTCGGCCTCCCAAAGTGCTACTATTACGGGTGTGAGCCACCGTGCCTGGCTAGAATTAGTCATTTTAAATTCACTGGGGCTGGGCGCAGTGGCTCATGCCTGTAACCCCAGCACTTTGGGAGGCCGAGGTAGGCAGATCACTTGAAGCCAGGAGATCGAGACCAGCCTGGCCAACATGGTGAAACCTCATCTCTGCTAAAAATACAAAAATTAACTGGGTGCCTGTAATCCCAGCTACTTGGGAGACTGAAGCACAAGAACTGCTTGAACCCGGGAGGCGGAGGTTGCAGTGAGCTAAGATCACGTCACTGCACTCCAGCCTGGGCAACAGAGCAAGACTGTCTCAAACAAAACAAAAGAACAAAACTCTCTGGGCTTGATTTCTTAATCTGTAAAACAGAAATAATTCTTAACACATTTGGTTACTCTGAGGATAAAAGTGGAGGAAAAAACATGCAGAGGATAGTCCGGAACTCCCCATGTAGATCCCATTATTAGGTAACTGAGGTACAAGTATCTTAGGCTACTGGTCCGGGCAGGCTTTGCTGAGGGGCTCCGTGCAGCTTGCTGGTGCAGCCGAGCAAATGGGCCTGTAGCCGACTCTTAATCCAGGTTGGTGCTATTCAAAGAGATCATCTTTCACCCGAGGGATTTCTGGGCATCTATTTTGCGGATCAGAAAGTAGAGAAAGAAGGTAACTTTGCCGAAAGCTAGTCTGGGGAGTTAGTAGCTGATACAGATCAGCATTTCCTAACTATGAGATTTCATAATATTCTCTCTTGTCTCGATTCTGAGTCACTGGTGCCTGCTGTGGTGGCATTGTTCATGAACATGTACAGTTATTGGGAAGTGATCTTGTCTTTCCTCCTGCCTTCAGGCACTGCTACCTAAATTACACCCCGACAGATGTATTCCCATTCTTCTTTAAAAGACTATGTCATGAGCTGAACTATTAAGTTTTAAAGTTGATAAGCATCAGGCTAAGCATATTTTTCCTGCCATCTCCCACGGAGGTATAACATTGTTTTCTATACTTAGGGAATTTACCAAAAAAAAAAAAAAAAAAAAAAAAGTTGGTATCTGCTAATGGGTCAAATTAGCAGGATGTTTTGAAAACTCAGTGGAAGAATAGCTCTTCCTGCAGATGCATGACCTGGTAGAAATCCAGACATTGGGCTCCACCAAACTCGAATGATACCCAATAAATGATGAGAGGAATATCCAAAGAGTTAAATGCCATGAGACCACTCACCCCCTAAACTCTAAATCCTTGTATGACCCTGAGACAGGCAGGCAGTAGGGCTGCAAGGCTGAGATAAGTACTGAAAATTGGCCCATATACATTTTGTTTTAACATAGCTCCTTCCTTTACACTTTTCTGTACCCCTGGCCTGAAGGCTCTACAGCTTGTTACATACTGATAGCTAAGTAAATGCAATCAACATTCCATGCTACTGCCTGCAGAAAAACCGAAATTGTTTACTGCCTCCAGGATGTTGGTAAATATCTGGCTGTATTTTTTTTTTTTTTGGCGGGCGGGGGCGGGGGGAGGCAATGGGTAGGAGAAAGCTAGTATACAGTGTCCCAATTTACATTATAAAATGCAAATTTTGTACTCCAGAATAAGAAACAACTTAGAGTAGACCTGTATTGTTCCAAAACTAATGAGAAATTATCATGTTTTCTATGTGTAGAAAAGTTTTCTCTTCGCAATGGCTTTACATATTTTCTGTAGGGAAAAATTCTATTTATAAAATAGCCTGGGATATGGAGAACTCAGTGATAAAAGGGGCAAGAACATTTTCAGATTGTTTTACCCTGCTGGAATGTAGCATGGGAAAGCTCCTTCCAAAAGGCTATTACCTCTGGGCATTCTGGCACAGTTGGGGAGTGAATTGGTAAGATAAAAATGGGACGAAAATCCCTATTTTCTGTTAAATACAAACAGGCTCAGAATGGGGCATCCTGCATTTAGGATTAGAAACTTCATTATACAAAAGCAGGGTGGAGAAACCCTAATTTGACAGCTAACCCAAGAGTGTATGGTGACCACAAGATTAACAGGGGCCAGCAGTGTGACATTGCCATTCAAAAAGCTGGTGCTGTAGTTGGGCTGTGGTCTAACCACAGCTGGGTTTTTTTTTTTTTTTTTTTTTTTGCCCAGTTTTGGGCACAGAATGCTAAGAGGAACGCCAACAGAATGGAGACTCGATGCCAATGAATTGGGAAATCATATTATGTGACGGGCAGTTGAAGAAGGCATGTCTGTAAAATTGAAGAAGAGATTTCTTAGAATGACCTCAGTAACAAGCTTAAATATTTAAGTGTCTGGTGAAAGTAGGGGTGGGATAGTCTCTGATGTGCTACAAGATCGAAGAAGGAGTTAAGTCCTTCTCTAGAGCCTCAAACCCCTGCTCAGCATGAAAAAAACAACAGAAACCCAAGTTAACATCTCCTTGCAATATCTGATCTGTTTTTCCAATACATCTGCTCATCTTGTTTCAAAACAAGTAGCTGTCACCATTCTTAACCCTGTCGTCCAAACCAGAAACCGGGCATCATCTTTGACTGGTCCCCTTTACTCAGGGGGAAAAAAAACCATGTCTTTTAAAGTCAGCGCCTATAATACTGGTCTTTGGTTTATCTCCAATAACTCGATTGTTAACAGCCCTTGAAGGGGAGGCAATACTGTTAAACTTGATAATTTCTAAAGAGTTTTGAGCTATTTAGCACGAAGTGATGCCAAGAAAAAGGAATACTAACATTACTCACAGCAGAGGGAAAAATTTTATATCCTTTCTGAAGGCCAAGGTTAAGTTCTGTGTGACTCAGCACATTGACTTTCTATATGACCCTAAATCCCTTCTATTTCCTGATCTACTTGTCTTGACCTGTTTCATTTCCACACCAAAATAGTTTCATTAACACAGCGATCATGCTCAGGAGATAGTGGCTAACTGATGTAATTAACTGACATGTCAAAGGCTATTGGTTTATTGCATATGCAACTGTCTTTCCTGGTGGGAAGATACAGTTTCTGCTGACATAATAGGTATGCAAACATGCCAAATTGCCCAATAATCTGCCCCCGTGATGGTGAGGTGTTTGCGGCCATTCTACTTACAGGAACAGAATGGCGGATCTGTTACTATGTTCTCCTAAAATGCAGCTGGCCAAAGGTGCTAATTGGTAAACAGTTAAAATAGAAAGAAGAGAAGGCAATTCAGTTTTGGGCCTTAGTGAGTTTTTTTTCCTTTTCTTTCCTTAAAAAAAAAAAATTGTGCTTTTGGCATGCTAATGCATGCATTTAGTCTCTGCAAGAAATTTCCATTTAAGAAAGAATTTAAAAACATGAAGTGCTCAATCCATATCTCCTAAACAACTAAAAAGACTGCAATTTCAAATGAGAAATTATGTTGCAAAGAAGAAAAAAGTTGTTTATTATGGCTCAAAATTTTAATCACCCAAGGGCTGTAAAGTTAAAAATAGACAATTCTGCCTTCTGTTTATGGTAAACTTGGCTGAGTCCCGGCAAATTTCAAAGCTGAACATACTGTATGTTATTTTTGCTTAATTTTAGATTCCACATTTTAAAATTATTTCTTACAAGAAGCATATTTCAGGATATAAACTTAGCCTGAAGAACAGTATTCTTGATTTTTGCCCATATTGAAACTCCTTTGAAAATAGTAAACTATGGTTTTGGGATTTTCCTATTCCCAAGAGTCCAAATGGGTACCTTTCTAAGTCTTTTACATTATGAATGAACACAGGATTATGAAATTGTAAAGGTTACTTTCTGCTCTCTAATTCCTTTACTCGTAATTTTAGTTTTCTTAACGGTATAACTTGATGCAAATATATACACAGTAGATACTAACTTTCACTGAAGTGTTTTCGGGAGGGAGGGGCACTTTACAAGATGTGTTGCCTTTAGTTTTTCCGGTAAGGAGACAGGAAGACACAGACACAGGCTCTTAGGGCACATGGAAAGCGCCTGCCCCTGTGCCAAGAACTTAAGAGAGAGCCGGGGATGGACCCTCCTTGCTGTGGCTCCTGAACAGTGCAGCCTCTCTTCTGATGCACTCACCCTGGCGAGGAGAACCGCTTGTGTGGCGACTGCTTGGCCCAAGAGCGAGTAGGATTGTTGACTCAACTCTCTTCGTGTCTCCTCAGAGAGGAGGAACACCTGGCTTCACCTGTTTACATAACTCTTGTTGATTCTTGTCCCTAAGCTCTTCCAGAATGCTCTTTTGGGCTTTTCCTCAAAAGGTTTTTAGAAGAACAAGCTTTTTGGGGTGGCAAGAAATTTAGGATGGAGATTTTTGTTTTTAACCTATTAGTCAGCGTGGCATCAGAGAACCACATGTGCCCCACAGTCAGTGGCATGCTCAGTAAATATTTGTTGAATATTATTTAAGTGAATGACTGTTTGCTGAAGAACAAGATTTCTCTGATGACCTTGACAAACGTATGTTTGTGATTAAGTTAATCATAGCTACCACTTAGAACTTCTTACTCACTAGACATGTAGCTGAACACTTCATATGTCATTCTGCTTTTTGTTTTTTTAAAGACAGGGTCCCTCCCACTCTGTCACCCAGGCTGGAGTATAGTGGTGCAGTCTCAGCTCATTGCAACCTCTGACCCCCAGGTTCAAGCAGTCCTCCCACCTCAGCCTCCCAGGTAACTGGGGCTACAGGTGTCTGCCACCACACCTGGTTAATTTTTGTATTTTTTTGTACAGATGGGGTTTCACCATGTTGCCCAGGCTGGTCTAGAACTTCTGGACTCAAGTGATCTGCCCACCTTGGCCTCCCAAAGTGCTAGGATTACAGGCATGAGCCACTGTGCCTTGCCTTCATATGTTATTTCTGATCCACTAGGTTTGGAACCTATCCCAGGACACCTGGCCATATAGAGTAGCTATATCGAGTCTATATTCAGCAAGTGCAGGGTAAGCTCTGATTCCATGGTCCTTCCAATATGCCATACCACCGAGGTTGAGAAAGGTGGTGTTAACAGTACCCATACGTTGACATAAGGCCTCTGAGAGGCCAAAGGATATGCCACAGTATTCTTTAAGGTGCTTAAGCCCTTAATCATGAAATGTTTTCCTAGGCCACAGTAAGAATCTACTTAGTTTACACACAATTCTAATAAATCCGGTTATCTGTTTTTCAAATACAAAGCAGATTGATTCATTCAGCAAATATTTTCTGAATACCTATTATGTGCCAAGTAGATTGTTCTAGATACAGTGAACAAAAAAGAATCCTTGCTCTGACAGAGGTGATGTTGCAGATTAATAGATCAGTGGTTCTCAAAAGTGTAGTTCCTGGATCAGTGGCATTAGCATAACATGGGGACTTGTTAGCAGTGCAAATGTTGGTCCCCACCCCCGACTTACTCAGTGAGAAGCTCTAGGGGTGGGGCCTGATTTTAAACAAGCCCTGTAGATGATTATGATGTATGTGAAAGTGTGAGAACCAGTATTCTAGAAGATTTTAAACAATTTGTGTTCCTATGGCAGATAGCTCTCTGGAGAACTTTGTCTCCTGATTCATTCCCAGACTACCGTGTGTGTGTACATGTGAGTGTTGGGGTCTTACCTTATAACGGCATTTAGTGATTGGCAAAGCTCAGATGCTGGGCCTCTATGGGGCAGAGGCACTTGGACATTTGTACCTAAGGATGTGGGCCCTGGAGTTACATGTACCTGAATTCAGATTCTTACTTTGCCAAGCACAGCCACAAGAACTTGGGAGAGTTAGGAAAACTCTCTAAGCCTTAGTTTCTTCATTGTGCAAATGAGGTTGACAGTAATAGGACCATACCTCCATTTGTAGCATGGCTACTTGGTACAAAGAAAATGTCCAGTAACTAGTAACAATTGCTTTTCTCTCTCCAGGATCCAGCACCTGGCCTGGCACAGGGTACATGCTCAGAGAACAAGTCTTTGAAAGAATGGGTAGATGTTTATTTTCCTTTGTATTAGCCATTAGCTCAAGGTCTGCAGCTACTTAATTCCAACCTGGGTCCATTTTTAGCAGAAGAAAAAAGAATAATGGGACTCAGCATCAAGGCGCACCTGACACAGAGTCCTCTTGGAAATGTGTGACCTGCCTCAGTTTAGCCACTGCTTTTACTTCATCCTCATCAGTCAGAGTATGACATTGCCTTCCCCTTTACCTCTTAATTTTGGAATATTTCAAGTGCCTCTAAAATTTTATTTAATTAAGGGGCTTCCAAATCTGCTTGTAGATATTTTATTCTTGAAATGCTTGTGGCATTAATAGTAAATCAGAATCAGACCTCCACCTATTTTGTGCCATTTCAGCACTAAGCCAAGGAGAAAAATTATTGAGGAAATTAATGCTTCCCTTAAGCACAGTAGGAACACGAAGCTAACATACTGCCGTATAACCTGATTTCACTGGTATTCTTTCTGAAATTTTTGTTTTTCTATTTCTATTGCATATTGGACTTCATGGCTAAAACAAAGTGCAATTATGAGGAGGATGTTTTCTCAAAATCTGTAGGGTCTGGTTGGTCACATAACCTTTCAGAAGAAACATTATCTACTGGATGACTTAGATGTTATTCACCAATAGATTATCAAGGTTTATCTCCAGATGTTCATTAATTCACTAAGTATTAATTGAGTATCTACTATGTGCCAAGCATCGTCCTAGGTGCTAAAGATATAGCAGTGAATGAATGGGACAAAAGTCTCTGCCCTCTTGGTATATACTTAGTTACTTTCTTTTTCACACATGGGCATGTGTGTAGGTGTCTCTGGAGTAATGCGTTATATGCAGGTGTTGAGCCTAGGGTGGTGTTGGGTGCATCATGGGCACTCACATGTTAATTTCCTGCACTGTAGATGATTGCTGATTCTCAGTGATATAATCCAGTCAAACCATTTGGCGTTCTTCTGCTTTAAATTTTATTGGTGAGGTTTAACTCTTCATTAATGAACGCTGTCACATTTTCTCTCTTCTCTGACATGTCCTGGTGCCCTGGGTTTGTGGGGTCAAGTCACTGCCGATTTAATTCAACTCTTCTTTGTATGACTACAAGTCCTGTGTTTTAGTTTCCTATTGCTGCTGTAAAAAATCAACATGAACTTAATGGTTTACAGTAACACAGATCTATTCCCTGATAGGTCTGGAGGTGGGGAGTCTCAAATCCAGTGTTACTGGGCTGAAATGAAGGTGTTCCGAGGACTGGTTCCTTCTGTAGGCTCCAGGGGAGAACCTGTTCCTTGGGCCTTCCAGCATCTAGAGGCTGGCTCTTCACTGCATCACTGCATTTGAGCTCCGCTTCCTTCTCCTGGACCTTTGACCCTCCTGCCTCCCACTTAAGGAGCCTTCCAGTTGCATCATTGGGCCTGCCTGAATAATCCAGGGTAATCTGTCTACCTCAAGATCTTCAACTTGATCACAGCTGCAGAGTCCCTTTTGTTGTATTCATGCATTCTGGACATTAGGATATAGACATCTTGGTGGTTGGTCATTGTTCGGCCGATCATACCTTGTGAGAAATTCCAGTGTCCCTGGGCTGAGCTGCTAAGGAGCAGGTTTTATTGAGCAGTCTTTCCCATTCTATGAAACCCAACCCAGGAGAAAACGCTCTAAAATGCAAATGTTGCTAACTTGGCAGAGCCTAATTATATGTGCACAACTACCTAAAATTTTCTTAATAATTGCTCTCTGTTCCACAAGACTTGGCTCAAAAACCCCTCCTCCAAGGAGCCTTCCTGAATTTTCCTGGGCTTGTATAGTACTCTGTGTTTGTGATTCTGTGTCACGCTCTGTGTAAGTGACTCCATGATCAAAGCTTTCCTGTTGTAATTGTGTGGATTTACTTGTTGCCCACTGTCCCCATACCCTCCACCCCCACATGGTGTGCTTTCTCCAGAAAGGGACTACTTCTGCTGACCACACAGAAGACGTGTGTAAAGTCTGTGTATCAATGAATGGATTCTCATCTTTCATAGTTTTTTTTTTAAATAGTTTTATGTGTGTTTAACTTAATTTCACTTAAAAAGATATTTACCAGAAGCTGAAAGTAGGGTGTGATGAGGTTGGGTTCAGGAAGGACTGGTATCACATGGCTTCCCTAAGTTGTATATTACATTGTTAGGACACCTGACAGAGCTGTGGATTAGTGAATCTTACGGATGGCTCTTTTCAGTTGAATATAATTCTGAAGCTCTGCACCATTCTTCCCACTGTGTTGCTGTTAATCTACCATAAACCAGGTAGATTCTGCATAGTTGGAAGTGATGGAAATCAAGGTGAATGCCTGATTCTTTAAATCTTTTTTTTTTTTTGAGATGGCGTCTTGCTCTGTTGCCCAGGCTGGCATCCATTGGTGCAATCTTGGTTCACTGCAACCTCCGCCTCCTGAGTTCAAGCAATTCTCGTGCCTCAGCCTCCTGAGTAGCTGGAATTACAGGTGGGCACCACCATGCCTGGCTAATTTTTGTATTTTTAGTAGAGACGAGGTTTCACCACGTTGGCCAGGTTGGTCTCAAACTCCTGACCTCAAGTGATCTGCCCGCCTCGGCCTCCCGAAGTGCTAGGATTACAGGTGTGAGCCACTGCGCCTGACCTGAATCTTTAAATTCTTAAAATCAGTTTTAGTCACCAAAGAAGATACTCTGTAGCTTAATAACTTTGAGTTACTGTAACGGAATCAAGTCACTGGTATTGAGACATTTTTATTTAAAAATTTTAAATTAGAATCTTACTATGTGGAAAAATACGGTCATTGTTGGAAAATCATTTTGCCTCTTTTTAACAGCATTCAGGCAGTTTTTTTTTCCCTTTGAAAATAGACCTTGGTCTGTGTTGTTGGAAAGCATGTAATTTTCATTTGTTTTTTTTCACCTAGTAGTGCTTAATGATACCATGTGAATTTTTATAGTCCCAGCTGCACTGAAGTGTGTGCCCTGAAACTTCGGTTGGATTAAGAAAAGTAGCTTGGTGTGAGGGCTGAAATTGGTGAAATGGGAGAACACAGGGTTGCATCTATATATATTGCAATTAATATTGACGAGTGGGCAGAAGTCCAACATTATCCTAGGGGGTTGGCTAATGTTCTTTGTACACCAATGCAAGTGAGTCTTTTCCCTCCAGGTGTGAATAGTTTAATTTAGTAGGTCGATTAGTAGAAGCAAGGGGTGTTTTCTTGTATTCCAGTTTACATTATACACTCAACATTAACTAGCTGTTTAAGGTACAGTGCATTGTTGAGTAGTTGTGGTACAGGTATCCTGAGACGTTGCTAACCCATCTTGGTATCTCCAGGGCCTGGCATCTAATGTAGTAGGTACTCATTAGCATTTGCAACATGAATAGGAGAATGAATGAGTGGTTGTTGTGGCAAAGTCTCTTAAAAATCCTGGTCCCTGCGTACCTCTGTAGCCTTCTCATCTCCCCACCTTCTAGCAATAATATTCTATTTGTAGCTTGTTAAATACTCCACATTCTTTCCGGCCTTTGGACTTTTGTACATTTCATTCCCTCTGACTCTCACACCACCTTCCCTGTCCCCTATCCCCTTTGTCTGGCTAATTCCCGCTGGTTCTTTATGACTTAGCACCTTCTAGAAGACGTTTTAGGAGGCATCATAGTGGGTATTTTGTTGAAGGCCTGGTTTGTTTTTCATATCTCTATGATAACATATCTCTTTGGGTAACAACAGAGAGCTGCTGACTAGTGGCACCGTTGAAAGCTGCATATCTGAAGCTTCTTTTCAGGAGAATGTGGATCATTTCAGGTGCCTGCATCATTTGCATGTACATCTTCCAAACTCTATTGGTACTTTCCATTTAGATATGGGCAGAACATGATGCTACAGTAACTGAAACAGAAGTTAAGTTAGCAGCAGATTCTCTTCCATTTATAGCATCAGTATCAGGGTAAAATGGGAAGATGAAGGAAAACTATTGATGAATTACCTTTGGTACAGCTGATACTAAAGTGGGTAAACAGGCAAAAAGAAGTTGGGAAATTGAACCATTCTCTTTCTTTTCTTTTTTTCAAAATTAGAGACAGGGTCTTAATTTGTCACCCAGGCTGGAGTGCAATGGCACGATCCTAGCTCACTACAGCCTCGAACTCCTGGGCTTAAGGGATCCTCCTGCCCCAGCCGCATGAGTAGCAAGTGCATGCCACCATGCCTGGTTAATTTCTTTCTTTTCTTTTTCTTTCTTTCTTTTTTTTTTTTTTTTTGGATGAGATATGGGTCTAATTATGTTGACCAGGCTGGTCTCGAACTCCTGGCCTCAAGCAGTCTTCTCACCCTAGGCCCCCAGAATGCTGGGATTACAGGCTTTAGCAACCACACCCAGCCTGAACCATTTCCTTTCTGATTTAACTTAGGAAAGTTTGCTGCATAGTAGGAGCTCAGCTAACATTTGCTGAGGATGAAAAAAATAAATGAACCAAGTTTGTTTTGTTTGCATCTTTTTCCTTTTGCTTTACAATAATATATTTTTTAAAATTCCCTGTCTTTTCTACTACACTTCTTTTGGCCTTCATAGCTCTAGCCCCAGACTATACTTAGTGCTTTTGCTAAGACTGACTCATCTTGTTTGATTGCTTTAGTGATATAAGATTCTTGTATCCATAGGAATGGTGTGAGACTGTATGCCTTTCATGTTTGCAAAAATGTAAACCAGAAGAGCCAGTTATTGGTACCAGTACCAACTAATTCCTCAGAGCTATAGGGCAGTATTAAATTACTAAGCCAGTGTGGAAACAGCATGATCTAATGGAAAGCTAATTAGCCTTTGTGTCAGATGGGTGTGATTCAAATCTTGTCTGTACTGCTGATGGGCTGTGTGACTTTGGGCAAGTAGCTTAACTTCTCTGAGTTCCCCTGTCTCTGTTTTTTCATTTGTAAAATGGAGTGGAGGGGACAATATTAACTTGCAGGATGGCTTGATGATGAGAAATGATAAATGTCTTAGTCTATATTAGATCTTCAGTAAATGGTAGTTGTTTTGACCACTGTTACTGCAATGAGCCAAGGTGGCTATAAGCCCTTCAGTGTTTCAGTAAGGACAAGCTTACAGGTAACCACCAAGATCAGGGCAGAACAGCTGATTTAGGTCTAAACAGGTTCCATCGTGTGTCTTCAAAAAGGTTTTCCTTTTTTTCCTCTGGAGAAAATTCAGACTGGTTTAAGAAGGAAACTGAGAGCCTCTTCCCTCCCTATGTTCTGAGTGTTTCAGAGATGGCCAGAAATGGATACTAGTTACTAAGCAAGACCTTTAAAAAATACACGTTACAAGGCAGGTTGGTATGAAGGAAAGAGCACTGACCCGTGAGTTATTCTCGCGGGGCCAGGCTCTGCTCCACTCAGCTCTGTGTTCTCTGCCAAGTCCCTTTAGATCAATGTGTCGCATGTCCCCCCATTGTGAGTTGAGTACATTGGACCAAAGGATTATAGTTTGTTTTCTTCCCAGGCAAGTGCCTCCTCCTGATGGGGAGTTAGTATGATGTGGGTGGCCCCAGTAGGACTGGGCTGGTCTTACTGTTCTAAGAAGTGTTAGCAGAAAAATGGCTAGGCATTGGAGTAACCCTGTGATTTGACATTTTGGGGCATCCTTTCATGGTACGATACACCTGGCCAAAAGTCTCCCAGCTCAGAAATTCTATAACTAGAAATGCTTTGAATAAATATATACTGAGAAGGTATTTTGGGGGGAAATTTTAAAATTCTTATCTGACTTGGCTAGAGCAACTGCTTACGACACTGGACTTCTTAGGGGTATCGATAATGGTTGTCTTTGAATGGGGAGTGGATTTCTCAGCTTCCTGGGAACAGCAACAAAATTCCCCCAACAAACCCCAGGGTGTCTGAAGCGCCTGCTTTCTTCTCAAAGAGCCCGATCGAATACTCTTCTGTGGGCTCAAGAGCTATCAACAGTATTGAACAGTTAGACTAGAAGGATGGGTTGAGAACAGTTGCTCCCTCAAGGCTTGGAAATTAACAAAGACCATATTAGTAAGAATGGGGAGGGAGGTGGGAGGTGAAGAGAATGAGGGCTGGGAGGAGCAATTCGGAAGTGGAGAGGGTGATTGGAGGGGTTTGTTTCCCAGACAGTTTTCAAAGAAGAGGGATTTGTGTAGTATGCCATGGGACTGAAGATGCAGTGCAAGACCAGTTGATGTTCTTCTTTTAATCAACCAATTAATTTCTCTATCATGTTTCTTTTAGGCTAACGAAGTGTCTTCTTTCCTTTATCATGGCCATTGATAGCAAGAGCTTAAGGGAATCTTGCCTCCCTGGGCTCAGGATAGGCTGGAGAGAAGGACACACATAAGAGGAAATTGACATTTTGCAGTTTTTGTTGTTGTTGTTTGTTTGTTTGTTTTTTTGAGACAGTCTCCACTCCGTTGCCCAGGCTGGAGTCCAGTGGCACGATCTCAGCTCACTGCAACCTCTGCCTCCCAGGTTCAAGTGATTTTCATTCCTCAGCCTCCCAAGTAGCTGGGACTACAGGCTTGCACCACCGTGCCTGGCTAATACAGCTTTTTTTTTTTTTTCTTAATTTTATCATAGGTAAGGGAAGACGATCCAATGTGCAGAGAAGGCTCAGGTTTTCATTTTAGTCTGCGGGTGATTGATTTCTTTCTTTCAAGGGGCTGGTTGAGGAGGTCAGAGTCTTAGAAAGGGAGAAGAAATCAGGGAAAAGGAGAAAAGAAGGAATGAGATTTATGACCCTCTGGATCCCAGATTTTATGTCGCGTAACCATTCCCAATACTGGAAGTTCATGACACCCTGAGAAACAGCCCTGGAACTCAGAGCAGTGATCTGCATGCAAAGGCAAAATTAAATAGTCCAGCAACTGCTTTGACCGAGAGACACACATAGTACTATTCTGGGTCCTGAGTGCTGCTTCCCTTTCATTTCTCCCCTAGGCACAGATTCCACTGGCTCACAGAGTGATGAGTTAGACCACCCAGGGCCACTTATGTTATACTGAGGGCGGATGCTGATAGTGCTTATAGAGGAATTATTTCAACAATGAGACTTTTCCATTATTCTTTCTGCAATCACCCTCTATACTCAGAATGTGGAAACCTTGGCATCTCTCACTTAAGAACACTGAATTCATGGTGTTGCTCAGAGAGTCCTGTCCTGGTTCCATAACACTGTGATAATAACTGAAGATCTTTAAAAATGTATGTATCTTCCATTTTTATTCCATATGGCCCCTTAGGTAACATGACCCAATGGGGCCATTAAATGACCCTGCCTACACTTGGATTACTCAGTACAAAGCAAATTTATGGTTGTTTATTCTCTCCTCCTATCAGCTATTAGTGCCTAATCATATGGTCTATCGATCATGAGATTAATCGCCTGCCCAAAGAGGCAGCAGGTCTTGTGGAATGCTGCACTGCGCCAGACTGAACTTCAACCTTTTATACAAACTGGAGGAGTCAAAATCATCATTCACTGCCTGAAATCCTTGCACCCTGGGCCTCCTGCACCCCAGGAGGTAAATCCCTGCTTTTTCAAACAGTGTACTTTGCACTTCCTTTCCTTGTGTAAAACTTTACCTCATTGATTCAGGCAGGCACTTGTAAATAAAATCCTTTCCAAGGCATCCTATAAATAATGATCTAAGCTGAAAATATGTGGGCTTTATTATACAAAGCCCCATAGTGCTGCCATAATTAAAGGTCTGTCAGTATTTCTATTATAAATTCTCATTTTAGAAGATTTATCACTGGGCTATTAAAGTTTTCTCTAAGACTTTCCAAGAGTATCATGATCTAAGGCCTTTTTTTTCTTTCTGTGGAATGTGTTGCTTTGAAGATATAAAAAATAAAGTCCAGAAACATTATCACATAGGAGTACACACATGCAGAGATTGGACACTTTAAAATTTGAGCTCTGCCTCCACTAAAGTGGCTTCTGTTTGCCTCTTGTGTTCTCATTGCATTTATGAGAACAGAGAATCATTGTAGGGCTAATACTGTATTGTAATATTTGTTTCCTGGTCTGTGTCTTTTACTCTGAGGAGAGAGAGGGCAGGGAGTTAAATCATTTGTCTTTCTGGCCCTGGTTCCACCAGAGGGCCTTGGCAATATAAGCACTGGGTTTGTTCAGTAAATGAGCCCCAGGGTGAGAGTCAGGAAATTTTCTTCCTAGTCTTCATCTAGTCATTAAAGGTGAGGAGTGAATTCAGGCAGTGAATTTAGGCAAGTCCCTTTACTTTCCTGAAAACAAGTTTTCTGATCAATGAAACGAGTGTGTTGAGTTCAGGGCTAGTAAATCTGTTTTTGGTGGGTTGAATACTGCCGGCACAGTGTTTTCAAACACTTGAATTGGAATGTCTTTAGATGGAATCTGTGCCTTCTAGTTTGCCATAATCCCCACTGTTCCCTATTATATTATGTTGTATCAGCAGCCTGCTTCTATCATTTGCCTGCAGAGTCTATAAGCATTTATGATTCCTTGTAATTATTGATCATGTGGTCTTTTGTTGCTATACTAAGGGTCTAAATCTGATTCAGGTTAGCCGTTGATGCCTTTGACTGTAACTGTAATTCTCTAACTTTCAACCCTTTTATCATCAAGGACCTCAACTATTATTTTTTGTTCCATATTTGAAAACTTTTGGTGTTCCAGACACACTGCATTGGTTAATAACTAATTTTCCCGTTGTAAAAACAGACACGTGTAACTGAACACACAAATGAGCCATCAACAGTATGAATATAAAAGTGTTTGTGCAATGAGTTGGTTGACGTTTCAGCTAGCTTGTTCAGTTGTTTCATGGGTAAGTGTATAGTTTTTGTTTGAAGTTTTGATATATGAAAAATAGTTCCGAGGTCTTCTGCCTTATTAGACATGTGATAGACAAAGGATTCTAGGTGAGAACTTAGTTTATTCTTTTATGAGTTGCTGAACTGCCCTGGTCATTAGAACATCAAGTAAGTTGTTTATCCACATGCAGTTCATGTCTTTTCAGTTGTCTCCTTATTGGTCAGCTTAGAGAGGGCTCTACAAAACCTGGCTTTTACATTCAGTGAGCTGAAAAGAGCTTCCTATATGAGTTTACCCAAAGGCCCTTGTTACATTTTCTCCCTTTAGTCAAGAGTACTTTGGAATTTTACATTTTCTCCCTTTAGTCAAGAGCACTTTGGAATTTGTTAAAAGGATTGGGAGACAATTTGAAAACTTGGCTCTCCAGTTAAGAAGAATCATTTTTTACACTTTAACTCAGACTGTTGGTGAATATTGTAAATTGACAATTTAAAAACACACATTTGTTTTATTTTATTTTATTTTTTATTTATTTTTGAGGTGGAGTCTCACACCGTCTCCCAGGCTTGAGTGCGTGGTGCGATCTTGGCTCACTGCAACCAAGTGAGCCTTGGCTCACCGCCTCCCAGATTCTCCTACCTCAGCCTTCCGAGTAGCTGAGATTACAGGCATGCACCACCATGCCCAGCTAATTTCTGTATTTTTAGTAGAGACAGGGTTTTGTTGTGTTGGGCAGGCTGGTCTCAAACTCCTGACCTTAGGTGATCCGCCCGCCTTGGCCTCCCAAAGTGCTGGGATTATAGGCATGAGCCACCACACCCGGCCTTATTTTATTTTTGAGACAGGGTCTTACTCTGTCACCCAGACTGGAGTGCAGTGACACGATATTGGCTCACTGCAGCCCTCGCCTTCTGGGCTCAAGTGATCCTCCCACCTCAGCCTCCTGAGTAACTGGGATTACAGGCACACGCCACCCTGCCTGGCTAATTTTTTTGTATTTTTAATAGAGATGGGTTTTGCCATGTTGCCCAGACTGGTATTGAACTCCTGGGCTCAAGCCATCCACCTGCCTCACCCTCCCCAAGCGTTGAGACTACAGGCAGTGAGCCACTGCATCTGGCCAAACATACATTTAAATAGAGCAGATGAAAGATCTATAGTGTAGAAGTAATCTGCATATAAACCAGTCTTAAATTGAGACGTGACCTATGACTGTTAAAGCAGTCCACATCACACAAAAATAAAGGGCTTGGAAGATAGCAGCCTGGTTTAACCAGGTTAGATATAATTTAACAGGAAGAGATAGTGTCTACATTGTTGCTAAAAGCTTAGGCTCTGGGGTTCCTAATTTGGGTTTAATTCTGTCTTGGTTACTTGTTAATTCTGTCACCTTGGAGTGGTTCCTTAAATCTCCCTAGGCCTTGGTTTCCTCATTTGTAAAATGGGGATAATAATGGCTTACCGTGTGGAATAAATTAGAGTAATTCATACAAAGGATTTATCATCATATTGGTTATAGAAGAAACAATGAATATTCATGATCATTTTTATCAAGAATATAATTGAAATATATTTCTGAGCGTTGAGGTTTTTCTCTTAAAGAAAAGTGTAAAGGTATACTTTCTTAAGACTGCTCATACATGCTGGATCACCCATATACATTTCCAGGAAATTGTATGTTCTAGCAATTCTATGTTCCAAATGTGCTGCTTTCAGTTTTTTCGAGAAACAAATGATGTTTGACTTTAAAATTCTAGAGTTGGCCGGGCGCGGTGGCTCACGCCTGTAATCCCAGCACTTTGGGAGGCCGAGGCGGGTGGATCATGAGGTCAGGAGATCGAGACCATCCTGGCTAACAAGGTGAAACCCCGTCTCTACTAAAAATACAAAAAATTAGCCGGGCGCGGTGGTGGGTGCCTGTAGTCCCAGCTACTCAGGAGGCTGAGGCAGGAGGATGGCGTGAACCCGGGAAGCGGAGCTTGCAGTGAGCCGAGATTGCGCCACTGCAGTCCGCAGTCCGGCCTGGGCGACAGAGCGAGACTCCATCTCAAAAAAAAAAAAAAAAAATCTAGAGTTGAAATTTTTCTCTTACATTTCCTTTTCCCTCTAGATCAATCCCAATTAAAGTTTCATTGCAAAAGTTTCACAAACTCATATTGGCATTAATTATTATTGGTGTGCTGGTGAAAGTCCTAAAGTGAGTTCATTAAGAATTAAAAACCTTGGCTGGGCGCGGTGGCTCACGCCTGTAATCGCAGCACTTTGGGAGGCCGAGGTGGATGGATCACCTGAGGTCAGGAGTTCGAGACCAGCCTGACCAAACATGGTGAAATCCCGTCACTACTAAAAATGCAAAAATTAGCTCGGCGTTGCGTGCGCCTGTAGTCCCAGCTACTCGGAGGCTGTGACAGGAGAACTGTTTGAACCCGGGAGGCGGAGGTTGCAGTGAGCTGAGATCATGCCATTGCGCTCCAGCCTGGGCGACAGAGCGAGACTGTCTCCAAAATAAAAAGAATTAAAACCCTTGAGAAAACTTTAAACCCTCCTGGACTCATAGAGCTGGAGGGGACCTAAGAGGTTATCTCCTCTAAGCCCCATTTTCCAGATAAGGAAAGTGTATTTTCCAAGGTAAAATAAGTTTTCAACAGTGAATATCCTTCATAATGGCTTTTTAATTTGTACTGTCACTGGAGTCAGCCCTCATTTGCCATGTTATGATTATGTTCTTCTTGTGGGACTTGTATGTATTTATTAGAGACCATTGAGACGTAGCACTGGGCATTACTTTTGTGGCAAAGGCACCAGGGCAGTAATCATTATTAATGGATTTCATTATTTGGGAGAGCATTTTACTGACTATAGAGAATTCATTGCATTGATCTATTGTGCCACAGTTTTATTATACCGGGTAGTTTAAAATGATATTCTCTAAACTGTTAGGCTGAAAAATTGTCCAGTGTTGGCAGTTATCCCATCAGTAAGACATTCCTTTTACTACCGAAAATACATAGTTCTGTCGAAAGAGACCTTTTGACTGGTCCCCAGTGCCCTGACTGTGTTTAAATCCCTCACTAGTGAAATAGGAGGATTACTACTGCCATCATTGTTCTAAAACAAACTTCCTTTTGGAAGATAACAGCAGCGGTAAATCAGATGTTGAAGAAAGTACCAGCTTAACTTCACTTTGCTTTAAAAGGGTTTCCTCTTTAATTGACAAGTGTCATGTATAATAGGGCATGGCAACTCACATAGTAAACCTTGTGTGGGGCTGCCTGCTGGGGTTGGAGTTCTTAATGAACATACAAGTGAATACACTGAGGCAAAAAAATTAAAGCTCTCCAACTGTGGGGTATTCATTCTGTTCACTGTGGCCAGTGTGGTGATCAGTACTGGCCACACCAGTGGCCAAAGAGAACTGCATTCATCATGTGGCTGTTCTATAGCTGTGAGCTGTGGTGACTGTTATTTTTCCTAGTGATAGTTTTCAGTGACAGCATAGATTCTGGTATCATATCCAAGGAATAAACAAACACTGTTTTTGGCTTTTTGTTTTTTTGTTTTTGACATAAAAATAATAAGCTATTTTTGGCATATGCAGACTTTTCACAAAGTGATTGTTTTCTTGAGCTCTGGACTACTTGGTAACATTCATAAGTTCCTTCACTTTGTAGCTCCCTCTTTCCTTCCCTCCACTCCCTGCAAAAGAGAGCAGAACTGATTTTTCAGAGGTGATGTTTACAACAGTTCAACACACTCGAATGAGCACTTAGAATAATGTCAATAGAGGAAGAAAAAAAAGGACATATTATTATCAAATTAAGTAATGGATGGGCAGTGATATTTTATTTATTAAAGCTTGTCTGAGTACCATTGGAAACAGAGTATGTTGGTTCTGAAGTGCACAGATTAGAAAGGAATGTTGAGTTTGGAAACGTGGCAGCCTGCAGCACTGTGTATGGTTTAAATTAAACCTTTTTTTGGAAAGCAGAATAGCTGTAGGCCACATTTAAGGGAAAAGCCACAGCAGAGTGAGCTGGCTGTGGTTTTTCTTTTACTCTGTAACCGGCCCACTTTCCCTTGTTTTAACACAGAAAAAGACTTTGGACTCCTTCAGACCAACCACATAGCTTCTCTGCTGACCACAAAAAGGAAGCTTGGCGTAGAAGCCATAGGATTAATACCCACTGTCTCTTAACCCAACAGAGTGTGAAAACTTTCATAAGAGATTTCTCTGGGCAGACTGACACTGTGGTTGGACTTTAAACATTTTAAATCAAGCACAACTTTGAATTGCATTATGCCACAGTGCTCTGTAAATTGTTATGTGTGATCCCACTGTTAAAAGTTATTTACATGAATCCCCAGGTTTCAGAGGGATAAACCACTAACAGCTTTGTGTATCTTATAAAGAAATACAAAGAGAATTAAAGGTATGCCTATGACACATTATCTCAGATAGAGTAGGTAGATCATAGTCAGATTTTATTATTCTTAAGCAAATGGAGGCAATTGGCTTTTGGCAGAAAAGCCTTTTCATCTTTGAAAATAATAGGATTAAGATTGTGGATTCTGTTAATCACTTGATCAGCTTTATTAATTAACCACATTTTTAAATTAGAAAAAACCCTTTTTACTAGATGTGCATCTTTCTTAATAATTTTACATTGCAGGTTTTATTTAATATACTGATCTACTCAGGTATTATAAATGGTTGTTTCTATGTCCTGCACATTAATTTTAATAATTGGAATCCTACTACCCTGATTTACTAATCATGCATTTGTACAAAGCAACTCTGAAATGACCAAAAATAACCACAAAAAAACCTTTTGTGTTTGTATTTATATTTACTCATTCAGATGCCTAGGATTAATATGTTTTACAAGAAATCATTTGAATTTACATCTTACCATGTTGAATTAATCAGCTTTTCATAAGTGCACTGTCTCAGTATTCTGGTTTCTATTTAACAGAGAATCTCAATGGAAGAGATTGATTTGAAAAGTTGAAGGAAAAATCGTGCATACATGTTTCAAAACTGTGGTCTTACAGTAACCACAGAGTTAATTCTTGGTTGACTTTATGTCGCGAGAGGGGTTGATTTGCTGTCATTAGAGAAATTGGTCTGTATAACACTTCCTGTATGTGAAGAAATGCAGTTGTCATCATGCCTAGACCATTAAAGCAGTATTTAAATACTTCCAGTTGTGAGGAGCCATGCATTTATTTTGGTTATTTTCCCAGGTGTCTTAGGAGCAGCTGTTTTGTGCTTTACTGAACTTAATAGTTGAAGAATGTGGGAAAGAAATGGTGTACTTTCTGGGTAAAGTATTTTAGCCACCCTGGAGTAGTTGCATTGCATCTTGATCTTTTTTCATCTTGGTAGAATTATACTGTAACTAATTGAATCCATTGATCACTGTCTTGTTTTTTTTCCATCTTCTTCTCCGAGGATTCATTTCATAGGGGTCTATACATCAGTCAAGAAAATAGCTACCGAGGAATTACCGAGACTAGTAATAAAGGTAATTTAACCTAGTTTAATATTTTTTTTAAAGGCAAAACACTGTAAACATTTTTTACCTGGTGAGAGTTAACTTCTTAATTAGGCCATGTTGGAAAACAAATCAAAAAGACACTTACTGGTAGTTTTCAGAGAGTGAGAGAAAAAAAGAGGCAAGAGAAAGCATTGATCTTGGAATTAGATGACCTGGTTTCTAGGCCTATCTACCCCAATGCTTTTCAAACTTCAATGTGCATACGAATCAACTGGGGATCTTGTTAAACTGCAGAGTCTGAATCAGTATGGTTGCAGTGGGCCTGAGATGCTGCATTTCTGACAAGCTCGCTGAGACATCCCTGCTGTAGAACCTCTGACCACACCCTGAGTAGCAAGGGTCTGCTTTACCACTTAGCTAACTTTGTGGCTTTGGGTATACTGTTTAACAACTCTGCATCTCAGTTTCCTAATCTATAAAATTGGGATATTAATCTTTGTTCTGCCTACCTCATTGGGTTGTTATGAGAATAAAATTAGATAATGTAGATGCTTTTTTTTTTTTTTTTTTTGAGATGGAGTCTTGCTCTGTTGCCCGGGCTGGAGTGCAGTGGCTCGATCTCGGCTCATTGCAACCTCTGCCTCCCGGGCTCAAGCAGTTCTCCTGATTCAGCCTCCCAAGTAATTGGAATTACAGGCGCCTGCCACCATGCCCGACTAATTTTTATATTTTTAGTAGAGACGGGGTTTCACCATGTTGGCCAGGCTGGTCTCAAACTCCTGACCTCAGGTGATCCTCCTGCCTCGGCCTCCCAAAGTGCTGGGATTACAGGCGTGAGCCACCGCGCCCGGCCTGTAGATGTAATTTTAAAGTGTCAAATAAGCATAAGGCAGCAAGGACATTTGTTTATAGATACAGACATTCTTTGGATACCTTTCATCAAATCAGTGTGGGCTGTTCTTTAATAGGAGGGGCCTGGAACTGTGAGGCAGGAGAAGGGAACTGGAATCCCTGCCTCCCTAGTACCCATTCTGTGCCTTTGGCCAAATCATCTCCCCTGGTCCCCTGTTGCGTCATCTTTAAAATAAGGGCTTGACCTAGGTTAGTGCTCTTAAAGGGTAGTTGCAAGACTAGCAGCATCAGCATCACTGGGAAACTTGCTAGAAATGCAGGTTAGATTCCTAGCCCCTTCCGAGACCTGGTGAATCAGAAACTCTGGGAATGCAGTCCAGCAATCTGATTTCTAATGAGCTCTTCAGGTGATTCTGATGCAGCTAAATTTTGAGAAACTTTCTGAAGTGTCATCCAACTTTGAAATGAGATATTTAAGCCTTCTCTTTATAGGTTCAGCCAACAGAGAGCCTATCTGTGTGATCTCTAGACACTTTCCCATCTCCCAGGTAGAGGAAGATTGGGGAATTGAACCTTCTGTGATTGTATTGCATTGAGCATGTGGTAAGGAGGACTGAACTTGGACGGTTAAAACCTCACCTCTCTGGAACTCGGAATAGATTATAATTGCATTGACTTACACTGGTCTAGCTTATCCAGTTTTGGGGCTGCTTTAGTAGCCCACAAACGCTGACTAATGCAGATGACTGTACACACTGAGAAAGTTCTCTTCCATTTTAGTTTCCTCCTTACTCTCTTCCTGTTCCCCGAATGGTTGTCATCATGATATAGCACCAAGTCACATTTTATAGACTTTTCAATAACTTTCTAAAGTTGATCACAATCTAGATTATTTGCATTGTTGTGAGATGAGGGAAACTGAGAAAGTAAAATACATGTTTTGTTTTGTTTTGAGACAGAGCCTCACTCTGTTGTCCAGGCTGGAGTGCAGTGGCACAATCTCAGCTCACTGCAACCTCTGCCTCCCAGGTTCAAGTGACTCTCCTGCCTCAGCCTCTTGAGTAGCAGCGATTACAGGCACTCGCCACTATGCCCAGCTAATTTTTGTATTTTTAGTAGCGATGGGATTTCACCATATTGGCCAGGCTGGTCTCGAACTCCTGACCTCAAGTGATCCGTCCACCTTGGCCTCCCAAAGTGCTGGGATTACAGGTGTGCACCACCGTGCCTGGCAGTACATGTTTTTCTTAAAGTCATTTACGGTTACGTTTCCTTTATCTGCAGTTTTTGTTTGTTAGTTTGTACATTTGGAAATACATCTGAAAACTTACCAAGTTCAAGCGCTAGAGAGCACAATCTTTATGTACAGAGAAGACCTCCTCGATGAGGTCTAACAACTTCTGTTCTAGACACAAGTCTGATTTTTCATTCCAGAGCAGCAAATAAAGTCATAGTGGACAGCTGCTTCAGTCTGGAAACTAGAAACAAACAAGAGGTGTTAGCTGGCAGCTGAACAATGAAGAAAGACATGGAGACACTGTCCAAGAGGTCGAGATGGATAGTAGCTTGAGATCCTCTCTTTCTCTCTAGACATGCGCCATGTGCAACACACACACACACACACACACACACACACACACGCAGACAGTCTCTGACTTTCAACGGTTTGACTTTATGATGAGTTTATCAGGATGTAACTCTGTCACAAGTTGAGGAGCATGTGTTTATGTGTGTATGTGTATCCGTATACATTTACATTTATATATACACACACACACACCCCTCTATAATCCTGTATACTTAAATTCCTAAATAGTTGTTTGGGTGTTCACTATATTGGAACGCTTTAACTTGTGTTCTTAATAATATCTTTAGGAAAAGATTAAAGCATGTTTCTGCATATAATAATATTAGTAACAAATGATGGAAGATTTTGCTCCAAAATGAGTTAATGTAGAAAACAGGTAGTGATTAAAGTGGTGAATGTAAGCAATTTTGTAAATTTATAAAGTCATAGACATCTGTAGTTATGAAGGACCTCATAGATAATTTTCTCCAGTGGTTTCAAATATTATTTAAATAGGAATGTTTCCTTCAGGACCAAATCTGTGGAGAAGCTATGTACATGTATTTATTTTTTTAAGTTGAAAAGTATGCGAGTACTGGATCCATATTATTAATAACTTTGGCCCACCTGTTCTTTCTCCCAGAAGCAGCCCCAGTTGGAATCAGCCCCTAGAGCGAGGAGTCACCTGGGAAGCTTGTTACATGCAGATTCTGATTCTGTGTGTCTGGGAAGGCACCTGAGACTCTGCATTTCAGATAAACTCCTAATGTGTTAAACATGCATTGGCCACATTTTGAGAAGCAAGGCCCTGGGGGAAACTGTGCACGTAGTTCGAAAACCTTTGATGGGTTAACTTCTTCATGTTTCAAATGTGAAAAGACAGAGTTATAAATGATCTGCCAAAAGCCACATGCTTACCTGGGGTCTTGAGTCTTGGGAAGGCTGTGTTCTTTTACCCAAGGCCTGGGTGGGATGGCTGTGTCCTTACCCTTTGGGCTGAAGGAGGCATCCTAGTACCAGGGTTCCACGGGCACTATCCGTATTCTTAGTTTCTATCATGATAGATTATGCTGGGAACTTGTTCCTTTTAGCCCACTATCTGTCCCATGGAAAACAGTACTCTGAATCAGACCCCATGGAGGGTGGAACATTCTGATTAGCCAGCAAGGGCAGTTAGGCCCGTAGCTGTGGTGTCTGCTGCCACAGCAGAATGGATAAGCAGTTCTCAGCCACCACCCCCCACAACATAATCCATAAAACTCTTTCAACCTTTTTTTTTTTTTTTGCATGTCTAGTGTTTGCAAATGGAAAATGGCTGAGGAAAAACAGAGTGAAAGTTTATATAAAATATTTATACCTTAAAGATCTTTTATCTTGTGTCATTCAAGAGAGAAGTGAAAAATGTATTGGGAGTACATTATCAAGAGTACATTATAAATTTAAATCTCAGATTGAATAATATCAGCTGCTAATGTGTGGAGCTTTGGAAATGAGTCACTTTTGAATCTCAAGAACTTAACTGTACCAGGTCAGTTACACTTAAGAAGGAAGTGCCTTTTGAAAAAAGAAAAATCCTATACCGGAATAAAGACTTATACTAATGGGCATTAAAGATCAAATACTTGACATAATATTCATGTTAGAATGTAGCTACATAGGAATAAGTTGTAGGATCTGAGACACTTTATGGAATGTTTCTCAAAAACAATCAAATAATTTTGGTCTTTTCTTTGTGAAGCAATATAACCTGTGGTTACGAGTTATGTGTCTTAGAAAGACTTAGATTTGAATTCTCTGTCTGCTGCTTGTTAGCTGTGCCATTTTGGATCAGTTCTTTTCTTTGAGACTCACTTTATTTTAAAGCAAAGTTAATATACCTACCTAATTGGTTTTTTTTGTAAAGGATTAAACATCATGGTATTTGTAAAGCATTCAGCACTTTGCCTAGAATTTTATAGTTCCAGTAAATAGTAGCTATTTTTATCATTATTGTCACCATGATATTGTTTTTAGACCTAACTAGTATTGCATCATTCTTTGGTGACCTGGTGGTGTGCTATGGAAGCGAAATTGGTGTGCCTGTTGAAAAAGTTAGTAGTCAGAAAAAAAGACATACTTTTATAAGTGAGACTGTGACTATTATGCTGGACACCTGCATTCTAACTAGCAAAACAGAAAATACTTTGTTGGTTTTAATGGTGCTTTGTTTTTATACTGCATGGTATCTATTTTTGTATGCTGGGGTCTTAAAATGCTTGGAGCATCTAGAGAGGTAACTAAAGGAATGAAGTAGGCCATAGACATAGCAACAGCCCATGTCCCATTGAAAGGCCATGAGTCCCAGTTGAGGCCCCTTGGCTCTAGCCAATTGGTGCTGTGTGAAAATCTGGGCCCAGTGTTGTCAGTTCTTTTAATTTTTTCCTAAGAATCTGGAAGTGCAGATTTTTACATGAATCATAGGATGCTTTAAATAATTGCAGCTGTATCTTGAGAATGCTGTTGGCTGCAAGAAAGAAAAATTTTAGTTTAACAGTGGTCTAAACAAAGATTTTTTTTTCTTACATAGCAGTGAGTCCAGCAGTAATAGCTAGTGTTTTTATTTGCTCACTAATACCAACAAGAATTTAGACACTTTCCATTTTTCTGTCCTGACATGCTTCATTTGTTGACTTGAAAAAAAAAAGTGCTTGTCATTTATGGTTGCCATATGTATGTTGAAGGTAGGATAATGAAGGAGATACATTAGACTAGCCTTATTTATTCCATTTATCAGGAAAGTGAAAACTTTTCCAGAAACTACACAGGAGACATCCCTTATGATTTACTGGCCAAAACTGGGTCATTCTGGCTGCAAGGAAGCTTGGGAAAATGTCTCAAGCTTTCTTTTTTTTGTTGTTATGTGTTTTTTTTGTTTGTTTGTTTGTTTTTTGGAGATGGAGTATTGCTCTGTCGCCCAGGCTGGAGTGCAGTGGCGTGATCTCAGCTCACTGCAAGCTCTGCTTCCTGGGTTCACGCCATTCTCCTGCCTCAGCCTCCCGAGTAGCTGGGACTACAGCCGCCCGCCGCCACGCCCGGCTAATTTTTTTGTATTTTTAGTAGAGATGGGGTTTCACCATGTTAGCCAGGATGGTCTCAATCTCCTGACCTCATGATCTGCCCACCTCAGCCTCCCAAAGTGCTGGGATTACAGGTGTGAGCCACCACGTCCAGCCAAATGTCTCAAGCTTTCTAGCCTCTACAGTGGGAGATGGTGAAGAAGTGGGAAATCATTGTTGCACTTACTAGTGAACAGTTGCTGTCTGGCACAGCAGCTAACTCAACATGAAACCCAACTGCAGGACCTGAAGACCCTGTGGCCTGCAGTATTTATCAAAAATCTTCAGATTGGGGATTATAAAGTGAAGGTATCATTTGGGTGGAAAGGAGGAGGGTCGGAGAGGCAGCCAGTGCTTTATTTTTTTGTTTAAATGGTTTCGTATTATATATACGATAGGTCATTGCTAACAATGTGCAAACTGTTGAGGGAACATTGTATAAATTTATTTCTTGGAAAAGTTTATTTAGAGTTTTAGTGGAGAAGCTAGAGAAGAAAATACCATTTAATGTTATTTCTGTACTGCTATATTACATTTTAATATATGAATTACTCTATTTTTTAAAAATGATGGATAAACTACACTTCCCTTTAGTTGTTTTTATTCTGAGATAAATGCCTGTTTTGTAAATCATTGTTACCTGATTTTGGTAATCTCTATTAGAAAGAAATCTCTTTTTATTAATATCTGTATACTTAACTCAGACACTGGGAAATTCTTGCAAAATGCTTTACAAAAGCAGCCATTTTAAGCTGATTAAAAGTATATTCTATATGCATGTATGTAGTTGAAGTGCTACCAAACCACGTATGTATTTAGTTAACTAAACTCAAGAATCATGGAAGTTTGAAGAACTCCAAATCACAGCTAAGAATGCACTAAAGGAAAACCATATCTGTTTGACTCCAGCAAATTGACTCGTGTGATATTTTTGCTTACACCTTTCTGCAGCTTAACTGCTGAGTTAGCTGTTCTTTAATGTCCTTGACAAATTCAGGAAGTCATCACATGTAGATAAATTGAGAAAAATATTTCTGCCAATTTGGTCCTGATCATTTCTTCTTGGGGTTATAAATTTGGGTTTTCATGATCTAGATGTTAATAAAAAAGAACCCCAGATAATCTGAAGGGTTACTCCTCAATATTACTATGATAAGTTTAGGGTCTGTGAGTTGGCTGCCTACTGAGTACCTAAAAGCATGGGAACTTTTACAACATATAATCCAATACGTAATCACTTTGTCAGGCTGAGCAAGTTAGTGGAATCTTTAGTAATACTACGATAATTAAATAGTTAAGCTATAGGATAAAAGGCAAAACTGTTTTATTAGGGAAGACTATGCTTAGACAGTCTTTTAGAATGATTGAAAGGGTATATAGATATGAGAACCAGTCTGCTATTCCAAATAATCTAGTTAGGATTAAAAATAAAAATTTTGTCCAGATGCTGTATGAAAATCTACTTTATAGTAGGATTATAATTATTGCTTTGTTTTAATAGGGGACTCTTAGAGACAAGGAAGAAAAGAGTAGGGAAACCTATTTGTATAGGAAAATATAGTACATTTCCATTCAATATCTACCTATAATGTGAGAGATTATGCCAGACGCATTGAAATTGCTGTCTTTAATCTTCATCCCAATCTTATAAATTAGCTTTTGTTACCACTGTTTCCTTGATGAGGATGCCAAGTCCACACCAAATGACTTGCCTGAGATATGTATTCATTACATTTTGGAGTTGAGCTTTGAACCCAGCTCCGTCTGTGTTCCATACTCATTTCTTTTCCCTGTATCAGAAGATCCACCCACACTGGCCAACTGAGAAGAAAAATAGCAGATGGGCTTAAATATGGGTAAATGTATGATAATGTACTTAGTGAAGAAACACCTACCAAACTACTTATAGTTTATAGACTCTTAGGTGTTAATTTTAACTCATGAAAGAAACCTGGGAGTCATAGGTTTCTTTCTTAAATATGGGTAAATATATGATAATGTACTTAGTGAAGAAACACCTACCAAACTACTTATAGTTTATAGACTCTTAGGTGTTAATTTTAACTCATGAAAGAAACCTGGGAGTATAGGCTCTCTCAGCATGATTATTGTCTCTTCCCTACAGTCAATTCAGGAGGGTTTATTGAGGACCTACTTTGTGTGAGGATAAATATAGTGTTCTTGTACTTAAAGAACTTACATCTTTTCCTTCCTTCTGGCCGGGCGCAGTGGCTCACGCCTGTAATCCCAACACTTTGGGAGGCCAAGGCGGGCGGATCACAAGTTCAGGAGATCGAGACCATCCTGGCTAACACGGTGAAACCCCATCTCTACTAAAAATACAAAAAATTAGCCGGGCGAGGTGGCACACACCTGTAATCCCAGCTACTCGGGAGGCTGAGGCAGGGGAATGGCATGAACCCAGGAGGTGGAGGTTGCAGTGAGCTGAGATCATGCCACTGCACTCCAGCCTGGGTGACAGAGTGAGACTCTGTCTAAACAAAAAAAGAATTTACATATTTTCCCATAAGACATTTCTTATGTTCCCATAGTGAGAAAAATAACCCTGTAAAAACCTCTTTAAGCAATATCTCAATCTGTATGGCAAGGAAGATAGATGAGTGTACTCATGTATGATCGTGTACTGATTTGGAGTATGTTTTGGAAATGAAGACTAAAACTTTCACTTTAAAATAAGGTTACTTTTCTCTAAAGGAGGCATTTTCTTTGTAGAGTCATTATGATATTATTTCATAGCTATTAAAATTTGCTATCTTGATGCTTGGTTATTCACTGAAAGGAATGAAATATTTATTAAGGTCATATTACTGTTGTGTACAAAGGGAGCCACAGGGTGACTTTTATGCTATGCCTTTTTGGTAGCGGTGTTTCTGCTGGGTTGCATCAATGTCTGTAGATTTTATTGATTATAATTAAGTCAGTCTGCATTGTCTCTGAGAATTTACATGGCTTTAAAAATCAATCTCTCACATACTCATTTTTTGAAATAATTTGAAAAAGGATCTCAGTAGAAGGGACAAATCTACAACTATTAATCCTGTTGTTATTTGTTTGAGCCAAAAATGGTGTTATTTCTCATTAAAACATTTGCAGGTTTTAGGTGTTATGATCCTTTTAGTTTTCTTTTAATTTCATTTTCTCTACCACCAAGCTTTCAAAGGCATTTTACAGCTTATTTTTATCTCTGGTAGATTTCTGGGTATGCCTGGCAAAACCCCTAGCTCAAATCCTGAAGGTTATTTAAATTCCAGTGTTGGATGCTCTCCACATATATAGATTTTGATGTACACTTAATAAGATTAGGAAGATTTTATGCCAGTTGATACCTTGCATGTACATGATGGATCAGATAAAGGACCATCAGAGGGCTAGTGGGTCTGAGCTTTGATTGCAGGTAGTGGGGAACATTGTCAGAGCTTTTTTTGTGTTACTTTAGGTATACATTTTTAAGCCAAGTTTAGCACATATATTTATGTTAACTTGGGGCATTAATAATCATATAAGCTTGTGGAATTAACCCATACAGATATAGAAAAGCAAAGCCCTAATCAATAGTGCAAAGACCAGTTGTGATTTTTAAAAACCACTGCTTCTGTGGAAGTGCAAGCATTGACTTATGTTTACATTATTTTTCTAAAGCAACTGATTTCAGTGACACCTACTTCTGCCTAAATTGGCTGTCTCTGCGTGTGCATGTATATTAAAGGTATATATTGAGAGATATATTTGAAAAAGTTATAGTTTTTGAAATAAAAAATACCCTAGTAAATTGCCCTTTTATGATGGGGAATGATTAAATAAAACAGCATTATTTATAACATTAACTAGAATTAAATATACAGCTGGGTGAGACTTTGTTTGTTTGGAATTTCTTAAAGGAATTAGCTTCAGTTTCCTAAACTAGAGATATGTGAAGATTATGAACACCAACATATTCTTATGACCTTGATTTTTGAAGGTGTTCAATGAAAAATTCTTGGATTATATTCCTTAAAATTCAAAATATATTTGGAATACTCCAGGACTATTTCATGCTTGTAAGATGGAGGTTATGTATCTCTTTTCTAAGGCTTGAAAAATTAAGCCCTGGCTATAGCAATCTTGGTGTTGTCTACAAACCCACAGCTTTGGTCACAGTTTTTTGAAAACTTAATTATGAATGGCTGTTAAATATTTTTCATTTACCAACTTATCAGCATTTCCTTTTTTGCAGCAAGACTTACTTCCTTTGCTTATGGAAGGCCCTAAGTTTGTTTAGAAAACAAAGTCTGTCTTATCATAATTTTGTTGGTGAGAAGATGCAGCTATATAAAACAAAGAACAAACCTGTGAAACTTCTGCTCCTCCTATCAGGCTCTGTTTGTGGGAAGCCTAAATGCATAAAATAGCAACTTGTTAAACTTAGCCTTGACTCTGTTTAAGGGGATCTTTTATTTGCAAAATTTAGTCAATTCCTCCCTAAAGGAAAAAAAGTCATTTTAGTGGATCTTGAAAGCTTTTAGATAAATATTCCAAGTTTTTTTTCCCCTGCTGCTGCAAGCTTAAAAGGCAACATAGAAGGTCTGAAGCCTGGTTTTTCCAGCTGTGTAACAAGCACAGAAGAGAGGATTCTAAATATTTACTCCTTTTTCCTTCCCACTATTCTGTGTTCCAGTCAAACTTGATTTCTTGCTGTTTGTTTCCAGGACACTTCTCACCCTGCATTCTCTTAGTTTGTCCCCCCAAGGAATGCTCTTCTTTCCATCCTCACATCTCTGTCCAGTAGAATCCTATTTGTCATTCAATCTGCATTTAAAATGCTATCAGCTCTTCCTGAAGACTTTATGGACACCCCCAACCAAATGTGGAAAGGGGTCCACAATTTCCAGTGCAATTACCTTACCTACTTTTTGGCTGGACTCAGTACTCTCATTCTACCTTGTGTGTTAGGTGTTCGTGTACTCAGTAATGTTCGGTGGTCAACCGATATTTACTAAATGCCCCTTATTGTCAAACACTGTGTTACTTACTGGGGAAAGCGAACGGTTTAAAACATGGCCCATGATGTCAGTAACCTCTTTCTTGTTTTTTTTCTCCCCAACTTGGTTCTGAATTCCCAGTTGGTAGAAATGGCCTTATAATTCTTTGGTGTTCTCTGTGAATCCTGGCTTCTTGCACATAGTAGCTGCTCAAGAAATGGTCATTGAGCCATATTAGTTGAGTAAACCAGTTTTCTTCTGATTGAATTTGAACAGCAAAGATTTTTAGCTTTCTTCTTTGGTATTTAAATAAAAGTAATGTTATTTGTTCTATTTGCCATTATATTGTGATTTTTGGTGGTACAGAAAGGAAGATTTTTCCCATTACCCCTACCATGTAGTCGTTGGGCATTTGTTGTTTGGAAGGCATGGTAAATTAGCACAGGTCAGGCAGTCAATTTTATTGAGTACCTGTAGGCACTGTGTTGGCCTCCTCATCTGGCTATATAGAGCTACCCTGGAGATCCTCATGCATAGACAACTGTCTGACTGCAACCTCTGGACACCATCAGCTGTGGCTTTCATCAAGTTCCCAAAGGCATCCTTGACCCCAGAGGTTAAGTGAATGAATCTCACACCTGTCTCCCTGAAAGATTTCTAAAATGTCAGTGGCATTTGGACAGGTTCACAGCTGCTCTGATCCACAGCATTTTCTAGAACTTCCTTTTACCTCGATGGGGGAGGAGGAATGCCTGTGAACTTGAGCTGACCTTCAAGACGCTGTAGGGCTCTTGGGCAAATTATGGACAAGACCTACATTGTTAGGATAGGCCCAGAAATCCAGCTTGCTAATAAATAGCCTTGGGAGGTGCTCACAGTCGAGTCATAGCATTTGGCATTTCCCTGTACTCTAGCCTGTGTAGGATTTCTGGATGCTTAGGACTGTAACCAAACTTGAACTCTTGCCTGGGAATATGCCCTCCCCCACACCCCCAGACCTTTTTTTGCCATCTAAATGACAAAGATAACTATCAGTAACATTTTGAACTTTCCTACAAAATTGCATTCTTCGTGGTGTATAGTAGGAAGCATTTCTTTACCTTGGAACTTTAGAAGAGGGTCTGAACTGAGCAAAAATTAGTGTCCCTGCCTTTTTAACGGCTGGACACTTATCACAAAGCTGTGCCAACATCAGTGATGGTGCACCCACAAAGGTGTTTGGTCTTGATAAGCTTCTAAAGAAGCAGACTTTGTTGTTGTTTTAAACAGTAATGAACTGTTTCAGTTTCATAAAAAAAAAAGAGACATTCTTTCTTAAATAGAAAAGGGCAGAAAGTTTATAGAGAATAATGTCTAACTTGCTAATGCAGTGTTTGCCTTTGCTCTGTGGCATGTGTGTGTGTGTGTGTTTATGTAGGCATGCCTACACGGCTGCTTGTGTTAATACTTAGTATAAAGCCTTAAAATGGATACCAGATTGGCTATGTAACCTTGGAAGATTTATTTACACTCTCAGTTTCTTTTATTCCCAATCTTTTATCAAATGGTGTTTATTATATTCTCTGAAACCATTAAATAAAAAGGACTGTGGAAAAATTCTAAAATGCTAAAATTATTCCAGGCTAAAAAAAGTATTACAATAGGATGATGATGTTTAACCCATCTACTTGAAATAAAAAGCCGAGCAAATCGAAATGTGATATATTTTAGAAGGTATTTCTTAGAGAAAAAAATGTTTAATGTTCCTTCTAGACTGCCATTATTCATTGTATTTTTATTTTAAACATAATTATGAAATATTTTGAAAGTAATCAAGTAAATGTGGTGACATTTTTTTCTCTGGTTGAGCCAAGTGATAATAACAGATAACTGTTATCTATAATGCATACTACGTTGACTCATTAAAGCCTCATCTTTGTTAAAACATTGAATATAGGATTTGAGAAGAGGAGAAGTTTCCTTATTTAGGAAAGGTTTTTGGTAGGTCTTTCTTGAAGAAATGGAGAAAATGGCCTGCTGATCTAATCTGAGGACGAATAAGAGAATCCTCCTCCCTGTGGCTATCATTCCTATGGTGCTATACCTGTGTGGGTGTGGATGTGATGGTGTGTGCCTTTGTTGGGGGAAAGAGAGCACAGATTGTCATAAGGTTGTACCCTTAATTCTCATCTTCTGTACTTATAGGAACTGTGTGCTTGCCTAGAGACAGCAGCATTTGGTCCTTGAAAAACGGGATTTCCTGTGCACCCCTTAGAAATCCTCAGGGGCTGATACAAAGAGTAATTTCAAAGAGTTTACCTTAAGAGCTTTGTCACTGAGTGCAGAGAAAGGAATTTCTGTGATGATTCCAAACTTAGAGTCAGTGCTAAGGAAGAATCCATAGAGCTCCAAGGACTTCAACCTCAGGGGAGAAAAGCAGTAATTTATGGATCTTTCTAGAAATTACGGTTGGGTTCTTTCCCCTCTCAACCCAGGCTTCCTTAGTCACGTGACTGGAATTTAATTATCAGTGCCATAAATAATCTTGTGAATGGAAGCAGTGTATTTGGCAGTGAATTTCTGCTTCCTAAAGAGAAAGGAACCTTTAGAAGTTATTTGAAATAATTCTGTATTAGCCACGATCCTGGAGGCAAATGGTCACAGAAGCAGAGGATGGTATCCCCAGAGAAAAGTGGGTTTTAGATGAGTCAGATAATGTGGATATGTGCTGGTGACGAATGACATGAAGGTTGGATGTATTTTTTAAAATACAAATTTAAAGCAGGCTGTATTTAGAAGTTTATTTATAATTGGTTTTAGGATAAAGCCAGCCTGTTGATGCATAACAGAGTTGATCTTTTGGTTCCATTAGCACCCTTGAAATATTTAACAAGAAGCTGACTTTAGCATCTGAGCCCTTCCAACCACTGTTGGAGATGAGGCAGTCCATGTTGGATAATTCTTGTTGTAAAACAAGCAGACACCTCCTTTGTTTTTCCATCTTGCCCCAAGCCCTGTGTTCTAGACTAGGGAAGGTCAGCTCTTTTTATAGTCAGAGGTCTGTATGCCTTTGAAAATATCCATTCCCTTACCTGTCCTCAGCCAGTAACAATTTATGTCCTGAAGATAGCAAGGAGTGCTGATTTAATTTATTTTACAAACAGTGTCCTTTCATGGGAGAGAGCAGGCTGGTAAAATTGTTTCAAGAATCAGAACATTTTTCTTGGTTATTTATAACATAACTCGACAATCTAGCTACACAGGGCTTCATTCATTTGAGAAAGACTATTGAATCCAAAAATAATAATCCTTTATATTTGTACAGTATTTGCAGTTTTATAAGGAACTCTTCACGTTCATTTTCTCATTTGATTTTTCTGACAACTCCATTAGGGTAGAGAGGGCAGGTATTGTTACCTCCAAATTACAGATGAGGAACCTGAAACCTGAGTGCTTGTAAGTCCTACCCAGGGTTTCACAGCCACTCAGTGACTGGGACTGGAGCCCCCTAGATTTTACCCTAGCTCAAAAGCCAGTGCTCTTTCCACTATTCCGTTTTGATACCCTTGGAAAGTTCACTGCTTATCTAGGAAAGAAAAATTGGTAGTTCTTGCTGAGGAACGTGGAAATCTGAAGGAGAGACAGATCTGAGAGAGTCACATTGGCTAGTAAGTAAAACAGGAAAAGACCAAGGGTGTCTAGGGACCTGGCCTCCTGCCCTGGTTCATTCACTGTGTGATCATGGGCAAGTCACTGACTTCTCCTTGCTTGAGATTTATTTTCTTCTCTTTTCTTTTCTTTTCTTTTTTGACAGTCTCATTCTGTTGCCCACGCAGGAGTGCAGTGGCGTGATCTCGGCTCACTGCAGCTTCCACCTCCTGGGTTCAAGTGATTCTCCTGCCTCAGCCTCCCGAGTAGCTGGGATTACAGACATTGCACCACTATGCCCTGCTAATTTTTTTGTATTTTAATAGAGATAAGGTTTCACCATGTTGGCCAGGCTAGTCTCGAACTGCTGGCCTCAAGTGATCCACCTGCCTCGGCCTCCCAAAGTGCTGGGATTATAGATGTGAGCCACTGTGCCTGGCCCTAATTCCCCTTTATGTTTTCTCTCACCTCTCTGGCCAGGGCTCTGAAGATATTCCTGGGAGAATGAGGGTACATGCCACAGAGGGAGCCTTGGGTTTACAGTCAGCATAGCCCTGCCCATTTCCAGCTGCGTAACCAGGAGAAGTGGTGGCTTTTCTCAGCCTCAGTTTATTCTGTACAGCTGGGGTGAGGGTGGTACCTAAGAGAATTAAGTGAGGTAATGGATGTAGGGTCCTTGGCATAGTGACTGGTACTCAATATCCTCTAAATAAATATTATTCTGTGTTAGGGAAAAGTGAATAGAGATAAATGCTAAGGGTAGAGGTGACGAGAGAAGTGGATGGAGACAAGGATGGCTTTTGGATTTGACTGTTTTCTCCACTGTAAGCACTGTTTGTTATCTTTCAGCTTTCATTTTGTCTCTCATCTTTTCCCCCTTCAGATGTGAGGTGTCTTGAAGGAAGAGACATTTAGAAGGTGAGGGCATTATGCAGATGGAGAGGTCGGCGGCTAAATGTGGTTACTGAAGCCCTGCCTTGGGTCTGTTCCCAGCCTTCCTTGATTTTGAAACACATGCGCTCTCAGCAGGCCAGGGTAGTTTGCAAAGCTGTTGTGGAGGCTTTTCCCAGGCAGTGTTACCTGCTCCGAAAGCTGCAAGCGTGCCTACACACACTTCACAAAGCAGATGGTTTCTTTTGCTTTCCATGTGGTCTAAAAATCAAATGGACTTTTAATGGAAAGGTTGGGGAATTCCACACTCAATTATGAATCCAGTGCAGTGCAAGGGGCAGAGAGATGGTATACCACACCTTTTAGAAGAATTTGTTACTCCTGGTCTCATCTGGCATTGGAGTGGGGAGGTGAGAAAGAGGAAGTAAGTAAATAAAGCTGCTACTCTGTGCTCCAAAACTACTGAGTAGCTGACATCTGCCATTTGCATTGAAAACTGAGAAAGAGGAGTGTGGTTTTGTTTTTGATTCCACAAGATGATGTGGAAGGGCAAATTGTTTTGGTTCTATGTGATAAACTTTGAGTACCTCCTGTGTGCCTGATACTATGATGGATACATATGCCTAGGGTAAAAGGATGAGAAGACACAGATCATGTCTTTGAGACGTTTAGCTTGAGTCACATTTGCTGAGACTGAAGTTGGGCTTTGCATTTGAAAAGCTAGCATTTTTGGATGCACTTTTGATGGGACCCAACAAGAGATGATTTGTTTATTTGGGAAGAATCCTGGCATGCAGTGAGGAGCACCTTTGTAGCTAGAACATGCTTAGATTTTGGTATTCTTGAAAATGTGGCCTCCTCCCCAATGCCAGTGTATAGGATTTAAAAAAAAACAAAAAAACACATCTCAAACCTTGGCATTTATTGAATATTAACAGGCCAGGCACCAAAGCATTATTCAGCATTGACACTTAAACTTTTCTGTATTGATTATTATTATTATTATTATTATTATTTTTTGAGACAGGATCTCACTCTCTTGCCCAGGCTGGAGTACAGTGACATAATCTTGGCTCACTACAACTTGTGCCTCCCAGGCTCAAGTGATTCTCTTGCCTCAGTCTTTTGAGTAGCTGGGACTACAAGCTCGCACCACCACACCCATCTAATTTTTGTATTTTTTGTAGAGACGGGCTTTCACCATGTTGGCCAGGCTGAGCTCAAACTCCTGGCCTCAAGGGATCCACCTGCCTTGGCTTCCCAAAGTGCTGGGATTAGAGTCATGAGCCACAGCGCCTGGCCCTTATCATGATTTTGAGTTTATGAAAAATGTTGTATAACTATAGATGGGAAAAACTATTATTGAATGTTGTTGTCATTTTCTACCATTGTAATTGTTAGGGTAGAGTACCAAATGGTATTTAGCAAGGTAACAATGCCATACCTCCTCCAGGTCCTCAAAAAAGGCAGTATTAAAAATGAACCTACACTATAGGAAGCCTTATTCTAGTAGGCCAGTATTTATGCAGATGATTGTTACATTTATTTATTGTCACATGTCATAGTCTGTGTAAGTCAGTTATTTCACAGGTAAGCTACATCTTCATGTGGTTGCCTTCTGCAAGTGTCTCTTTCCTTCTTAGGTCACAGCTAGCTATATAGTCAGTCACTTCCTCACTTGCTCATGCAACAATTTTTTTGACACCTACTCTGTGCCACAAACTGTAATAGTCATGCCATCACGAAGCTCATAGTCCAGGGGAGAAAGAAAAGCAAAGACAATACAGCTTGATTTGTGATAGAATTAATGCAGAGTGCCCCGGGCTATCTTTCTGCACGAGACCCCATCAAAGCCAAGTTGCAGAGGATGAGTGGGAATTGAGAGGCAAAGGGTTGGTGCAGGATGGAGATAGGAAGCATGGCATGTGTAAAGAAAAGCAGAGAGGTTGGGGAGAACAGGGTGTGTTCCAGCAGTTGTGCCTAGTTCTGCCCAGGCCGAAGAGCAAGGCAGGAGTCCGCTTAGGAAAGCCTGCAGCTAACTGCTGTGTCACCTCTAGTGGAAGGCTTCATGGCAGCTGGTGAAAGTCTCCTAGCAGGGCCATACTTATCTTTTACCGGGTGATAATTCTCCCCCACCCTTTTTAATTTTTGCCATTTTTTTTATTATAAATGCTGTCATTTTAAGTTGGGGCGTAAACGTAGTATGCAGGAGGCAGGCATGAATTAATGAATAGTAAAGTCCTCTTAAATTGCCTTATAAAACTAAGTCCTACCAGGTTCCCCTTTCATCTCAGCAGATGTTTTACAGGATAGAAATAAAATCTATTTTGGTTTTTTAGCGTACCAGAAGATAAAACATCTGGCTGAGTGGATTTTCTCCCCTCTGATTGCTTACTTCCACTTAAAGCTTTTTTCATATAAAATTTATTGATATTTTTAAAAATTCTTTCTTATTATAAATGAGTAATATTATCTTAAGTTTAGAAAATTTGGAAAAAGAAAAACTACATAGATGAATACTACAGTTAACCTTAATCTTACTACTTGAAGAACTACTATAAAATGATAGATGGATATTCTTTAAAAATTTTTTTTTCTATGCTTGTATACATTCTTTAATATGAGCAGAATCAAATTGCAATAAACTGATTTTTAAAAAATTCATTTATTCAAGAGATACTTGGGCTGGGCGCGGTGGCTCATACCTGTAATCCCAGCACTTTGGGAGGCTGCGGCGGGCAGATCACGAGGTCAGGAGATCGAGACCATCCTGGCTAACACAGTGAAACCCCGTCTCTACTAAAAGTACAAAAAAAATTAGCTGGGCATGGTGGCGGGCGCCTGTAGTCCCAGCTACTCGGCAGGCTGAGGCAGGAGAATAGCGTGAACCTGGGAGGCAGAGCTTGCAGTGAGCCAAGATCGCACCACTGCACTCCAGCCTGGGCGACAGAGCGAGACTCTGTCTCAACCAAAAAAAAAAAAGAGAGAGATACTTGTTATGTTTCCGTGCTTTATCTTCATTTTTGCTTGGTAAAACCTTTCAAATGCCCTACAGGGAAATCTGGCAATTGTTGGGAATATCAAACATAGGAAAGTAGAAGTAACTGTATTTCCCTCCTTCCCACATTTGGGTCTCTCTATTTATGAAAAAACGCAAAAGAAGCTTATCCGGAGATAGTTCAAAGATTGCTTTAAATGTGTCAAGTTATTTCAATCTCCTATGCCTTCTGTACACATCTTCAACAGGATTTGGTGAATTCACAGTGAGAGTCATAATAATAATCGTGATTTTGAAAAGTAATAGTTGTCTAACACTTTCCCATTTATCTAGTGATGCTATATGCATTATCACATTTAATGCTTAAAACTTGAGCTATTGTTATCCCTATTCTAACAAGATAATCAAAGCATGGAGAAATTAACTCTGTCTTGCTAAGATCCTCAGATATGTTCTGAATCATAAAAGGTTATGTTATATTTAGCACAGTGTTTATAGTAAGAATGTTTTCTCTATTGTGTGTGTGTGTGTGTGTGTGTGTGTGTGTGTTGGAATACCATTATAATCTATAAGTCTCTCTTGATTTTCAGCTAGTGTGACTCCCCTTTCCATAACTCCCACCTCAAATTTGAACCATCCTGAATAGAGAGGAGCTTTAATAAACCAACTCTATTATTGGTTCTGTAAGACCTTGACATTTGCAAACTTTATTTTTTGCCTTTTCTCCCACACAGTAGCCACTCTTGCAAATCAACCTTGGGAAGTTAGCATTCTTAATGAAGATCTATAGGAGACTTTATCCTTAGACAGTAAATCAGCTCTTTCAAGGCACCATTCATCTCCCTTCGAGCGCATGAATTGGTATATGGCACCTTACAAGAGCTCATTTATCTTATGTGGGTCCCTAGTTATTACTTTTGCCCACTTCCCCTAGATCGCCAGAGATCAAGGCAGAAATGAAGTAGAGGATGGCTTTGCACTTTGAAAATTTGCCAAGGTCAGCTGAGGTACCTGTGGCATTGACTTAGAGCTGGTGTTGAGTATTACCCATAACTTTTAGGGTGATATCACCCACACTGGCAAATAATTAGTTTAGTTTGTCAAAGCATTTGAATTGTGCTTGGTTAAATAAAAATGGCTAGAAGGTAAAGTAATAGGGGAAAAAGTTTGTTACCTTGAGAATTTTTTTCCTCTTTAACATTTGTCCAAATCATATTGACATACTTTTGGCTTCCATATTAGTGATAAGGATGAATTTTTACTAAGTGCCTAGGCTATATGCTAGGTGCTTTTCCAAATGCCTTAAAAAACAATTCTACCACGATATAGGAGCCATTATCCTCCTTTCATATAGGAGGAGCTGATCATCACTGATGTTAAATAACTTGCTGAAGGATATGTGTAACCAGATAGGTGGAATCAGGATTCAATCCGTGTATCTCCAGTGTTTGCCCCTGTGACTGTGGTAAGGCTGCAGCCTTATTGGAAGTCATCCACTTGTTTAAAAGGATGATGCATACTCTGTGCATAATGTTTGATAACGAATTAATTGAAGTGGAATAGCATGAGCTTACAGTTTGCAGTGGACCCCGAAGCCAGGCTTTCATTGCTAAAGGAGCTAATACTTGTTTCTGTGGTTTGGGTTTCCTCACAAGCAGACTCTGAAACAAGGTTTTGAGTGCAAGTATTATAGTTTATTTGGGAGGTGATCCCAGGAAGTATGGTGAGGGCATATACTCAATAACGGATGCCCTAATGAGCAGATTATCACTGTGAGAGATTGGGCTCCCTGCCTGTGGGCACCTCCCTGACAGACTGTAGAACATGCCTCATTGTTTAACTGAGAAGCAACTCCTTGTCTTTCACTAGTTGAGAGTTGCTCCTGAGTGCATTAAGTCCCCTGCCCTTTCAGCCTGCCCCACTTTGCCATGTGGACAGAGAAAGCCCTGAGGCAGAGAGACTACGGTGTTTGTGCTTCAAGTTGGACAGCATGTCTGCCCCAGCTCCAGGTGACCTCCACGGAGTGTGAGCAGCATGTGGGGAGGACACCAATAGTTTCTGTTACATTTGCTTTTGAAGCCAGCATCAGTGCTGATAAAGATGCATCCAGACTGATGCACCTGGCTTTGGGGGTGACAACCTTGTATAAACAAGTGAGACAGGAGAGGAGGCAGTGAAGCTAGGATTCCTCTTAAGAGAAGAAGGTAGGATTTGGAATCAGGCAGTCTGGGGTATTGTTCCTAGTTCTGTACTTACTAGCTGTATGCTGGGCAAGTCAATTTGTTCGAGTCTCAGTTTTCTCAGCTATAAAGTGGACATAGCTGCCTCACAGGGATCAAATGCAATGCCATTCGTAAAAGCGTTTGTAAATGATAAAGCGACATGCCACCTTTGAGTCATTGCCATTGGAGCTCCTGATTGAGGAATCTGGTGGAGTACTAGGTGCTAGCAGAGCTTTGAGGGCAGCTGTTTGCTTTACAAGACACACCTGAAGGCTGCTATCTTGGCTCAAGAAGCCTGTCCTCAAATATCCTGACGCTTTGAAAGTCAAGGGTAAGGGATTCAAACCCTATGTAGGCCCCTTTCTCTCATCTGGTTTCTGGCCTACTGAGAGTTGCTAACCCTGCTTTGCACCAGGTGAGACTGTATTTCCAATAGCCCCCTATCGAGTGCAGAGATGTTTTGGGGGGTGAAAGTTGATTTTGATTGGATTTACAACCCCATATATCAAGCACTAGACTAAAGGTCCATCAGCCTTTAGAAGAAGCCACAGTGGTTTTCATTTCTTTCACTCTGTTTATCTTCTGACCAAAGGCTGACTCTTCCACAGGCGGCTGATATCGAGTCAATCAGGACTCTTTATGCATTATGTGAATTTGGCCCTCACACAGCTGAGAATGGCCTGAATAGCTAAGAGAGCATCCTCTCTGCAGCACCTCTTGACTCCTCAGGACGAGTCACACTGAAAGAGGCAGGTGGATGCCCCTGATTGTGTCCCCTCCCATCCAGCATCATGGCCAGCACTGCCATTCCTTCACCCCACCCACCCCAGTTAGCCCCTGGCTTGAACTCCGTCACTCAAGAGGGAACATTAAAAACCCCACACCTCTGACTCATACTTTGATTTTGTGGCCTAAAGAGGCAAAGACGCCGTAAGGAGCTTTTAGGGGCCATCACTATGGAGCCTCTTTATTGCCCAGCAAAAGCCTTAAATGATAATGGGAAACCTCACTATTGATTGGCTGACTCTTAATTCTTCCTCTTTGGGTTTTGAAGTAGAAGTGATGGTCCAGAATATTTATATTACTCATTGGATATATTAAATTAAACATACAAAAGTCCTACAGCCATTTAAGATGGGGTTGCAGCACTGGTGAATACGACTTTATTACCAAGAGAGAAGAGTAGCTTTTAGTTGTGGCTTAGCTGGAATATATTGATGATAAGAATGGCTCAGCAGACAGAAGTCTTGGGACTCTCAAAAAGGCTCCAAGTGTGCTTTCTTTTAAAAAAGTTATTTAGGCCCATCCTTTATAAACACCCAAGTAGATGGTCTGATGGGGTCATGGTAACAAAGATTCAGCTTCTATCTAGGTGGATGGTAAGACCCGCTAACATCTTGGCAAACCGTGTTATTGGGCCATTAAGGACCAGTGCTTGAATTCTGGGGCTGAAAATTCAACGTATTCCCTTATAAGAAAATGTCTGCTCATGATAAGAAGTCACACAAAGTACAACCTCACTATAGTACAGGATTTAGAATCTTTATTTCTCCATCTCATCTTAAACCCATTGGAAGTTAGCATGGATTAGAGGGTCGGTTGACTCTTCTCAATGACGGGGCTGGCATATAAGAGCTAAAATTTTTATTATTGAGTTACTACTCAAGGTTTTAAAAGATTTTGACCCCTGGAAAAAAATACAGTGCTTGAGGCAGTGAAATAGTTAATATGACTGCCTCCCTTACAGGTTTCCCCAGATATGCTTACTTGCTGTACAATGGATAATTGTTAGCTCTTGTTGTGCAGATGCTGTTGCAGATGGAGTCCTGTACCTGCATGCATAGCAAATGAATTAGACTGGCAATCCCCTTTATAAAGCATAAATATGTAATTTGTTCAGCTGTTGTAATTAAATATGTATGTGTGAAACAGCCACCATTCAGGTCATTAATGATGCGCCATGCCAAATTAGAGCTTACAGACAGTAATGTACATTGTTGTGCAATGAGGGAATTGCAAATAACATGGCTAAGCCTTTCCTAGTAAAGGGATGCATTCAGCAGCTTTAAAAAGAATATTTACATTTGTAACATAATTTTTATTTAGAAGGTACATTTTTGTTCATTGTGAAAGTCTGTAAGATGGAATTACTTTCATCTCCACTTTAGTTTTATTATTGTTTTAACATTTTATCATACAAATGCAACAGACTTTATTAAACATGCTGCTTGGTGATAAGTGTTAAGTATCTACTTACATATAAAACAGCAGTTACCCCTGGTTTTCTACATGGCTGTGATAGAACTGATGTATCATAGCACTGTGGAATGTCTTGATAATTTCATTGCATTAAAAAAACCACCTCATAATATTTCAACTCTATTCCCTACTGATACATAAAGAAATTCCTGTGATAGTAAATAGTATTTTTATTTCCATAGAAATTGGGCTGAGAAAAATGCAGTTATCAAAATATAAACAAATAAAAGTGGTAAATGTGCCTCTTGTGCTTTAATTCCCAATGAATTACTTGTGAATCCAAGGAATTTCCTAAGAAAAGTGTCATATATGGGTCAGAATGGTTGCTTTTTAAAATTTAAGACTCAAAGTTTGTTAAGTGAATGCACTTGGGAAAATTATTGCTTTGTCCTTTTTCTCCTTGGTTTTAGGTTACAGTCTTTGAAAATACTTGAAGCTGAAATTTAAATATATAAAAACTATTTTTACTTTAAATTCTTTCTGTATTTGTATTTTGGTTGCCTGCAGTCTATTTTTAACATACATGTTGTTTTGACGGTTCATACTGTGACTACATGAGCTAACCATCTTGACCTTTCTGTCCACCAGGGCAGCAGGAGGAAGCATCTTAGAGTTAATTCTGTCTTGTTCACAGCTGGGAACAGAACATTCCTCTGTGATCCCCTTGCACATGATTCACTGGGATCTCTTGGAAGCTGGACTTGATACTATAAGTCCTAGGCTTCTAAGGTCGAACACAGATCAAACTTAGTGGCATGTTTGGTTAAGAGTTAGATTAGACAAAACCAATGAAGTTGTTAAAAGTTTCAGAAACAATTGAAAATGAAATTGATGCATGATTTTAGCTTTGCAACAAATTCAACTTTAGAAATATCCTTAAGCCTAAGATTAATCAAGATTCAGGACCTTGAAGAATTTTCAAAGTTAGAACTGTAATTTGTGTAGGGACGTAAAATCTTTATTTTCAACAAACAGCAAATGTTTCCGTTAAACAAATGTGTATTTTATTTGAAACAGATGAAATCATAACAGTTTGGCTTGCTTTACCTAAGTTATTGTTCCATAATATCAAAAAAATTACTTAAAATAAGTTCTTCTCTTCATATTCCCCGAAGTTTTTGTCCAGTTTTCTGTATAGCTTTTTGGTTCAGCCAAAAAGAGACATTTCATTTGCAGCATTAGGGAAAAGTTTAATTATTGTTTATGAAGATAGAAATGTTATATGAATGACAGTGATTTAAAAATATTATTACTTATGATTGTAGTCAACCTTTTCCCCGAATATTGAAAACCATGAAAAGGCTTTGCCCTGACAGCTACATGCTTAGCATTAACTATACTTGCAAGTTTTCCAAAAAGATTTTTTTCAAGACCTGTTTTCATTTACTTCCTTTATCCTAATTAGAGATCGTAATCTTTTGATGGGCAGCTTCTCTTATTTCTACCTGTTTCAGTACTATAGTACTGGTAAAATGGCACAGTGTATATTTTGGTTCTTGGAGGGAGACTTGGGAGGATCCATTACTTTAAAATATTTTGTTGCAGCCACCTATCAGAGGTTTCTTTTAATTTCTTTTACTGCAGGAATTTCAGAGATGCTTAAATTATAGAATTATGGACTACAGAATTATAGAATACCTAGGGATGGGAATTGGGAGGTTTGTAGGAGGCGTGCACGTCAGAAGGTGGGAGCCATGCAGAAAGGTCACAGGTCTTATCTAGGTAGTTTCAAGGAGCAAATGCTTGTTTTGCAGTAGTGGTGGCAGGGTGGTTTGGCTCATTCAAGCCCCTTGCTCTGGAGGAACACCGATAAACCATCAGGATGTCTTTTCGTCTTGCGTTAACTGTGGCAAGGCTGTGCATTAAAGAACATAACCATCACTAAAAGGGTGGGAACACCCCAGCGACCAGTGGCCAGTGGCCAGGTGCTTTATGGTAACACCACAGACATGCCTGGCCAATCAGATGTGATCTTTTGCTGGCACTTGCTCCTTTGGCCCCCACTGCAGTAAACACTTTCCCTTGGATGTTGGTTTTCTGTTGTGTCTGGCAGCCACACAGGGCTGCTTGAACTTTAGCCAGAGGCAAATATTTATACATCAGAGTGTGCAGTGTTCAACTGGTCAGGCCTGAGAGGGAGAGGGAGAGACCTCCGTGCCTTTTAGCCAAAGAGGATATGTCCTTTTTTTCCCCTTCCCTTTCCACCGTGACATGGTAAAGTGGGACCATACTGGATGTCATTTGAGCTTGCTGCATGTGCTTCTCTCCAAAACGTACACGTGCGCAAACTTGGGATGTGCTTTCAAAAGAGAGGACGTCCTGACATTTCTGCCTGCTCCTTTAATTCCTCTTGGAAAGTTTACGGTTAATATTTTCCCTGGAACATTGTCAAGCTTTTGACAGTGCCTGAGTGTATGCCGAACTGTGAAATTGAGCCGGAGAAGCAAGTTGTGAGAAATCTGTTTCTACTCAGATCCGTAAGGTTTATGGGGGGGGGAAAAAAAACCAAAAAAAAAAAAAAAAACCCAAAAAAACAAAACAAAACAAAAAACAAAAAACTTCAGAGGGGAAACTGAGAATGGGACTCGGCTTGCTTCTCCTGGTGTGGGTTCAGGCCGCCATTTTAAGGAGCCAGTGAAGGGCGACGTTCCGCTCCTTACATGGCGGCTGTATTTACTCGGCCGCAGCCAATCAGCCGGCAGTGCCAAGCCACGTGACATGCCACGAGGGCACGCACAGCCATTTCCTTGTTTCTAAAAAACTTGCTACCTCCACAGAGTACTTTACCTTGTTTTGCATGCCAAATGTTCTTGCTGAATGTGTCTAGCAGACTGGCATTTGTCCATAAAGTTATTTTAGTAGGTAAAAAGTCTCTGAGCACTTGAGCTTTGTGCATTCTTTATGTAAAATGGATTTCCCTTCTTGGCCAGAGGCCAAGGGTACAGCACACTCGCTGGGTGAGAAGAGAGCTTCTCTGCTGAGAAACTGGTGGACCGACACACTCTAATTTTTTGGCTTCTGACCAAACAAGCTAGAAGGATGCCAAAATTCAACAAAATAACACATTATTGTGTGATAGGAGCCGTGCTCCAAGAGAGCAGGAACTCAGAGGAACTTCATACTGGCCCCTTTTAAAAAAGCATTGTCACTTTGGGGAGCTTTCTTAGAGAAACGAGAGGAAAATGGTAAAATGCAACCTGGAGAGTAAGGTATAATTTGCACATGAACACGAAGGAAGGAACTGAAAGAAAACAGAGGAGTTTAAAGTTACTTCTATGAACTTTTCCCAGACATAACACACAGTTCTCTGACTTGACTTACATTCTTTTAACCCTGAAAGTTCCATCTCTGTGTCTGAGCAGAATGCTGGACTGCTTAACGTTAATATGAGAACTAATGTGAGATTTAAACACTTTTAAAAGGTTTTAATGTCTAAGGATAGCTGCAAATTCCAAATATGAAAATTTGGCAGGCTTTTGGGGGGTAACAGAAAACTTTTTAAACTTACATGCTTTATCTTTGCACCCTGACATGTGTTAAGTGAGTCAAATCTTCCTGTTAATTACTCTTGTGACATTAGCAAGTTATGTAAGCCCACTATACCTGTTTCCACATATGTATAATGAAGACGTTAAAGAAGATAGGTAGTAGTCTTCTGAGCCCTAAAGAAATTGAATTTGAATAAACAACTGGAATAAGTATAAAATGCATTTCTAGTTTTTATGTGGAAATTTGTCAATCAAAAGGAAAAAAAGGGGAATATCTCCAGTTGAAGCCACCATCATCCTTACCCAGACTACTTGGGTAATCCTGAGTATTCCCTCTTTTTCCATTCTTGTTCCTTCACACCATAGCCAGAGTGGTATTTCAAAGAAGTTAGTTAGTTTATATCACTCTTCTGCGTAAGAACCTCCAATGTTTTCTTATGCATCTAGAATAAAATCCAAACTTGTTGCATTGGCCTGCAAAGACACTGCATGATCTGTCTGGCTTCTGTATCTACCTTTCTAACCCCACTTTTTTTTTTTTTTTTTTTTTAACCGTGACTCCTTAGATGCTCCAGCCATACTGGTTTCCTTTCAGTTTTCAGAACCTGCCATCCCATTTGCTACTTGTCTGCTTAGAATGCATTTTTCCCAGCTCCTTTTGTGGCTGGCTTATTCTTACCTTTCAGTTCTTTCAGTTCGAATAATAGCCCTGTAAAAGAGTGTTCTGTCTAAAATTGTCCTTCCTGTTTATATTTTCCATAATACTAATAACAGTCTGAAATGCTCTTGTTAATTTATTTGATTACTCATTTTATTTATTTATCTTTTGCACTATGATGTCAGTCCCACAAGGATGCAAACTACGTTTACTACCTTCTTTTCTACCTTTTGCACTTTTCCTAATCACATTGGGAATAAAATGTTGGGCAAGTTAGAATACTCCAAAATATTTCATTTACCTTAAATTTTACTCAATCCTACATTTTATTACCTATACTCATAAGAATTGTATTATAAAATACATTGTTAAACGAATGTTTTCAGTGCTCCATTGAGAGTCGGTGGAGCACACTGGTTGGGAGAAGACAGAGCTGTGAGCCATCCGTCTGCCTGTGCTTGAGTCTTGGCTCTGCCATTGACTAGTTGTATGAACTGCCGCAGGTGGTTCAGCCACTCAGAACCTCTGTAAAAGTGAGATGTAAAAACACTTTCTACATCATAGGATTATTGTGAAGATTAAATGTGATATGTTGTAAAATTCTGGTCACACAAGTATTAACTTACTGTTATTTTTGCTGCCACTGCTATTAATTAATGGCAGTGTGGCGGCTCAGTACTAGGCAATGGGCGTGCAACTGTGATGAGAAACGCTTCTGTCCATTAAATCGTTCAGTCAGTGGAAGAGACATGTATGTAAATAGGTAAGTTACCTACCATACATTGTGCCAAGACCTCTCACATTATGTGAACAGAATATTAAAGAATTATAAAAGAGGGAGCAATTGCCTCTGTTAAGTAGACAGCAAAGATGCCTTATAGGAAGTAGCATTTGAGACAGATTAAGTTTCTTTTTAGGTAAAAATATGTCCCCTAGAGATAATAATAAAATAATAGCAACGGATACCTATGTACTTCTTTTACTAATGCACCAGAGTCTGTTTTACATATATTCTCTCATTTAATCCTTACAGCAACCTTATGAAACAGTACTGTTATCACCTTGATTTTACAGAGAAGGAAAGTGAGCCAAAGAGAGGTTATGTGGCATGCCCAAGGTCATATAACTATTAAATGTCAGTGCTGGGATCTCGTACATTTTCACTCTTAGGACATCTGTGCTATCCCTGCTTAGTCACTTTGGCATCCCAGTGGTGCTGTACTTTTGCTTTCATAATACATGGAAGCCCTGGAAGGATTCAGTAAAGAGCCAGTTTCACCCTGTTAGCCCTTGTTGCTTTATTTGTAAAATGTCAACTGTAAAAGTATGCACCTACCTTATAGGGTGATTATGAGAATTAAATGAGATAATTCAGGTAAAGTGCTTAGCATATTGCTTGGCATATGGTAAGCATTTAACAAATGTTCCCCGTAACTACTACTACGACTGCTATTATTATTATTATGCCATATTGAAATGAGATCTGTGATCCCTTGTGACCTGCCCGAGCCCCCCTTCTCATGTTAGCATCCATGCTGGTATATCCACTTCCAAAGAGAACAAGTTCCCAGCAGTTGAAATGGCATCCTACCCAGGTTGCTAGCACCATCCCTCAGCTGCTTCTCCAACTGCCATAACTGCCTTAGTCATTTAAAAATTACTCTTCTCGTTTTATATTTCAACTCAGAAATCGATGCATCTGTGAGGCAGTTTGTTTTCCTGGGGAAGTGTAAGGAGCGGTGGTGGTGGCATGGAGATGCGCTCCGTTTAGACTCAATATTGCCACCCACTCCCTCTGCAGTGTCAGAGAACAGTCTCAGAAAGATCTGTTCCTTTCTTTCTAGACTCAGTACCACAGACTGGCCTATCCTCTGCAACTTTGCTTAGCAGCAGGAGTAGAGAAGTATTGATTGCCCACAACTTGCCTTTAAGTCTTGTTTCTGTGGTGCAGGATTTTTAAAAAGCATTTAATGTTTTCCCTGCCTTGAAGACTTCAGAACCGTATAAATGCCACTGTTTAAAGTCCTGTCCCTGCTGAAAACCAGGGCAGGTCTCATCACAGCCCCATCTCCATTTTCCTTTTGTTGAAGTGGGTCTGTGTGAGAGCGGGCTGTGCCCTCCTTCTCCACAGGGTGGGGAAAAGGCAGCCCTGTAGTAAGGAGGTTGAATAGCCTCGCTCACTTTGCCTCCTGCTTGAGGTGGACTCCGTGTTCCCAGAGATGTTGGGCCTGGTTTAGCCAGTTGTTAAACTGAAGCAGGGTTAGCTTACCCTTGAAGTGTTTTTGTTTGTTTGTTTTTGTTGAGACAGAGTCTCGCTCTGTCACCCAGGCTGGAGTGTAGTGGTGCGATCTCGGCTCACTGCACCCTCCGCCTCCCGGGTTCAAGTGATTCTCCTGCCTCAGCCCCGGAGTAACTGGGACCACAGGTGCGCGCCCCCACGCCAGCTAATTTTTGTATTTTTGGTAGAGATGGGATTTCGCTGTGTTGGCCAGCCTGGTAGTTTTCTTACATGACCATCTTTAGATTTCAGAGAAGGAAGAACATGATCCCAGAAAGCACACAGAGTTACAACATAGCAATAGCCCCTCCGAGCTCAACAAAAACATCTATTGTGTCATGGGCTGCAAAGAAAGAGGTATGCTGGGAACCAATAACAAGATGCTAGGAATTTTTTTTTCTGTTCTATTTTAGCTTGAAAAACTTGTTTTCCCCATATGAGTTGTGCATTTACTCTTGGATCTTAAAAGAGGACAATTTATTAATCTGGGTTTAAATCCTGGCCCAGCCACTTGGATGCTGTTTGATTTTAGGCAAATTATTTGACTTTGTGCTATTGTGTCGTCATCGACATCATCATCATCGTCATCTTTTAGCTGAATTCTGTGACTCTTCTAGGGCATTTATGGTAGACAGAAATCTGTTCTTGTAATGTAGAAATCAGTCATTTAGTGTATCTGAAAATTCCCATCTTCAAAAACTAGGGCCAGATTTAGTCATTCTTTTACTCTTAACTGTTGCTACCAGGTCATACCTAATTTGTATTTTTCCAAGTTACGTATATTAAAGTCATACTAATTGGTGCCTGAGCAAGTTTTCAGATTCCTGTTTGTCCGATTCCATCTGGGTCAAATTACTTAGGTACAATAAGTGCTTCCTTGTCTGTAAAATAAGGATAGTAGTATCCATTTAATAGGCTTACTGTGAAAATGACACATGATTTATATAAAAAATGGCCAGTATGGTGTCTCTTAAAAATTGTGGGGCATTATGACCAGTCAGGCAAATAAGGGACCAAGGAGATAACTGTAATCAAATCAAAGTCCTGGTATCAGGAGGTATAGTAGGGTAACGGGTCAAGGAAAGGCATGGTCTTCTGTGGCCCAGAGAAAGCAGTGGTCTTGGCAGGTCGTGGGCTGGCAAGGTATGGAGGAGACAGATTCAGAAGCTAAGCAGACAAGGACAAGGAGCCCTGAAGATTAGAGTGTGGAGCTGGGGCCTGACCTTAGGGCAGTGACTCTTGCCCTTCTGCTTCTGTTCTGCTCTGCTTGGATTGCATATGGCTTCAGGCCCTGGAGTTACAGGTTTGGAGAGAGTGCTCTAGAGTGTGGTTAAAAGTCATTGGCTGGGTGCAGTGGCTCACGCCTGTAATCCCAGCACTTTGGGAGGCCGAGGTGGGCTGATCATGAGGTCAGGAGATCGAGACTATCCTGGCCAACATGGTGAAACCCCCTCTCTACTAAAATACAAAAAATTAGCTGGGCATGGTGGCGCGCAGCTGTAGTCCCAGCTACTCGGGAGGCTGAGGCAGGGGAATTGCTTGAAACTGGGAGGCGGAAGTTGCAGTGAGCCGAGATCGGGCCACTGCACTCCAGCCTGGGCGACAGAGCAAGACTCCATCTCAAAAAATAAAAATAAAAAAGGCTGCCATAGGTTGCGTCTCCAGCTTTCAAGTCAGTAGATCTATATCAGTAAGTTCACTGCTAGTGTTTTACTATGCAGACTCAGTTTGCCTATATTAAAAAGACTTCCTGTCTTCTTACATCCGAGGAGACTGGCTAAGCAGGAGGGCTAGGCGTGTTGAATCCTAGAAACTCACTGAATACTTACTGATGAATGGACTGGGTCTGGGTCACATCTTGGATCTGGGGAACTTTAGTTCACATTTACAGTCTTAGGATAAGGAATAATGTCACGTATTGCTTGTTCTTCTTACCGTGCTGTTTGATTTTAATAATGATATTTAGTGAATTTAATGAAATTAAATGTGATATTAAAGAATAATGATATTTTAATAGCATTGGTTGAGTGCTGCAATGTGGCACACAGGTAGCGTTGGAAGCCTCTCCATCAGTTACCTCATTTAATCCTCACACTACCTCTTTAGAGAGGTGGTACTATTTCCCCCCATGTTTTACTGACCAGGAAATTGGCACCAGGCAGGTGACACTAGAGGCCACGGTCTTAATGACCACACAACATGGTCTTCATCAGAATAGATTCCATCTCCATGATGCTTTGCACTAATTAATTCTTTCCGCAGCAGCACCATGAGGTTGGCGGTTCCTTTATTTGCCAGCTGTTTATTATTTCTGTGCTACCAACATTATGCCAGGCATGGATTGGAGTGTGGAATCATTCCTGGAAGCCAGGCCATGTTCCTGAGTTGTGCTGCTGTAAGAATTGGGATTTAAAGTTCCAAATGTGTGGCTTCCAGTATTTTCCTTCTAAAACAGACACACGTCTTATCCCATTTTTATGGTTACATCACAAGAATGATTCACATTTAATCAAACAAGTCAGGCAGAATGATAGCTAATCTATCTCAGGGTTTGTTGCAAATGTTATTTACACATATTGTGATATACCTGATTGTGTCTAGGCATCCACTGAAACAAACAAACAAATTTTATGACCTGTAGTTACACAGTTTCTAATTAGAATATGTGGGAAATCAGGGTCCAGGAATATGAGTTGAATAACATACATTCACTCTAGACCATATTTGGTTACCCTGGTACTTAAAATCTTAGTCACATGATTTAGACTTCTTGCAACACCAACTTCTTTTCTTCCTTTCTCCATGGCAGTCTTTGTATCATTTTTTTCTGCTGAGCACCAAACTCTTCTGGCAGTTTTTAAATTGAGGTTTGTAGTTTTAATGGTCTGGTACTATAAAAAGCCAACTTTGTGCCAAAATTTTTCCAAGACCAGACATGGGTTTTGACACCACAATAAATTAAAGATAAATAAAGAAACTGGCAGTGAAAATGAAGGATTTTTTTTTTTTTCAAGCAAGCAAGGGTAGCCTATTTGTAAATTTCAGGCATGTTTTCTTAGTACTTTAGCTCAATGTTACAATGCTTAGCTACATTAATCTGTTACTGGGTAACTCCAGAAAGAATGTTAGACCAAACCATTAAGAGATTGGCGATTTTTTTCCCCCTTGAGCATTATTGAAATTTGACAACATTCTCATAGTCTCTGCTTTCTTTTAAGGATTTGGCTATCAAAAATACGGGTAAGTAAAAGGAACCAAGAGAAACTAATGACCAAATGAATAGTAGTATTTAAAGTCTCAAGTTGCTATGATACAGGCTTCACCGTGACCTGAGTGGATAAATGCTAAACGGGATTTGCTTTCCGGAGAATCTGGGTGCCTGTTCCACCAATTCTGTTTGTCTCTAGCCTGGTTTTTTTTTGCCTCCTCCCTTTCCCAGCACCATTTATTTTGGGTTCTGAGAAACAGCTTCCTCCCATTACAGGCACCAATTCAATTAGGCAGGAGATAGTGCTGAAGGTTTTTGTTTCCATCAGCTTCTGCTGTGTAGATAGTAGCTCTGTTTGAAAAACTTTGAGAAGTTGTTGTGATGTGCCTCTTTCTGGGTTCCGATCCCTTCTCAGCCTGGTGATGCCATGGCATTCAAATCAATTTGTTTCTCTTCCCCTCCCCTACCCTACATCCATCATACAAAATGGGGGTGGTTGCACTAATCAGAGATCTGCTTTTTTCCCCCCACAGATATTGGTAAATTATTAAAAAACCATAAATTTTCTTCTAGATGCTAAGTAACTCTTAACAGTCTTCTGAGTACGTGAGTTTGGGATTTGGCCTTGCCCTTACAGAGACCTGTTAACTTTTCAAACCCGTGACTTAAAATTTACTAAAAATAACAAGTTTTGTTGTTGTTGTTGTTTTGTTTTTTGTTTTTTTTTGACATGGAGTCTTGCTCTGGTGCCCAGGCTGGATTGCAGTGGTGCAGTCTCAGCTCACTGCAACCTCCACCTCCCGGGTTCAGGCAGTTCTCCTCCTCAGCCTCCCGAGTAGCTGGGACTACAGGTGCGTGACACCACACCTGGCTAATTTTTTGTATTTCTAGTAGACATGGGATTTCACCGTGTTAGCCAGGATGGTTTCGATCTCCTGACCTTGTAATCCGCCCGCCTTGGCCTCCCAAAATTACAGGTGTGAGCCACAGTGCAAAGTGTTGGGATTATAGGCATGAGCCACTGCACCCGGCCAAAAAATAACAAGTTTTGAAGCATATTAGAAATAATCCAACAAAAAATTTATTTTTCTTTAGTCTTCTAAATTAGCAAGTTTTAGGCCACCATGTGGAACTGAACCTTTTTGGAGGTTTAAAATGTCAAAATACCTTGCCAGGCGCAGTGGCTCATGCCTGTAATCACAGCACTTTGGGAGGCCATGGTGGGCAGATGACAAGTTCAGGAGTTTGAGACCAGCCTGACCAACATGGTGAAACCCCATGACTACTAAAAATACAAAAAAAATTAGCTGAGCGTGGTGGTGGGCGCCTGTAATCCCAGCTACTCAGGAGACAGAGGCAGGAGAATCCCCTGAACTGGGGAGGCGGAGGTTGCAGTGAGCCGAGATCGTGCCATTGCACTCCAGCCTGGGTGACGGAGCGAGACTCTTGTCTCAAAAAAAAAAAGAAAAAAAAAGAAATGTCAAAGTAAGGAAGGAGTTGTGTGTATTTTCAGTCTTGACTTCATTTACTGTAAGTGCCGAAGCACCAAGTGGGAGGTGGTTTGGGAAGTATTTCTGATCTAAAGAGGAAACTCCATAAATCACCCATGGTAATGTGTCTCATTAGCAACACTCCAAGTAGATGACCAACATTCCGAGGAGATGTTGCTCATTTTCATCCTGCATCTTGGCCTTTGTGCTTACCTGGCCCTAGCTTAGATTTTAAAATTTAAACATTTTTGTTTCTCACTCTTGAAAACTTTGGTACTCAGATTCTTAAACTCCTCTGTTAAATAGTTTTCAGATTAGCCTAGTATAGCGTTCAAAACTGGAAACCACTGCCAGAATCCTCTAATGTGGGGGAAAACATGGCTATTATCATTGAATGTGCCTCCAAAACCTATCAAAGTTGGCAGATGTCCATGTGTTTGGCTTGGACCAATTTATAAAACGTTCACATGCTTATGAAAATTGTTATCTCTGCTATTCAGAATAGTTGAGTATAAAATTGAGCAGAAAAGCATAATAAGAGAAGAAGCTCTGCTATGACTTGCAGTATTTTTCTTTTGATCACTGAATACTACAAGAAGGATCTTTTGTTTGCGTGTTTGTTTCAAACTTTTCCATGTATAGAGGTGTCTTAGGTGAAGTGACAACTAATGACATGTGGAAGTCACTCTCTCTGGTGTTCTGTTTCTTCTATAACTACCCTCCCTTCCTGTCTAAAGAGAGAGGGAATAGCTCCTGAATTAGGTGAAACAAATAGTTTTTAATGTATGGTAAAAATAAGTCATTCTTCCTCTGTTGGCAAAATTCATTGTAGGTGCCTTTCAGTGTAGTTCTGCAAATGTTTTTTCCATTAGTTGGAGTAGAAAAGAGATGAAGGATTATCAGTTGTCAGGTATATTTTGCTTCTACCAAAGATGATACATAAATATGAAATATTTGCAGAACAAGCTGCAAAACCACTAGGTCCTAGAAATAAAATTCTGATGGTTAATGCATTTACTTTATAATATGACCACTTTTTCCTTTTAACATTTTCCCCAGTATGTCCTTAGTGCCTTTCCTGGAAATACCAAAAGGCAAACATCCCACTTTAATAGAAGTGATAATTGTAGTACACATTCTTAAGAGAATGCCTCCTTATGCCTACATTTTTATTGAGGGCTTTGTCTACATACATCCAGAGTCAACTTAACTTTTGGACCCAATTAACTGATTGGCCTGATGAATTTAATTAAAATAGGGGAAGTGCTTGTACAGAGAGGAACAGCATTAGTATAATGTGGTGGTTAAGATTAACAAGATTGATTTGACTTGATAATTAATTAATTTGATTAACAAGATAATTTAGTGTCAGGCGGAGACCTAGGTTCAAATCCTTACTATAGATGACCTTGGTTTTAAACTCTTTAAGTCTCATTTTTTCCCCATCCATTAAGATGTCATAAAAACACTGACCCCAGAAGGTAGTGAGAACTGGGGAGATAAGTTAGGGAAGTGCTCAGCACAACACTTGGGCCAGTCACTGATGGACGGTAGTACCTTTTGTTATTTTCTAGTATTTTTAAAGTATGTGTTGTCTGAAAGACACCATGTCTCAGATCGCTGTCAGATTTCTTTGAGTGAACAGAGTCACTTCTTTTTCTGAAGACATCAGTAGTGCAAGCATCATGTCTTTGCCTTGTATTTTGTTCATCTTTTTGCAGTTGGAACGTTTCTCCTTCCCTTATTTATATCAACTTTAGGTCGTGTTAACTGTCCCTATATTTTAAAAAATAACATTTTATAATTTCCATGCAAACTTAATTAATTTTCACAAAACCCCTGTAAGGTAGGCAAGGTAGATATTAGGTTATAGAGATAAAGAATTGTAAAACTGGAAAGAAATATGGCCTTGACTTCACCCTATCATTTTGCTGGTAAAGAAGCACCATGTTCAAGGTCCTGTATGTAGGAACTGGCAAAGATAACAAAGTAGATCTGAACTCAGTGCCCTTCCCACTATCCCATGCTGATCACTTTTCTTTTTAATTAAACTGCCCTGTTCCTGGCCTTCCATTGACAGGTTGCTTACAGCTCTTAATTTCTAGGGTTCTCAAAACTGTTTAATGAGTGTGTCTGGATTAAATCCAGATACTCTGACTATATAGAGCTCTTTTCATTTTCAAAGATATCTAAGTAAACACAGCATAGAATTCTTCACAAGTTCCTATCAATTTCCCCTTTTGAAAATTATGGCTCTTTTCTGTAGCTTTCTGAGACATCAATTCTGTGAACCTTTGCTTCTTTCTCTCACCACCTCTTGTTGTATGTTATTCTGACTTCAACTGCCACATTTTAAGTCATGGTAACCAGGAATCTATACTGAAATATTTTCATTAATTCTTATTTATTCGGCAGCATGAACAGTTGCAGGGATTCTTGGTGTACATTTGTAAGTTTTCCTTTCCTGTTGTATTTTATGGAATGTTAATTTTGCTCAATTGGGATTCCTTTGTCAAAACTGCTGTGATGACAGGGTCTTACGGCATCATGAATGTGTTCCCCTATTAATTAATATTATCTTAGCCATATAAGAAAATGACAGGCACATGCAGCTTGTAAGTGAAATGCAACCCAAGGAGCCGGAAGTCTTTCACCTAAACCTTAATTTTGTTCAATCGTTTGTATTTCAAGGTCTAGTCTGTAATTTATTCCCATAAACAATGTTGTTCTCCTGACCTTTCTTGTGTACCCTCCTCTGTCTGTATATTATCATTTTCCTTATTTTTGTCTATATTGTGTCACTAAGAGTTAAGACATTTTAAAATGTAATTTGGCTACCTCATCCATTTTATCTGCATTTAAATTGTGTTTGAAAATTTTACTTTTGCAGATTTATAAATTTTTTTATCCCCTTACAGTTTTAGCCTATTCAAAGGGGATACTTATTTTTTGTAAATGTTTTATAATAAATTTACCATTTTGTGAAAAACAGTGAAAATTTACATACTTTTTAGAACCACAAGAAATATCTCTTTTAAAAGCTACTTTTTAATAATGTCATTTTGGAGGCTAGAAATTCAATTTCACTTTTTATTAACTTAGTTCTTGTGTGAGAAAGAAATGTGACGTATAAAGAAAGCAGAGTAAAATACTATAACCGTTTTAAATCAGTCTGGATTTTCTTACAGAGTAACTGAATTTTTCTGTACCATAGATTTGATCTTTTTAGTCAGACTTTGCTTTATTTCTCTACAGATGAATTCAGAATCCACTAATGTTGTTTGCAAAGTATATTTTAAACTCTGTAATTAACATGTTTACAAGTTTTTAATTTTACAAAGAAAATTAAAAGTCAGTTTGCTTTGTAGGTATGTTTGTTCTTGTCTTATGTGTAGGTGCTTTATATGTGTTTTAAACAGAGTTTAATGGTATCTTCTGAGAAAATTATAGCTTTAGTGTGCTACTGAAAACCTCAAGTAGGGAATCAATACCTAAAATTTGATTTGGATAAGAAATTTGTATAAACTTTATAAAGGATTTTTGCAGGGCAAAAATTTGCATCCTCATGCCCAATATTCTGCCTTACTTAGTAAATTCCTAGGTCATGGCTATGGAGCTCCTAATTAAGTTAAAGAAATCTTCACTTGAACCAGCTAAAAGCTGGTTTAAGATAAATTTGGAAAATGTCTAGAATTGATAATATATTTTCTTTTAGTTTTCTCTGCTACTCTTAAGGGTACATGTAAATACATTTCTTAGCGTAGAGCAAATGTTGCATGCAATATGACTGGCCAGTGGCATTTTATTTCAAAGATCTCATGCTAATATATAGGAGACTATATATTATTTTTTTTTGTATCAGCATGTTTAATTTTTTTAAGGTTAACTGTGTGCAAATGCATATTTGCTGTCCAAACTAGTTAATGGGCTTACAACTGAAGGGTGTAAATTCTAGTATCTGTATTCTCCAGCTTGAAGCAGTGTTGTCTGAAGCCTGAAACGGCTGATGTTAATCTTCAGCTTATTTTGTTGATATCCAAAAATTAACTTGAAGTAGAATAAAATGTGATGTAAATCGACTTCTCTGCATACTCATAACAGTGTCAATAGTTAAAAAATAAAGTCTATATAGGTCACACTGTTTAAAACCTTAAAGGAGTGTGTGTGTGTGTGTGTGTGTGTGTGTGTGTGTGTGTGTGTGCGCGCGCGCGCTGTGTGTGTGTGATGCATATGTATTTGTGTTTAATTAAACAGAGGGAATTGCTGGCTTTTAATCAAGTTGATGAATTTTGAATTTCCACTTCAGTGATGGCTCTACCTTAAATTCATTTGGCTGATGTGATAGCAGTATTCGGAATGCAACGAAGAGATAAGAGTTTGGACCCCATATTTATAATATTCCAGAAGAATTTCATTATGTAATGGCTAGAAACTCAGATTTCCCACAGAGTTGTAGAGTGTGCAGTTTGGCATGCTTATTTACTACTCTGGTTCTTTTTTTTTTTTTTTTTTTTTTGAGACGGAGTCTCTCTGTGTCACGCAGGCTGGTGTGCAGTGGCGTGATCTCGGCTCACTGCAACCTTTGCCTCCTGGGTTCAAGCGATTCTTCTGCCTCAGCCTCCTGAGTAGCTGGGATTACAGGCGCCTGCCACCACATCCAGCTTATTTTTCTATTTTTAGTAGAGATGGGATTTCACTGAGTTGGCCAGGCTGGTTTCGAACTCCTGACCTTGCGATCCACTTACCTCTGCCTCCCAAAGTGCTGGGATTACAAGCGTGAGCCACCGCACCCGGCCACTACTCTGGTTCTTAATAGTGAAAGATTTATACCTCAAAAACACTCTGTAGATAAAGAAGGATTCAAATATGATTCTCTTAATATTGCATGGTTTGGCTAAGAAACCTTGTTATTATTCAAGTTACTGTGAGTCAAGGGCTTGCTTAGAAACAGCAGACGTAGGCATGGCGCGGTGGCTCATGCCTGTAATCCCAGCACTTTGGGAGGCTGAGGCAGGCAGATCACCAGGTCAGGAGTTCAAGACCAGCCTAGCCAATATAGTGAAACCCCATCTCTACTAAAAATACAAAAAATTAGCCGGGCTTGGTGGTGGGTGCCAGTAATTCCAGCTACTCGGGAGGCTGAGGCAGGAGAATCGCTTGAACCCGAGAGGCGGAGGTTGCAGTGAGCCAAGATCGTGCCATTGCACTCCAGCCTGGGTGACAAGAATGAAACTATGCAAGAAAGAAAGAAAGAGAGAAAGAAGAAAGAAAGAAAGAGAAAGAACGAACAGACATAGATAGTCTATTCCCACTTCAAGTAGAGTAAACAGGCAAAGTGGGGCAAGGAAGAGCGGATGAAAAAGCCACAAGGCAATTCATTAACCCATTTTAAGACATTTTCAGGCAACTTGTGAAGCTTCAAAGGTCAAACTGACCAACATTTAATTCATCACAGAAAAAAAATTCTGGGAGAAGAAAAAAGAAAACTTGACCTTCACGGTTTAACAAGTTTTCTTAAAATGTCTTTATACAATCTTGATAGAGTTCTTTGCTAACATGATTCATCTTCCAATCTATGCAAATCAGACTTTTAAATCATACTTGGTTTTATATAAGGGCTTCCTTCTGATTGACTTTGGAGCAGGTAACACAGAGCTCTTGATGGCAGTGCCTTGCTGTGTGTTCTGTTATGGTGACAGAGAGAGCACCCCCTGCAAGGGTGATTTAGTGTGAAAGTACTAGGGTCTTTGACTGAGAAGTCACCAAAAATCAATGGCTGTATTGTTTTGAATGTTATCTGGGCTTGCAACTGAGAATAGGACCTGGGGGTTTTACTCTTTTTATTCCTTTTCATTCGTTCTTCACTCTCTATCTGAATTGCAGTCGTGGTCCTCTGGCAGGCAGCGTCTGTATGCGACCGGAAGGCAGTGCTGAATAGTGGGGTGATGTTGGCAGAGCACTTTCCAGGCATGCTAGCACCTAGCGCACAAGCAGAGAACTTTGCTTCTGCCAACTGTGACTTCAGAACCCAGGTCTGTTCCTGAACCTGGATGCCCAGCTGTCAGTGTGTCGCCATATGTCACCAGCACATGGCACCCTAATTAAAATTTCAAATTGCATGCATTTGTGTTTGCTGGCTGGCTTGCTTAAAAGGCAGAGACCTCACCACCCCGGCTTGCCCCCCTCCTTCATCACTCTGAAGTATTATGTTTGCCATCCTTAGGAATGAGTTGGAAAACGGCCTTTGCCCACTAAAAAATCATCACTCTCCAATTCTCTCACCTCCCATTTTGAAATAGGAATAGTCCTTATTTTAAGGGAGAAGGAGTGGTGTGAAGAAACGTGGCTGGTACCCTTCAGTAGAATTCTAAAGACCAGAAATGTGGTTCTCGTGTTTCCAGTGGTTCATACAGATCACTCTTCAATGCTGTCCTCTCTTTGTGAATATGTTTAGCTCTTTTTATGTTTACATTTGAAATTTTAAAATAGGATTAGATGGAGCATTCTTGGAAAACAGTAACAACAAAATTTAATGAAGTAGGTCCCTTCGTGCAAAGCAAAAAAGACATACTGCTGGTTGAGGATATCTGTTAATAGCTACCATTTATTGATCATTTACAAAATGCTAAGGAAAAATGCAAGTCGATTTACCTGTGTTGCCTCATTTGATTCTCACACCACTTCTATTCTGTGGCAACTGCTAACACTCTCATTTTAGAGATGAGCATACCATGGCTTATGTAGCATTTCCAATCTTATGTACCGTATCTCGTGAGTAGTAGACATGAAATTTGAACTCAGATCCGTTTGACTTGAGATTGTATATACTACATTGCTTCCTTCCTGGGAAGAAAATGGAAGTTTTTTCTGGTTCCTTCTAATCGTAGCTTCATAGATATGTGGTGTGCTTCCAAGTGTGTATACTTTTCCATGTATGCTAAGTTTTGGTGATGTATTAAAAAAAGGTTGAATGGCCAAGTACAGTGGCTCATGCCTGCAATCCCAGCACTTTGGGAGGCCGAGGTAGGTGGGTCACTTGAGGTCAGGAGTTCGAGACCAGCCTGGGCAACACGGTGAAATCCCATCTCTACTAAAAATACAAAAATTAGCCGGGCGTGGTTGTGCGTGCCTGTAATCGCAGCTACTCTGGAGGCTGAGGCAGGAGAATCACTTGAAACCAGGAGGCGGAGGCTGCAGTTAGCTGAAATTGCATCACTGCACTCCAGCCTGCACGACAGAGCGAGACTCCAACTCACAAAATATATATATGTATATATATATATATATATATATATATATATATATATATATATATATATATATATATGTATGTATGTTGAGCTAGAATTATGCAATTCCCTATTGACCCTTAGTCACCATTTGCAGTGATGACAAACTGGGGTATTTTAAATGACAGCAGGAGGCAGTGCAGTCATTAGCAGCATGGACTCTGGAGCCCAGTTGCTGCTTTAGATCTCAGCTCCCCTTTGACTAGCGTCATGATCTTGTGCAAATCACTTGACCGCTCAGTGCCTCAGTTTCCTCATCTGTATGGGATAATAATATTATGAGTTAATCCATGTAAAACACTTAGAATCTTCCTCCTGGACTATTGAAAGTACCCATTAGAGGTTAGCTAAAATTAATCAACACATTTTTAGACTTCACACAGAAAAAAAAAGAAATTAAGGAAGATTAATTGATCCATTCTTTAGAAAATTCTGATACTAAACACTGGCCTTTATATAGCATCTGATTAATTAAAATGAGTCACCCTCTTGATTTGATCTGCCAGTCAACAATTGCTGATGGAGCTTCTGCTATAAAATGATGTATACATTCTCCAAAATAAAAAACAGTATCATAAACCTTAAAAAGGTACCAGTCATGTTGGGTAGACAAGACATATCTACTTAGGTTCCACAAGTGCTCTAGAGTTGTTTACCTATTCAGTCCAGTGAATTATCACAACCACATAATTAAATGTGTATTCATCCCCAAGTAATGACAGAAAAGATGAAGAAAACCTAAACAAACCAAAAAACCTCCAGAAATTTTAACAATGTGTATAATGCTAATAATATTTCTAACTGTGATAATAGCAGTAATAGAAGGTAGTAGTACTCATTTAAGTGGCTTCTGTTATGGCTGTAGACAAGTTATTTACACATTTAGCAAAGTTATGAAATTCTGTCATCTATAATCTTTTCATGTATGAATGATTCCTTTCTTATAAAACTCCCATTTATTCTGTAGGGTTGCTGAAACACAGCAAAGTGTAAAAGGGAAAACAACGACTCCCTCTACGTTTTATTTTAAAATAGAAAATTCTGATGGGAATCTGCAATATAAGCCAAGATATGTAGTAAGATCTCACATACTTTCTCAGATTTGGCTTTTTTGTTGTTGTTACCTTAAGTATCACATACCCTGATAGCGTAAAGAATCAGTATCTTTTATCCTATCTATGGAAAATATAATGATTGTTGATAATTTTATGAGCCATTGTACTAATTTTAATCGACACATCCGCTCCTCTATAGCACACTTCCTTGAGATAAAACTGGCTAATAGTATCAACTGACCTGTTTTCTGTTTTTTCATTGAACTTTAAAATGTAATTCTTTTTCTTTTTCTGGTGCTCAAAGAGATACATTTGTTTGAGTCCTTGTGTATTTTATGTATCACATTAAGAAAATTATAAAGAACTTAAAAGCTTAAGGCAAACTTTAAAAAGTGTCTTGTCAGGTTAGATTTCTCTTTCCTTTCAACTAAAAAACAAAAAAAAAAAAGGAAAAAGGAAATAAGGGAAGGAGGAAGGGGTGGGGGCCATCAGGTGGTAAAAGCCTGTTTAATGTAACATCAGTTGTGGAGAAAATATTAGGTTCAATTACATAAGGATTGTGTGAGAGGGAGCACCTTGAGAAGCATAATTTAATTAGAATGAATTTATGAGCGAGAGGTCCTGAGCTATTAGACAAAGCGAAGGCAGTGGTGTGCTCTCCTTTCACGAGAGCATTTTAATGAGTTTCCATACAAAGTATTTCAGGTAAAAGATTTGTAGCAAGTGTGAATAGAAATGTAGCTCCAAATAAAAACTGTCAAATAGCTCTAGTAGCAATTTCTGGGCTAAGAGTATTTAATAAAGTATGCTGACATTGTTATTTCTTGATGATTTTATTGAACAACTATCGTGTAAGAAAATCTTAAAAAAAAAACACTCAGATTCCAATGTGTTCTTTAATTTGCCATTAAAAATTGAACTGCAGGGCTGGCCTTGCTTGACTTCCAATTTGGGCAGGTGTTAGATTGTGACTTACATAACATTGCAAACTCATCCATTGCCCTGATATTCCAGAAGGATAGGTGCCAATGGTAACTTAAGATTGAGATTTCACCTTTATGGCTTGCTTCCTATTTCTGGTAAGAGGGAATTAAAGCGTTATCTCCCTATAGTGTAATTATGGTCATAAACTTGATTAGAGTTCTTTAAATAAAATCCAACTAGGAAAAAGGCAGGAAAACACTGTGGTCAATTTTGGGGAAGGAGGATGGAATACAGGCATGACCTTCACCTTGGTCAAAATATGTTCCCTAAGACTCTGGGAAGTCTTGTATATATAAGATTCATATGGCAGGGTTTTTAAAAAGTTGACAGGAGAGTACATCCTTGTTTAAGGATTTATTTGTGTATGATCCTCACAAGGTACATTTTTGAGATTTATTGCAAATAATTCTGTTAATCCTTTCCTAGATATTCTGACATGCCAGGTGGTTAAAGAAGGATGATACATACCAGGTCTATAGAAATATCATAAATTATTACACAGTAATATAAGTATTTTTGTCATCCATGACTAACTTTTAAAATGGCAAAATTATAAATATCTGTAAAGTCTATGCGCAGTTGTTACTGATTATTGTGGCAATAATACATAAAGAACATGTTTTTTGTTTTATTTTCCACCCTTATGTTTTATTTATAAAACAAAAATTTATATTTGCACAGGAGGAGAATTAGCAGGATGTAAAATAAAAATGAAAGACCCCAATGGGGAGAATATTTTAAATGTCTTGCAGGGAGTGGAAGAAAGCTTTGCTTAAAAATGTCACCATATGCTAACTATATACAGCACTTCAAGTTTATTTATTGTTAAAGCCTCATGTAAATCACGTCATTCTGAAAATCATGGAAACTGCACATTTGTGCATTAAACTATGTAAACAACAAAAACTGGTCATCCGTCCAATTGTTGCTTCACTTATTTTGAATTATAGTGCAATTTTGTGGAGGGTGAAATGGGGATTACACAATATAGCGATTTCCTGTTAACACCTACATTTTTGCTGATCAAGCAAGGTCTGTTGGTGCGAGAGCTTAACCTTTATTTTATTTCCAAATGTGTTTTTTATTCCGAGTCCCGTTGGTGTCTATGGTTTCACTTTTCTCCATGAGCCACATGTTAAAGCCTGCCCTGACTAAATGAAGGAGTGTAAGCAGTGGGATAGACATTGCAGGCAGGCGAAACTGGGATAAGCCCCAGAATCTTTTGAACCTATCAGTAATATTACTAACAGGGAGAAAGTATAAAAGTGAGCGCTTCAAGTGCTCTAGTGTACATGTCAAAATTAAAGCACGAGTTCCACGGGATGGCTCACCACCCTCCCTTATTTATAAAACAGAAGTATCTTTTGAGCCCGCTGTGCCCTCCTCCCCCTTTTCTATGCCTGTTTTTCTGCCTGGGTTGCCTGGTTTTTGCTCTGCTTGTTGAAACCCTGCTCATCCTTCAGGCTGCCTCAAAACTTTTGTGGAAGAAGGTAGGGAACACATATCTCTTCTTTTGTCCAGCCTTCCTTGATTAGCCTTCTTCCTCTCCCTTCTACCCATTGTACATGGTTTCTGTTGCCATGTAGTGGTTAAATCTGGTTTACGTTGTAGTTGTTTGTGTGTAAGGAGGTCTCCTACACCGGGCCATGTTTTCTTAAACACTGGGATGGTGTTTTCTTAGTGCTTGTGATGTTCTTTGTAACAGTGGGTGCCCTATAACTTTTGTTTGGACTGAATTAAAGAAAAAAAAGAAATCGACTTTAGTAGGAGCCGGCCTTTGAGTGATAAAGATACATTGAGGGAACTCTGTACATCCCCAAGATCGTGGCCAGTTGCCAGGCTCCATTTGGATTATGGGAGAGCTTAACCCCATATTTCAGGGCAGATATTTAGGTGTGTGTATGAGCTGTAGTTGGTGAATACTCATTTTTGACCAAAGAAGATACTGGTTTGTTTTCCAGGTGTTGCTGTGACTTCCGTTTCTGTAAATTCCGTGGGATGTATTTTGCCACCAACTGCCTAGCAGTTTATGAAATGGTGAACTGGACGGGGGCCTTTCTGCATCCACATTGCTCTCATTAAAGTGACCCCTGCTTTCCTCTGGCCCTCTTGAAGTGTATCTAGTTTAGAACTTCTTATTAGTCTGTGGTCTTAAGATCTTTGTCATCTTAGGCATAGGCTCAAAGGAATTAAACTTGGGTTTTGATTAGTGAACTTGAGCCAGTTAGCTGGTGGACTGGATGTTATTCAGGCATAAACTTACTCCTATGTAGTTTCTAGAAGGTTGGCCTGGGCCACAGAACTTTCTATAGAATATCTCATCCATGCATCTATTTGGATTTAGAGCATGGATGTAAATGACCCTAAAGGTAGTACCTAATGTGAGATGCAGCAGGAGGGACCTTTATATTTTTTTATTTTTTATTTTATTTTTTTTAAGAAACAGCCTTTTCTATGCAATCCTGGATGGTTACGTAAGTTCCATTTTATTTGTATCTATATTCCTTATAAAGACAAAGCAGCAAAAATGCACTAAAATTAGATTTAATTTCCAGCTGTGGGTATTTGTATTATGTCTGCCTTAGTCCACCTTCTGCCCCCCCCACCCTTGGGTTGATGTGGTTACTGAAGATAGTGAGGCTATCTGGAGATTGGACATTGACCTTCACTATAGAACAAACTCAACTGTTCTTATCTACCAGGGATGGTGAGTTGAAGACACCTGTAGTCTATGATTAGTTTATTGTGTGAGCATTTTTCTGACATATGCTGAGTGATATTGAAAACATTTAGGTAGAGCTTTTTTCTCTAAAAACCTGCTCATTCATTCACTCCATGACTTTTTACTTGGCACCCACCATTCTAGGCACTGGGATTGTATTCTGTTGGCCCAAACATACTTCACTTTGTTGAGAAGGTTTAGCATAGGACTAGGAACATGCTAGTATACACTGATGGATTTAAAGCCCATTGCCAATTATAAATTCATTTTCACTATCAATTAGGTACTTAATGGCTATCCTATAAGGTAATACTATTATTATCTATCTCCATTTTACAAATGAGGAAACTGAAGCACAAAGAAGTGGATCAGTTTATCGAAGGCCATACTGCTAGGATATTTTATAGAAATGCGTTTTGAACCGAGGTTGTCTTAATTCCCAAGTCTGTACTCTTAATATTATACTAAGTTGCCTGAGAATTTTAGCAAGACTTAGCCTAAATGATGTAGAGCATCTCAATTTCTGTGCAGGTCCATTTAACAGATTTTCTTGATTCAAGAGGTGTTTCATCATAACTCAATTGTCTTAGCAGTTGTATAAAAAGCTAGCTCTCAGAGATGGGGCTTTCTCATAGGCATAGCAGTAATTATGTCAACATAGAGAAACTTCTAGAATCGAGCAAATCTGGTGCTCCTGGCTGTGGCCTAGCACTCGGTCCAGTGTCTTCATATTAACCCATTTATGCTGGAGGTTGCAATTTTTTGAATTTTTGCAATCAGACCTTGGCGATGATCTTGAGCAGTAGGATATAAATAACTTCCACATCCTTAGTGTTCCAATAATGGAACACTAGGCATAAATATGTTAAAAAGTGAAAGTAGGAAGTCAGAAAGTTGTGAGACTGGGCAGAGTTCAAACACTTGGTTATCCAACGAGACAGGACCAGAGAGGTTTGTTGAATTGAGCGGACGAGAACTTCAACAGGCTCACGTTTAGTCCAGTCAGTGTTTCAGCACTGACACAGGTTACCATGTTTTACCTTGATTCACAGTTTCACAGTAGTCAGCAAATGCCCTACACTGAGGTTTTACTCTTTTTATTTTGCAGCCCTTTTTTTTTTTTTTTTTTTTTTTTTTTTTGAGACAGGGTCTTGCTTGCTGTGTCACCCATGCTGGAGTGCAGTGATGCAATCATGGCTCACTACACCCTGACCTCCCTGGCTCAACTGATCCTCCCTCCTCAGCCTCCCGAGTAGCTGGGACCACAGGTGTGCATCAATTAACTTTTTTATGCCCAACTAATGTTTTTAAAATTATTTTTTGTCTCCCTTTATTGCTCAGGCTTATTTTGCAGACATTTTTAAGACAAAATTTTTGTTATGTAAGACTTTTTGTTATAAAAATTGTTATATAAGACTTTATAAGACATAAAATTTTGTAATATGAGGCTTTTCCTGGTTGAAAAGTGTTTCATTTTTCAATGTTTTGTATTTGTATGAAATCAGTCTTTTTGCCAGCACACTGAATCTTGTCAGATTGGATGCAGAGTTTCTTTCTGCAACACTTTTACTGTTTGGTAACAACCTTTTCTTAGGAGGAGAAGCTACAGATACTACCTTGGCTGCTAACAAGTTTTCAGATTAGACCAATTTCACAGTGTTGACTAGGGAAGAAAACTGATTGAACTTCCATGGGCTTTAGACTGAAACCAATGACTAGCATTTTATCTCTTTTGGATGTGAGCATGATTAGAAGTCAGTCTGAAGATTTTCTTTCACCAGCATTGATAATTCTTGTCAGTGCGACCTCAGACACATATTGCCTTCTTTTCTGTGCATCCTCTGACCAGATAGAATTTCTTCTATTTTGGATGACATGCTGCATTTTAAAGATGCAAGGTGTAATCTAGATAAATATAAATTCATTGGATGCTACCTTTGGAAAAGAGCTGAGGATTATCTTAGAGCTGTTCTTTTCCTCTTTTTCTTTCAGAATTGTTATTTTCTGCTCAAGATTGCCCTCCCAAGCCTACCTCATGGCAGCACACACACACATACAGTCACATTCAAACACACCATTGTACTGTTACTTGCAAAATTTTGCATATTTGGGACCAACATACCTGTTATTCTGAAGTGCTGTCGTATGAAAGAATAAGTAAAGGTACTGTTTATATCTTTCGATGTATGTCTAGCACTAATGGGAGTTAGGGGACAGATAGATGTCAACTCCATGCAAAGAAAGTCATTATGACAATGAAGAAGGCCAACAGTGGACTTGTGGAGGAGCTGGGGACCCTACATCTGGGAGGGAATGGTTCTGCTGAGGTGGTTCAGAGATTTTGTAGCTGTGATGGGTTAGAAAATTAGATGAGAAGATTGTCAAAATTTTGTACAATGTACAGAATTTTGAAACAAAAATTTAATGAATGGTTTGGGGAATAAATGGCATTTTACGTTGACTGTTTTATTTCTCTCAAATTTAGACCCTCACTGGGAAATTATTTTTGAGTCATAAACAATAGACCCATTTCACATCTATTCATATTTTCTCTCTCTCCATGATTTTTAGATTTAAAACAAGACCACAAGCCAACTTTAAACAGTTCATCTTTCTTCCTTTTTTTATTGTTTTTTAACTTCATGGTTTTATCTCAGATAATTTGCTAATTCTAGCTACGGGTGCCTTCCTCCCAGCTCCCCCAGTGTGGTAGCTGTCATTCTTAACAAACTGGGATACTCACGAGACATCTAGAGTTCAGTTGATGATAGTCCAGAGTGTGTGAGCAGTGCAGGGAAATCTGTAGCTGTGAGCACTCATCTTTGACCACAGAAGCGCTGTTCAGATGTGGCCAGATGGAATTCCTATGAATCTCTCTTCTGTGAAGTGGGATTTTTGTGGCACCAACAGCAAAGCGATTCATGAGTGAAAAGCCTTCTCTGGTGCTGCCATTTCCATCACTGTTTCTGCCTCCTTTTGCTTTTGTTAGGCGTAGGCCCTTTATTTATTCAGACAAAAGTTTTTAAAAGATTAGAGCATACTTCCATATTAATAACATCCCATGAGTTACCATTTTGAGGGAAATGTGCACATTTGTGTAGGGGTTTTGCTGAGGAAAAGGAATGAGGAGTGAAAGGAGTCTCACCCAGTTGGATAGTGGTATGCCTTGGAAATGCACTGAACCTTTTTTTTTTTTTTTTTTTTTTTGATGCAGCTCTTCACAGATGGATAAGGTAAGGCACTGTCTGCAATGCGTGAAGCACTTTTTAAAAAGTGAGAACTCCCAGTAGACCTGTGGTGTTGCAGGAGCAGGTCAAGTGCTTTCTTTCTTTAATATTTAGCTAAGAGAGATCACTTAGGTGAACCGTTCCCTATAACTAGATCATCCTTTGCTTTTTCCTGTTCACATTATGATTGAACTCTTGTTTTTGTACACCAGTAAAATCTTGCATCTGAAAATCTTATTGCAAGCAAGTCTGCCCAGTTTTATCATTTTTTCTGCCATATTCCTTCTGAGAGCAGCTAGTTTGGAAAAGTATGGTCCATGCCAGGCAGAGTGAGCTCAGAAGAGGAAGGGAAATATGTAGTGTTTTAAGAGCATGAAGAGGAAAAGACTACTCTGGTAGCTTTTCTATCTGTATGTTTGTTTTGGCTTTTAGTCTTGAAAAGACTCAAATTCTCTTTCCCATCCTTTATTTCTAAATTCAAAGGGAAGCAGTTTGACATATTAGAAGCCCTGTCTTTGGAGTCAGGAAGACCTGAGTTTGAAACTGTGTGTTGTGACCTTAGACAAACTACTTAATCTTTCTGAGATCCAGTTTGCTGTCTGTACAATAGGAATAATAGAAGTCTATCATAGGATTGTTATAAGGGTTAAATAAGACATTGCTTATGAACCTTATACGTAGTGGCTTGCTATTATTCTTGTATTAACAAGGTTGTCCTGGCATTTCTTCCTACTGTTAATTTTCACAAAATATGATATGTCTTAAGCTTTATTATTGAAAATAATAAAGCTTTAAACTTTTAATAAACATGTCTGGAGTCTAAGATGGAAGATGTTAAAAAGGGCTCAGACGTGATTGGTTTCTTGATGATTAAGTAGTGGGCAGTCAAAGATACTTGTTTTATGACACATTTAGGAGAAAGTACTGAATGAAGCTCTTAACAGTAACAGCCCCTTTAATTAGGGGACCAGAGTAGAGGAGTCATTCCCAGCGCTGCCTGGGAGGAGGATGAATTTCCTGCTGTACTGGAGTAGCCCTGGGCAAAGGACCCAAAAGAACTGCTGTATTAAGGAAACCTGGAAACTAAAAAACACAAGAGTTTTGTTTTTTTTTTCCCCTGTCAGATATTGGTCTTTTGTATTCCAGTGGTATTAAATGGAAATGGGTTTTTTCAGAGGAAAAGTAATACTTGAGAGAACTCCATTATCTATCAGATTTATATATTTTGCCTTAGAGAAATGCAACCTGTTCATTGTGTAAAAAGCCGTCGTGTGTATACAGATTTGCTCTTCTGGAAGCCATCAATAGCCAGCTAGGGTTAAACAGGTTTCCCTTCCCCTAAATGGTTTTGTTATTATTTATTTATTTTGTGTTCTTTTAAAATTTATTTTTCCATATAATCTCTGTGAGGGCAGGGATCATACAGCTCTCAAGGTACACATCACAGTATGCAGATAGGCCCAAAATAAACAAACATCTTTATTTTTAAAGTTTTTTAATTATAAAAAGTAATACGAGGCCAGGCACAGTGGCTCATACCTGATACCTGTAATCCCAGCACTTTGGGAGGCTGAGGCGGGTGGATCACCTGAGGTCAGGAGTTTGAGACCAATCTGGCCAACATGGTGATACCCCATCTCTATGAAAAATACAACAACAACAACAACAACAACAACAACAACAAATTAGCCAGGAATGGTGGTGTGTGCCTGTAGTTCCAGCTACTCGGAAGGGTGAGGCAGGAGAATCACTTGAACCCAGGAGATGGAAGTTACAGTAAGCAGAGATTGCGGCCACTGCACTCCAGCCTGGGCAACAGAGCAAGACTCTGTCTCAAAAAAAAAATTAAAAAGTAATATGGGATTATTATAGTTTGGAAAATACAGAAAAATGGAAGAGAAGTCAGGTACAGTTTCACTGTCCAAAAATAATTAACATTAACATCTTGGTATACTTCCTTCCAGCCTTTTTCTGTTAGTACAGAGCTTTATGCTAGCTATTTATGATTATGAATACAGATATATCCTAAAAGATCTTCTCATGCTGAGCCCAGGTGTTGTAGGATAGAAACTGATGGTAGCCAGGCAAAGTGTATAGACATAAAAACTGGGATGACAGAATCACGGGGAAGGGTATAATACCTTTGGGTTCCTTAGCTCAGGGCTGTCTCATTTCTGCAGCAGGCAATGTGGTTTTCCTCAAGTGGAATAAGATTGCAAAAGGAAGGTTGGTAAGCTCAAAAGAAATCTTCACATTGCCCCTGTGATAGGTAGCAAAGGTGATGAAACAACCCAATTTTGCTGTGTTATGGTATTCCTGTTTTCAGAAAAATTAAAAAAACACAAAAACCATTTCTTTGAATAAATTCAGGCTTTAATGTACTTTTTTCCCCCAGAACATTTCTCCTAAGGGCTTAAATTATTATCACATATGGAGAAGGAGACTTAAATATGAGAGGATGTAAGATCCTTAAGCATGTACAAATTTTCGTGGCATCTATCACAGTCCTGAATCCTGAAAGACTATTTTCTGTTGAGTTAGATCTTTCCTTATAAATGCTTTCTGGGATGGCCCATGCATCTCTGACAGTTCTCATGCTGAGTCATACCTTGTTCTGTTAAATTTATCCATTATTGGACAAAGACTGGAAGAATGGATATGACATTGGGAAGTGTGCAAGACTTCCACAGATCACTTGTAGAGAGGGATGATTTCATTGTAATCCTACCTCACTGGACACCTCAAACCTGCCAGTCTCATCTGTAAAGTGAGCATTTTTATCCCCTTTCCTTGGCTCTCTTGGCTCCATCTACAGGCAACACTCAGGTGGACTTCTTTACTGAAGAGAAGAGCGTAATATTCTTCTAGTTTGCCTAGCTCTTTGGCATTTAGAAAACTAGAGAAATGCATAAATTTAGCAAAGGATCAGGGCCAATGTGATGGCTGAACTGGCATCATTTCACATTTTTCATGCTCTGTATTTATAGCAATAAATTTCAAGTAAGAAAATAGATTGCAAGGAGTATGCTGTATTAGGAAGGAAGTTTGTACACTTTCGTGGCTTATGGGTATCTTAGTATAACCTTTTCTGGTTGAGTGAACTGTGTCATTTCAAAAGCCTGAAGACATTGTGATGACTGCTGCCTCCATAATGGCTACATTCTAGGGGCTTTGCCCTGAATCGCATATATTAACTCAAAAAACAAACAGTACCCAGTTTTTATTGGGAAAATTACAGTACCAGAAGTTATGTTTCTCAGTCATTGAGACCTTATGAAGCCTTAATAATATTTAGAAGATTCTGGTTCCTTGTCTTCCTTTTTTGAGTCAGCAGTTGGTCACAGTTCAGAAATGAATTACAAATTACAATTTATTAGTAATGATAATATTTAAGTAGTAATGATGATGATAAATAGTAACAGCTTATTTTTTAAAAAGATACCAAGCTAAATGCTTTCATGGATTATCTCATTTAATTGTCTCAACAACCTTTTAAGTCTTATATTTTTATCATTGCCGTTTTATAGATGAAGAAAGTCAATTTTCAGAGAACTTAAATAACTTCTCATAGATGTCTAGAGCAAATAAGAGACACCAGGAAATATTACACCCAATTAAACATGTTTTCTCCCACATATTCCGTCAATTAGAGACTTGTAGAGAAGGGTGCTATTTTTCTTTTCATTTTTATTTTTTTCGAGACAAAGTCTGGCTCTGTCACCCAGGCTGGAGTTCAGTGGTGCAGTCTTGGCTCACTGCAACCTCTGCCTCATGGGCTCGAGCCATCCTTGCACCTCAGCCCCCAAGTAGCTGGGACTACAGGCATGCACCACCACACCTGGATAATTTTTGTATTTTTTGTAGACACTGGGTTTTGCCATGTTGCCCAGGCTGGTCTCGAACTTGTGAACTCAAACCATCTGCCCGCCTGGCCTCCCAAAGTGCTGGGATTGGTTGCTATTTTTCAAATGTGAGAAAACTCCTTTAGAAGTTTTAGTCTTCATGAGTCTTATGCGCTTAGGGTGTGGATTTAAATTAGCAAATTGGGTTGTTGGATTTGTAGTTGCAGCAGAAAGGGGTTGTTTGTGGATTTTTAAGTAGGGGTGATAGCATAGGGGCCTGCTTTTAAAAGAGGGATAAGCAAGCAAGGAACTTTCAGTGCTTAAGGGCACAGGTGGGGCAGAACATCAAAGACAGATTCCATCTGTGCTAACATTTCACCTTTACTCCACTGAAAATTTTCTAAGATGTCACCTTTGAGACACACTAAAGCTTATTTTTCTAGACAATTAACAAATAAATTACATTTACTCCAAGGACAGTGTAATATTAATCTATAAGGATATTTTAGATTTTAGAAAGCATGAGTTTTGAATTCTAGTTTATTATGCAGTATGGTCTGTGAGCCATGAATTGTCTTCATCTTTATGTCCAGCAGATAATGTGGTAAGGACTTCTTAAAGCTTTTTGAATAATTGAATTAATGAATAAAATTTATAAAGTTTTCTATCATCTACTAAACATCTGCTTGTGAATTTTAAAGAAGCTCATTTTCTATAACATTAAAAAGAGGCTGTAAAACATCGTTTTTACTAACAATTTCATTTTATACATTGCAGTTGTCCTTATTGATAAAAGAGAACTTTGTGGTTTGATGCATAAAAGAAAATTTACTATTCAGTATAGTTGGGACTGTATCTTCAGGCACAGACACTGCATTCAGACCTGCAGACCCCCACCCTGCTCAGTGTCTGGGTTGCAGCCCAGACTGAGGTTGAGCCAGAGGAAGAAGGAGGCCGTGTGGTTAAACCACTTGTGGATAATCGAAAGTAGACCATACTTATTTTCAATTTGGCAGCTGCATTAGTTTTTTACTAAAGTGTGCAGCTTTGCCTGGTTCTGCTAATGTTGCCTTCACACTGTGGCCTGGTCACCATTAGTGGTCTGGCAGAGATATCTGAGGAGGCTCACCATTGCTCCTCTTGACTGTTCCACTGCCCATCCCAGTATTTTCCCTGACTTTTCCTATGTTCTGTGGTATCAGGCAGTTGGATCAATTGCAGTGACTGCATCGAAAGAAAAAGACAAAAATCGGGAAAGTATAACCCCGAGGGCAACAATAATGAAATTTTAAATTTAAAGTGACCCAAGTTTGATGTACAGGATATGAAAATGCTGTGGTTCCTCCAGTGGTTTCATATACTTTGATTCAGACCCTTAGAAGTTCCTGGTGGGCAGTTGACAATTGAGTATCAGTCTTGATGCTCCAGATTTGAATACCATTTCAGTTGGAGGCATGGTGCGCCTGATATAGATGACGTGTGAATGTTTCAATGTCAACAGGAGATGCGGGTTGTGAAGATATGTGTTCACATGAAACAGACTGCAAGTCTAAGTCTCCAAGGATGAGCTGATATATGTAACCCTGTTCATGATGGGCCTGTGTTTTTTTCATTTTCTGTTTTCCTCTCTGGCAGATGATAGATCATTTAAATCTGTACTGGCACATGGACGTGGTTTCCCACCCCAACTGAACTTGAGTTAGAAGAACCTCAGCTCTGTAGTGATCTTATTTTACTGTTTTCCCAGGATAAAATGCCCTTGGTACCACATACTGTATGCAGAGTATTTATGATTGCTTGAGTACAGTTCCTTGGAAAGGACACAAGGGGTTTCATAAAGCGGTACTAAAAATCTGCTTTTCTCCCTAGCATTTACCAACAACCTTGCGATCCGATGGCTTGAAATAATGGTCAGAGTGCATGTTACCCAACTTCTCCTGGCTGCTCCTACTCTGTCACACTGCACACAGATCATGCCCGCCACCACCCTACACTCCCCGACCTCACCCACCAGTCAGACAGTTTAAGTCCTGCTGACGCACCAGGCGTGTGTTGGCTCGTGGTTGTACTTTTCATGAGTAGCAGGGAAGATACACTCCAGGAAGGTGGGATACAAATTATTGAACTGTGTGACTTAAAAGCTCCAGTGAGTTTCGTCGGAAGTATAGGAGTTTGAAAGTGCTCCCCAGTCAAACCCAGAACTACATAGGGTCAGCCGTGGTTGAGCTAATTTCTGCTTACACATGTGTGGAGGGTGTCATTTTCTGACTACGCCTAGGCCTGAGTGGACAGCCGATTAAAAGATGTAAATTCGTGGATTGTATCAAGGAGAGCGGGTTCCATCTTTGTGGTCAGGAGGGGGCCCACTCTTTTGTTCCGCAAAGGGTTTATCTGGATGTTCCTTGCTGGAAGTTGCTTTTCCAGTTTGGATCAAACCACTTAAGTGGAGCTCCAGCCTCAGTCCTTGCAATAAAAAAAAAAAAGTCCTGGAAAGCCAGAATTTTGCTAATATCTTACATAGAATCTCAATGATGGGAATTGGGAGTAGAAGGCAGAGAGTGGTGCTTGGCTGATGGAAGTTAAAAGTTGGGTTAATAATAAACTACATTTATATATCAGTTAACAGCTTGCTAAGTGCCCACATATTATTTGAGCTTCATACTTGCTTGCTGAGAAAGAATGGCTATTATTATCATTATCATCATTACCACTTTCCATTTTATAGATAACAAAACTGAGGCTCTGAGAATTTAAAGAGATTTTCCCCAAATCATTAAACGGTGACTTCTGAATCTGGATATATGACAAGACCTCTGTCCCCAGTCCCCTTGCTTTCACCTCTATAATATATAGTAGCTAAGCTCAGCTTTCTGAGAACTTCCCTGTCTTATGTCATATTTGACATTATAGGAGAATTGAAGATGTTTTGTAAGTACATACTTTGTTTACTACCTCAGTAGCCAGTATAACAAATGGCACTGAAGTTTTATGCTTTGCTTGCTAAAACCAGCACCATTTGTGAAACAGGTCTTGGCTCCGAGTTACCCTTAAATGTAACTCCTTTATTATAAAATCATTTGCAAAGAGCTGCAGAGATCAAGGAATACACTCTTCCCACTTCCCTAATGCCAGGTAGTACTATGACAGGACTTCATAGTACCACTTCTTCAACAAAATAAGTGTCTGCAGTGAAATATTTGTTAAAATGCACATTTCTCAGTGAATATATTTCTTTTAAAACTGAAAAAAATAGTACCTAACGGAAATTTTATCATTGCTTTAAAATGTATTTTAATGAAGATATTAAAAAATACCTTTGATGGATTCTTCAATATTGTCGAACTGCTCAAAATGATTATACTGTTATATGAAGTCTAAAATCTTTCATGCAACTTACAAGAATATTTTTGTTGTATGCAACACAGTTGGAAAATTCTAGTGGGACCATGTCCATGCAATTACTGATTATGTAATGCTGTAAATTTTTGATAAGCATGTTCCAAGTTTTCCTGTTCTAAAAACAAAAACATTAAAATCACCCACTGTTGAAGACAAAAGATCATTACTTTATTAGGAGATATTATTAGATATGTTTAGAACTAGTTAAAAAAAAAAAGTAAAAGACTGGTTAAAAAATTAAATTAACTCCACCAATAAAAATTCAGTTCCTTCTGTAGCTGATTAATGTAAGGTTCTTTCCACTGATGACCACTGAATAGAAAAAACTAAAGTAAATTTCATCATCATTGTAGAAGTGTAACTTATTCAAGTAAATGAGATAAGCCAATTTTATATCTATCAAGCTATAATTAAATAAGGATGATACTATTTGACTTATAAATGACCTCTGTTTTATATTTCCTGTGGAAATCAGCTAACTACAAAGGAATTGTTTATTAACTTACTTCACTAACATGATGAACAGAAGTATTTCAGGACTCATTTGCCCCTTTTTTATGTGACTCAGCGTCAGATTCTGCCCTTTGCTCTTCTGAGGTCAGTCTGACCCAGTCAGGTAAAATGAACAGCACATGAAAGTTTAGCGCATGCGGTCAGCATTCACGTACCTTGCTTTGGTTAAATAAATTCTTGAAATGCTTGATGGCTTATTTGCCATGAACTTGATAATTCCCCAAATTGCTGATGTTACCAGGTGCAAGGACAAATATTGATGGCTATGAACCTTGCATGGTGCTGATGCACTGTGATAGTCATATCTTGTTGTAAACCATGTTGTAGTGACATAGTTCCAGTTCATTTACCCATTCCCTGTATCAGAGAGTTTGGGCCATTGTTGAACATCGCTGAGTTCAGTTCATGGTGCTGGGTAGTTCACATTTCTGGAAGGGCTGTAAGGTTTGCATAATCGTCCAGTGCTATCATCATATCATCTTTGCCTGGAAGATGCATCTGCATAGCTTCAGTAGTTTTTAATGTCTTGGGATGCCCAACCCAGTACTGTGGGTTTCAATTTTTATCTGTCATCGCCACAAACCCCTAAATTAAAAAAAAAACATGAAGAATATTCAGGTGACTATAAACATTTCAAAGAAGGCCTCTACTTCTTGCTCTGGGTAAAAGGTAGATGCAGTCTCATGGTGGAACATGAGAGTTATCTCAGTTGGCTCTTGAAATGAGAATGTTTCACTGTTTCAGCTGAACTGAATAGTCACTTTAGTTTTTAAAAACCTGCTCAATTCAACAAAACATGATTGATTGCTCAGGTAAATTAATTGCCTCTGAGACACATGTTTGAAATAGATATCTATACTCTCTCTGATACTAGTGTGTAGCAATAACTTTTACTGTCCTATTTTGTTTAACTGTCTGTGTATGTATGCTCTAAAAAGGGGATTGAGGCTGGAAGCAGTGGCTTACGCCTGTAATCCCAGCACTTTGGGAGGCCGAGGCAGGCAGATCACTTAAAGTCAGGAGTTCGAGACCAGTCTGACCAAAATGGTGGAACCCCGTCTATACTAAAACTACAAAAATTGGCTGGGCGTGGTGGTGGGTGCCTGTAATCCCAGCTACCCGGGAGGCTGAGGCAGGAGAATCGCTTGAACCTGGGAGGCAAAGGTTACAGTGAACCAAGATCACGCCATTGCACTCCAGCCTGGGTGACAGAATGAGACTTCATCTCTAAATTAATTAATTAATTAATTAATAAAAAGGACATTGATTAAACTTTTTTTTTTCTTTTTTCTTTTTTTTTTTTGAGATGGAGTTTCACTCTGTCACCCAGGCTAGAGTGCAGTGGCGCAGTCTTGGCTCACTGCAACCTCCGCCTCCTGGGTTCAAGCGATTCTTCTGCCTCAGCCTTCTGAGTAGCTGGGACTGCCGGCACATGCCACCACACCTTGCTAATTTTTTTTTTTTTGTTTTGTATTTTTAGTAGAGACGGGGTTTCACCACATTGGTCAGGCTGGTCTTGAACTCCTGATCTCGTGATCCACCCACCTTGGCCTCCCAAAGTGCTGGGATTACAGGTGTGAGCCACCCTGCCTGGCCGATTAAACTTTTCAATAGCTATATCTACTGTATGGACTCTATTAATGTACATAATTATGCCCAGAAGAGAACTATATGTCATTATTAAATTTATGGTTAGAATAGTTGATCTATACTTTTTTCTCCTTAGCATTCCTTTAGCTGTGCTTCCAGAGCTGCTCAGAAACATGAGTTTTGCTTAATAATCCATAGCAGAGCTGAAGTCAAGAGGGGAAGGACCCACAGGACTTCAGCTGGATCTGGTTGGGAAAAGCTCAAGATTGGGAAATGGAACTTTGGTAGGCACATGTCAGTATGAAACATTTGCCTCACAGCCCCATACATGATTAACCTTTACTTTGCAGGGGAAAGGCTCACAGTCTTACTGCAGAATGAGAATAAACCTCATTTCAGTGGTTTATAAACTCTTAAATGTAACAGAATATAGGCCTAAAATTAGACATTGTATTCAGTCTGAGCTCTGCCACTTAAGAATTCTGGGACTTTGGGCAGGCTGCTTATTATCCACTAACCTCAATTTCTTCAGCTCCTAAAAGGGCAGTTGTCATACCTATATTATGGCACTGTTTTGAAGAAGAAATGAGGTAATGCCTAAAAGTGTTTAACATAGTCACTGGCACAGAGAAGATACTTAATAAATGTTGATTTCCTTCTTGTTCAGCAAAACCTTAAGGCAGAAAGCTCCTAAGGCATGATTATATATTTCATTCTTTCAGTAGCATTTGCCAAACATTTTTACCATATTGTTGCTAAGTAGGTAAAACAGAAAGACACATATCTAAATATGCAGAGACATATTTTGTAATGGAGGTACCACTCTGTTTTTGTAAGGCGTTGCTGATTCTCACTTCGCTTCTGCATCTCTGAATATGTTACAATTGTAAGAGATGTTTGAAGCTTTGGGGATCTTCTAATGGAAATGGGGGTTCTTCACCGAATGTTCATGTACCGACTTCAAGAGGTCAAAGAATCACGAATTGATATACAAAGTGGTGTATGTTGGAGTATAGTCGTCGCTTGGTATCTGCAGGGGATTCGTTCCCAGACATTCCCACAGATGATAAAATCCACGGATGCTCAAGTTCCTCACAGTCAGTCCTTCATGCCAGTGGGTTCTGTATCCATGGATTCAATCAACCACGAATTGAAAATACCGTCATCACGTAAAACTTGTAACATACATTCTAGGAAAAAGAAGAAAATAAAATCACCTTGGGAAAATAATCCTTAAAATTTTACTATGTAGGGATTTATTCTTCCAAACATATATATGTATTTTTGAAATCCTTTAAAAAATAATGCTGTATCACAAGCACCTTTCCCTATTATGTATTCTTCTACAGAATCATTTCAGTGGGCGTATAGTATTTCATGTTATTGATGGATCATTTGTGAAACCAATTCTGTGATGGTCACTGAGTTTGTTTGCAAGTTTTTATTATTATAATTAATGTGGCAATTAAGATCTATATTGCTCAAACATGACTGTGTACTTATAGATCATCTTTGTAAAAAAGCAGCATTAACTTGTGTTTTTAAAACATTTTTAAACAAAACTAAGTGATAAGAAATTGATCAACTCAGCCAGGCGTGGTGGCTCACGCCTATAATCCCAACACTTTGGGAGGCCGAGGCGGGCATATCACCTGAGGTCAGGAGTTCAAGACCAGTCTGGCCAATATGGAGAAACCCCGTCTCTACTAAAAATACAAAAAGTAGCTGGGTGTAGTGGCGGGCACCTATAATCCCAGTTACTCGAGAGGCTGAGGCAGGAGAATCACTTGAACCCACAGGGCAGAGGTTGCAGTAAGCTGAGATCAGGTCACTGATCTCCAGCCTAGGTGAAAAAGCGAAACTCAGTCTCAAAAAAAAAAAAACCTCTACCCTTTATTATTGCTTGCATACTTTGTAAAAGAATTTTTTCCAACCACTAGCCTCAATTATTTCTAAACTATTTTTAAACATTTATTAGATATATGGATTTGGCATATATAAGGAGTCTAGTTAGGCTTAAAACTATCTAAGGAACTACCAACTATCTAACATTTAAATAATAGAACAAAGAAGCCGGGTGCGGTGGCTCACACCTGTAATCCCAACACTTTAGGAGGCTGAGGCAGGCGGATCACGAGGTCAGGATATCGAGACCCTCCTGGCTAACACGGTGAAACTCCGTCTCTACTAAAAATACAAAAAATTAGCCGGGCGTGGTGGCGGGCGCCTGTAATCTCAGCTATTTGGGAGGCTGAGGCAGGAGAATGGCGTGAACGCGGGAGGCGGAGCTTGCAGTGAGCCGAGATCGCGCCATTGCCCTCCATCCTGGGTGACAGAGCGAGACTCCGTCTCAAAAAAAAAAAAAGAAAAAAGGCGGGCGGATCACGAGGTCAAAAGATCAAGACCATCCTGGCTAACATGGTGAAACCCTGTCTCTACTAAGCATAGAAAAATTAGTGGGGCGCAGTGGCCCACGCCTTAGTCCCAGCTACTCAGGAGGCTGAGGCAGGAGAATCACTTGGACCCGGGAGGCAGAGGTTGCAGTGAGCTGAAATCGCGCCACTGCACTCCAGCCTGGAGACAGAACGAGACTCCGTCTCAAAATAAATAAATAAATAAATAAATAAATAACGCATAATAGCTTCTATTTGGGGGTGGCAGGTAAACTATGGCATGTCAGGTCCCATCGGCATTTTCCGCCAATGATAGGGAGGCATGTTTTATGCCCCTGTCTTTCTGTTGATGAGAAAGGAGCAAGTGAAGAACTCCTTGGGTCTTAAGGAACAAGGACTAGAAACCCCACAATATTAGTGTTTCTGTTTTTTGTAATGATCTGTCACCTCCTGTTTGTTTTCAAAACCCATGAGATTTTAACTCTGCATGTGTGTGTACATGTGTGTTTCTTCCCTGTTCATATTGCCTCCCTATCCATCAGAGAATATCTTAAATGCCACTGGGATACTTGATGCCATCCCCTCCATTTGTGGGTTTGTGGGCTAGTCCAGCAACAGGCTTTGGAGAAGTTACTCGCTACTTTATTATAACATACTTAAACTCAATAGCAATTCAGGCCTTACTGGGTATTTACCTAATTTATTGTGGCAATGCGGTATTTAGACCACTGATTAAGTGAAGTTTGTCAGTATAGTTAAAAGAAATTAGAGACACTATCATTGCTAAATCACTTTACAATTCAAAGAAGAATTGTAAACATATGAATCCATTTAATTATAATAGTGCCAATTATAAGAGAAATTGTAACGCTGGGAACAGTGGCTTTTATGTAATCATAATAATGGCATGTATTTATCTTGGTTTGGCAAGTTAGGCCTTTCTTTAATACTTGGCTTTGCCTAAATAGAATGTGGTTTGCTGAAACCCACAATAACCCCCACACCCTCCAATTTGTTATTGCAGAAAATACTGAACAATAATCATGCGGTATGAATGATTAATGTATGCATGGGTTAGTAAGTATATTTGAGGTTTAAAAAGTGTTTTTATTTACATTCTTCTGTTGGCTGAAGGTATAAAACAAATAAATATAAATCCACATGTTAAATATTCTCATCCCTTTCCATACAGATACTTGCAGTGTGAATACAATCATAGCTTTAATTCATTGTTTCTGTGCTTTTTTGGTTTACTCAACACGTGTCTTTTAAATATATTTCAACTGTAGTATTTGATAGTAATCCATTTTTTAATTTACTAAGTACTTTGAATATAGCTTCCCCAAAACATAGAAATAATCAATTTAATAATATCTGAAGATTGGCAAACTTCATTTATAATGTTGTGTTCAAATAATACTATCAGAATAACAGTTGTTTGAAGAGTGTATGTATAAAAATTACATTCTCTATTTAATAAGATTACTATTATTATTGAGGAAGAGGTGCTATCTAGTGGTATAAACAAAATTATTATGGAATTGAAACATTTCTACACTTTGGTGTCAGGGTTTTCATTTATTTCTGTTTCCTGCTTCCAGAAAGATAATTTGCAGCAGTTTCACACTGTGTATTAGTAGATGTGGAAGGAAATCCTACTTTGCTGAGAAAAGAAGGAAGGAATTTAAGTTTAAAAGGGATCTGACAAAAACTTATTTAAAAATTTTTATTTTAAGAATAAATAGACCTTCCATAGACACTTAGCATTTATTGTAAAAGCTGTATTTTATAGAGAACAGTAGAAATCCAAATCGTTGATAGTTTTGCAAGACATAGCCAAAAAGTGAAGATAAATGGTGGATTTTAAAAATTGGCATCCTGAAAGAGTTAATATTTTTATTAGTTGAAATTTGATATAAAATTGTGGGCAACCCATGACATGGTTTGGAGTACTTGATTATTCTTTTCTCAATAAATAAGAGTGGCGTACAGTTAATTTCAGCACTGTAATTGAGCAATGCATTCTGGGAAGTTAAAAAGCACTGTAAGATGAGGAAATGTTTTAGGGACTAATCATGAGAAGAAAGGAGCCTTTCATAGCCCGTATGATGCTGTTGTCAGAGCTAAAGGCAGATAATGATTCGGTAATAATGGCACATTGTGAATATTTAAGCTGAAAAGATTTGGGCAAAATGAACAGACATTGTTGGTTTGTTAAAACTGAGCGTTTGGTCTTTGGGCTTCAAAAGCACTCTGAACTCTGTACAACATTTTTGTTCACAAATTTTCTCTAAAACAAGATACTTTTAAAATAAGTTATGTTAAACACTATCACTATATGAAGTTTTAAAGTGATCTACGTGTTTTAAGTTTTACTGTAGAAATGGATAGTGTGGGCTCTTTGTTATGGAGAAGTTTAAAAAGTTTTACGGTTTTCTTACACATATTTTAAATTTAGTTGGCAGAAGCAACACCTTTAAAGAATATTCTCATAGCAATGATGTAAAATATTAAATCTAAGTCCAAGAGTATCCAGTTGCAAAGAAAGTCAAGTAATTTGCATTATGTTTCTAAGGTTTCCGTTATACCGTTTAGAGTCTTGCAGTTGGGTTTCTATGTACCTTGCCTTTTCTCCTCATTAGCATATTTTCAACCTGTTTGTTTTCATTCTTGAATCATCTGTTACATGCAGATGTATTCAGCTCTAGTTTCCCATTTTGGGGTGAATGTTACCAGGAGTTTAAAGGTTGAGTCCTTATAGTCTTTCTTTAACTTAGGAAAAGAAGAGAATTGAGCCCTGAGAGCTGAGAGGTATAGTTTCAAACTTACTAACTTTAATGATGGGTATTTAGAGTCAGTACCACATCTGGTAAAAAGCTAGATTCTGTTTTGCTAAAGTATAGGTAAAACACTGTTATGCTGAAATAATGCTTTATAGAACTTTAAAAATGTGATTCAATTAGAATACTCCTTTAGAGTAGGTTTTAAGACAGAATTCAACCTTCATATATGTAAGATATGTATATCTCCAGTGAGCTCTCATTTATTATATATATGCTACAGTGACATAAATAATTCCAAGTCTGGTATTTCCTTTATAAATATACTTTTCATGTGCAGTTTTATACAAAGACTGAAATGAAACAGATTTCTGAGGCTATACAAATGTTTTTTCTTGAGGAAGAAATGATTACTTATTAAAATGGCTTCACAATTTAAACCAAAATAACTTTTTTTTGTTTCTGCTCTGAAATTTTTTTGAAGGGAAAAAATGTTGCCGAATGTTTACACTAACATTCATTTTTACCCATATGCTTTAAATCTGTGTATTTGTTTAACCAAATATTGTTTATTTTTAGAACTGTTTAATCTTTCTTTTTAACTGGAATTTTTTAACAGCAGTTCTTTGAAAATTAAATTGAATAAAATTTCACTATTTAAAGAACATTTTCTTTAGGAGTTTTAACCAAGAAGTAAATCATTTATTACCATTAGGTGAGACTACTCTTTGGCCAGGAAATAGAGACCAGAAGCAAAAATAAAATAGAGCAAATGTTTACCAGGAAAATGTGTTGTAATCCAAGCATATTCTTGTGTCATTTTTTTAAAAAAAGTAGCTTTAATGAAAGGTGTCACATGCAGCTATGAGTAGAAGAACCTTTCCCTGTACTTTGCAAGGAGACAAAATATGGATTTTGATGGACCTGTACAAACTTACAGTTTTTCAGGTTTCATAAAGGGAATTGAGAATATAAAATGAGACTACTTGGAAACTCCACAAATTTTAACTTATTTTTAGAATATAAGATAAACATTTCAAATTATATTTTAAAAATTTTATGATCACTTGTTGACTTTCTCTGAGATTCCACGATTCCAGAATTGTTTTTTTGTAAATATTTTGTCTGAATGTGGAATTCTCATTTGATAATAAACAGTAATTTTATTTAGAATGATAGCTATCCTCCACCTCTTCTCTGTATTTCTATTTATTAAAATTTACATTTTCTAATTGGACAACTCTGTGACCAAAATCTAGATCATTAGGGTGCTAAATTCTATTAACAAATACTTTGAGGTTTTCTGAGGATATCAACTAAAACTTCATCTCAGAAACCTTCTAGAAAAATTAAATTTTGTTTTAAATAATTAAAACCCATATTCAGAAACCAGCCTGTTTGAAAACTGACCTCTCTATTTACATATTACCAGAGGGTTCTTGCCTAATATGAAGAAAAAAGCTTGTGTTAGAGTTGGGTTTTATTTGGAGGTGGGGAGGACTTTTAATGCTGATAAGATAGAATTTTACTTATTGAGATACATACAGTAAGGTCAGTTAGACACTGTGTTTAAAATAGGGAAATTATTACTTAGTTTTTAATATTAGTTTAATATTTAAAAATTAGTTTTAAAAATATATTTAAAATTAGTTTATTGTCTTGAACTTAACTTTTCAATTTAATTTTAAACAAGTTTACTTAAGTCTAACTTTTAAAAGCTCAAGTTAATATTAGCCAAAATATACTTCTTAATGCTTATCTCTTATGCTCCATAGAAAAAAGTGTGCTTTTTTGGTGAATTAAGATTTAAATATGTATGCATACTGTTGTCTCTCTTGGAGAGAGTCATGACGCACATTAATATATTAGAGGGTCTGAGAACTTTGTTTAAACTAGCAGTAGCCAAATTTATTTGTCAGTGGAATCCTTTTTTCATGCAACCCCCATTAACCTCCCAAAACACACTTTGAGAAATTATGCCCTTAGCCTTTTCTCTGCTTTTGAGTGAAGAAACTTATTCTGATTCAGTCCTGTTGGTGTAAAAATCATCTTCCTGCTGACCCTTCTGTTTATCTGAAGCCCTTAAAAATTAATAACGCTCTAGTCTCCATTTGGTACCAAGTGCCTGGTGGTGGGGGACTCTGTCTCAGAAGCAGTGATACTTGATTCAGTTGTCTCACCTCCTCTACTCATCTATCCAGTCCATTGCAATTTACTCTAAGTACTTCAAACTGTGTCCTTGGAAGACAGAGTTGCCTGGAGCTATTCCAAGTTGGCAAAGGGATGTTCTAATAAAGCTCTTAAGTGGTACTACTTGCTGATCAAGAGCAGAGGATAAGGGTGTTGAAAATGTGATGCTGCAAAGGTCATTTCATGAGGCACTAAAGTCCATTTTTAAAAGGTCTCCACTCCTTTCACCCCATAATTTTGAGTATTGGAAAGATTTACTAATGAAGCTCTTTGCTGTGTTATCCCTGCCAAGAAACAGACTTTAAAAATATATTATTTTCCAGATTCATGACATAGGAATCTATTGAACCCTTCCACCTTAAGTTTGCTCCATTCCTCAAAATGTGTTTCTATCACTTATATATTTTGTTTTTTGTTTTTTTAAAAAACAAAAAAAAAAGTCTGTGAGAAGGAAATTGATTTGAAGGTTTTAGCCTAAAACACAGTAAATACTCAATGTAAAGCCATTACATGAGTTTTTATGTCCATAGTACTTTTTTTTTTTTGAGACTGAGTCTCGCTTTGTTGCCAGGCTGGAGTGCAGTGGCCCAATCTCAGCTCACTGCAACCTCTGCCTCCCGGGTTCAAGTGATTCTCCTGCCTCAGCCTCCTGAGTAGCTGGGACTACAGGTGCATGCCACCATGCCCAGCTAATTTTTGTATTTTTAGTAGAGACGGGGTTTCACCATGTTGGCCAGGATGGTCTTGATCTCTTGACTTTGTGATCCGCCTGCCTCGGCCTCCCAAAGTGCTGGCATTACAGCTGTGAGCCATCGCGCCCAGCTCGTACTTTTTTTTTTTTTTTTTTTGCATGTGAAAGAGATGGAGCAACTATAGCAGGAAATTTTATTTTGTATCACCAAAAGGAAGTTTGCTTGTTCGTATCTACGATTGACATCTTCAGTACTTGCTGAATAAGCACAAATGATTCCTTTTCTATCGCAATATATATGTTTGCATCTACCTAAGAGATTTTAGATTTGTGAGTGTATGGAGCCCTCATTAGTATGAGAGATTAATTTATTTCAGTGTTTGAGCTGTTACTGAGCTTAAAATCTTAAAAAACACACACAATACAACACCAGCTCTGTAATCTTTTTACCGAGTAGACTATAATAATTCCAGAAGATTTAACATAGTTTATTAGATGAATGGCTTGCAACTTTAAGGGACCATAAACTTATATTTAAAAATTATCATAAGTAAAACAGGATTCTGACAGTAATGCATGTAATCTAATTCACTAATGTATCAGTTGTGAATACTTTTTAGATATCCAGTAAACTAAAATGAAACAGTGGACATACAACAAACATGTGTAACAGAAGAAAACCCAACTTTAGAAGAAAGTAGTATTTGTGTAATATTTAATGTGGTACGATAGTAGTAGCATTACAAGATTAGTGATCAGCTGGGGTTATTAAACCAAAGTTTGCCTCATGCTGTCGACGTTAAGCAGCCACTTGGTAAAGCCTGGGAAGTAACATGTGCCTCAACAGTTAGCACTTAAAGACTGTGTTTTAACGAGTCTCCAGATATGTATTTACATGATAGACCATACTAACACCTTTTAGTGTTATCTGTCAATCAAGATTTCATAATATTCCTTTACAAAATGTATCTGCTGTCCACATCCATTATCCTACTCTACTTACTTTGTATTTTTATGTATTTATTAGGAATTCATAGTCACCTGACCTCTTGGCAGCCATCCCTAAACTTCACATTAACCCTGCTTCTCAGGGATTGCAGGGGTCATTTTAACCCCCATGAACCTGAAAGGTCCAAATAATTCAGTCCAAAGATGGTTGAAAAGGGATCTGCAAAGTCTCCTCCCACAAAGAAATGCTTTATTTCATGCATTTGGCAACCAACCCCTCCCATCTTTTTATTTTTATTTTTATTTTTGGTAAAGGGATTTTACATCAGACAGATATTATTAAAAAATTTTATTTAACACTCAGACACATTTTATTCTAAAACGAATGCTTGCTCAAGAGTCTAAGAAGGCTTCATGGGAAGAGCAAAGCAATCTAAGCCATATGTATTGGGCAGGTTGCCAGTTGTTTGCCAATATGCCCAAGCCACCTGGCTGTGCATTCAGCCAAGTATGCCATTCCGACCAGCCAGCTTTAACCTCCCGGCTGCTTTTCAGCACTTAGGAAACTCCAAAGGCCTGGGAGCTGCACTTCATTTCTCCCATGCCAATAGTTTTCACTTATACAAACTGCACAGCTACACTGACCGGTAACTCTCAAACGCCCATTTTGAATGAGCTCTCCTTTTGTTTAAAGCACCATTCACTGGTGTTGAACCAGTGCCATAAGATGAGTCTGGAGATAGCAGACTGAAACCTTTACCCATATGCCATAGACAGACACTTTGACTGACAAGCAGCATTTTTTTCCCAAGCCTGTAGCGACAGGGTTTTGTGATTCTGGTTTGCTGAGATTTGGATTGGCTTTATTTGCCGCTGGTTTCAATTTTATTTTGGGTGGTTCTAACTTTTAAATGTTTGGAAACGTTTGTTCATTTGATTTTCCCTTTTTGTTTAGTTTAGAAATTGGTTGAGCTGTTTCATAATTTATCAAGCTTGATTTCATAATCTTTGGCAATCTAGGTCAGGAATCATGCAGAACAGGCACGATTTGATGATGGGATCTTGAAGACTGATTCGTTCTTTTTAAAAGTCACGATAGAGAAAGCTTTACTCCTGAAAGGCGGTATTCTTTCTTTCATCAGGGCGTAAAAATTATATAATGCCTTGTTTCCCTTTTTGCCTTGGCTCCCAAGAAACTCAGAGATAAGTTTAATTCTTAACCTTGGTGAATATTTCAGCCTAAGTTTTTGCCCCCACTACTTCTCTAACCCCTGCAGTTTTTGTTCATGTTTTTCTTCTTTTATGGACTTAAATGTGTATGTGTGCTAATTTACTATATGTTTATGAACCATCTCAAATTATTTTTGGAAGGTAGATGAAGTAACCAGTAAGTAAATAAAACTTCAGATTAGAAACTTTAGTCTATTCCTAATTAAAATCTTTAAGTGGCCTTGTCTGGTATCATAAGCAGGTGTTTCAGATTCATTATCTCAGGTTTTAAATGAGGAAAGCTGTGAATATTTAAGCCTAGAAGTTTCATTATTATAAATTTTTGTGCTAGCCTTTGGACTGACCAATTTATTATTTTCTATCACTATTGTGGTCTGTACATTCTCAAGTTGATGCCATTTCCCTCTTCCCGGCTCAATGACCACTATCTCTCAGATCTTGAAGATCTGTTTTGGCTTGGTTCCAATTTAATCAGTCTGAATGGATCCTATTGAGTAACTTGACTCATTCACCCTGCTAAAGAGAGTCTGAATACACTATTTCTGAAGGTTTTTTTAAACCTATTATAATGTTCTTTTTTATTAGAATTGTCAGTCATTTCAGGAAAAACATGTGATCTGTATGTAAGTGTGTTTTGAGAGTCCATTTTTCATCCCATTAATAAGACCCATTCGAATTGTAGCATTTTGGCCAAAGTCCTGTGACACACTCAACAAAGCCGTGAGCAAGGTGGAGTTGCACCAGCTCACAAGATGGATAGACAGAGCTGGGGGAAGTGTCCCAGCGGGTTTTTGCAGTCTGTCAGAGGAGCTGCAGCTGTAACCACCCATCTGTGCATCCTTGGCTTGGACTGGGCTTCAGTATTGAACACTTACCCTGAAGAAAGATGTTCAAAGAAATGGATGGTGTGGCTCAAATAATAATGGCCAAAATGTGACAGGGTTAATGTTGGAAGAGAAAAACTATTATGTTCCAGAAACTATGAGATTTAGCTTTTTGGCATTTCTAAAATTTTAAAATTTCTGCAGTATTCAATTCATTCATTCATTTTGTTTTTTTCTGGACCTGGTAGAAATACTGGGCTTTCTGTATTTTTTAAAAAAAATGTGTACATGAAGGTTTTCGGTGTAATGTTAAATCCAAAAGAATCCTGAAGATCATATTAGTAGTATTTTCCCTGATTTATGTTTATATCTTATGATTTAAGCTTTCTTCGTTAGGCAGCCACATTGTATGTCTTTGCTCTCTAATGTTTATTATCTCCTCATTTATTCTGAGATATAAATTTTTCTTTTGAAAACATTTGAGTGCAACAATAAGCTCAATAATCCTGAACAAAGAAAAGACTATTAATTATTTGTGCCTTTAAAGGTTAATTATTTCAACCTTAAAAGAATCTTATAAGAACCCATTAATAAAAAAGAATGCAAATATATTGCCCAAAAAAATACACAAATTATTGTCTTTCATATAGGGGAGGAAATAAATATGTTTCATCTGAATTGTCTGAAGTAAGTCATGAATGGAGTCAGGGTAAAAGAAAAAAAAAAAGCAACGTAATTTTTTCCTTTATTGGAACCAAATTTCTTAATTCCTCTGTACAAATCAACTTGACCATTTTATTGAACTAAAAAGCATAAAATATAAGATCACGTTAAAGATATTCTTAGAAAGATAAATTACTATGTCATTTTTCTCAATATAACCCGCAAATTACTCAGTCATATATTCTGAAAATAAATATCTTTTGTATTTATGCTTGAAATTTTGTGATATATTTATAGTGCAGTGAATTTTTCATCCCATCTCTCAAATATTTTCTCATGTACATAGGCCTCCAAAACATCATTGTTGCTCTAGGTAAGATCTTAGGAAATGTTTTATTAAAATTTCTTGTATTTGATTTTGTTTGATAAGCTCAAACAAAAATGGAATGTGAAACTAGATGTCATCTCAAAGAGAAATCAATATTGGTTCATTTATTGAATGCCTACTATGCTAGGTGCTATAAGAATCCCATCCTTGCTCTGTGATCAAAGTCTGATTGAATCAGGAGCTGTGTGTCTTTCCTTCCTCCCCAACATGCATTTATTGCCTTTTCATTCAAATTTTAAATATTTTAAATGTTGACTTTTCTACAAAAATCTGGGATACAGGTGTGAAAACCTTACTAAAAATCATGTGGAACAAAAAGAATTTGATACAATTTAGCATTGATTCCAAATTTTTTAAAACCAGTAACAAAGGAGAATAGTATCCTTAACAGGATAAAATTATCTATGTCATGTCAACAGAAGGAATCATACTGAATTGTGAAATATTGGAATCATCTCCCCTAAGATCAGGAAGAAAACAAAGATGGCTGCTATCACCATTATTATTTAATGTTCTTCTAGAAGTTTTGGACAATGTCATATTATATGACTTAGAAATAAGAATTATAACTATCTGAAAGGAAGAAATGAAATTATCACTATTTGGAAATGATAGAATTATCTACCTAGACAAAAGGTTTAATTAAAAAACATTTGGAATTAATAAGAAAATTTAGCAGAAGATCTAGTTAAAAGATAAACATCCCAAAGCCAAAAATTGTGTTATATAATCATCTCCAATAAGAAGCTGTGACAGAAAAAAGATCTCATTCAGGAGAGCAATAAAAAACAGAATATCTAGAAATAACCTTAAAATAATTTGACAGTAATTTGATGGAAAGACCTACTGTGAAGTGGGTGTTCTGAATTATGAGAGTTATATGAATAGGAAGGAATGGCATCTAATGGTATCACCCCTTAAATATTTCTGTCAAATCATAACCTAGAAGTTATCTCTTACTCTTCTTTCATGTTTCATATCTAATCATCCACTAAGTTCCCCGAGTCCACCTTTTCATTAGCATGCAAATTAATTCCTATCCTACCCTATGTTTCCTTCAATTTTAGACCTTTATTATTTCTAACCTAGACTTTGTAACCTCTTTACTCCCAGTCTTTCCCAATCATCTATCCCTTCATTACACTACTGCCAGAGTGATCTTTCTGAAATAACAACTATTGCTCCTTTGTTAACATACCTTCATTGACTCCCTCTCACCAGCTGTATAAAGTCCACTCTCCTCACCCGCATCCCGTTTTTCACACTTGGGCACACCCTGCTCCAGCTCTGTGTTCTAGCTGGGTTGCCATGCTTACAGTTTACCAAGGTGCTGTGCTTTACCAGTGCCTCAGTACTGCAGTGTCAGTGCAGGGCCATTGCGTCTTCTGGTTTCTCTACAGGACACTCTCCATCTAAATGGCTTCACAGTGTGGAAAACTCCAGCTCTTCTTTACATTCAGTTTAGGCATTGGATCACTTGGAAAACCATTCCACACACTTTCTTGCAGTTAGGGACTTACCTTCCCTGTTTCCTGAGAAGCTTTGTATACTTCTGCCACAGTACTTATCACATTATACTGTAGCTACTAGTGACCCCCACTAGAGTGTAAAGCTCGTTGCATCTCTAGCATGTAGCTCAGTGGCTGGCTCTTTGTTATTTGTTGAAATGTATATTTTTAACAAATTTGATACTCATGAAGTTCTGTGTTTCTGAGATAATTTTATAGTTACACAGCTGTTTTCTGGGACAGTTACTTTAAAATTTCCTGGTTTTTTCTTTTGCATATTGGAACTAAGCAATGACTGGATATAAAGTATCACTATACACATATTTGATGTCACCACTAAAGTTTGACCAATGTTTAATGGTTTTTCAGGAATAAAAATAAAGTCCTATGAATTAGGATATAAATTGTGTTTATGTTGCCACTGCTTACCATTTCTTTGTTAGATGTTATGCCTAGATTAATGTCATTAGCTTATATGCTGAAAATGTAATCACATAATGTTTTTAAAATAGTAAATGACACAATTATTATATATATGTAAAATTCAGATCCATTCAAAAAATATCCATGTTCTTTTATATGCTTAGGACTCAACTTGGTGCTATTGTATTTAGCTATTGTAAAATAGCTCAGCCTTTAAGAAGTTTGTATATAAGGTAAGACCTGCTTATATAACAGCCAATTTAAGATTAAAAATAGCAGTCTAAGCTGAGTATAGTGGCACATGCCTATAGTCCCAGCTACTCAGGAGGCTAAGGCAGGAGGATTGCTTGAGCTAAGAGTTTAAGGCTACAGTGAGCTGTGATTGTAACTGAGAATAGCCACTGTACTCCAGCCTGGGTAACACAGAGAGACCATGCCTCAGTGTAAAAAACAAACAAACAAACAACAACAACAAAAAAAAACAAAACAAGAAATAATACAACAGTATTGCATTCTGAGAGGGCCTATATCATCTATTTTATAGATAAGGAAACTGACTTTCAAAGAAATTCTGTGACTACTATCATTACCCAGCTGTTAGTGACGGGTTTGAGGCTGGAACCTTAGTTTTCAGTTTCTTGATTGAGGGCTCAAAACAGAACTCAATATGCAAAAAAGAAATGTAATGCATTGGGAAAGTATAAAGCAAGTCCACAAAGATTAAACAGAACAGAACAGTGATTCTGGATTTTTCTAATAGTTTTTCCCTTAATTTACTTCTACGTTTGTAGAAGTAAATATTGAGTAGGTTATATCTGAATAATAAAGCATGGCATTGGGTAGCCCTTCAGTTTTATAGGCATTCCACAACCACTAATTATGAATAATCCAAGTTTACAAATATTCCTCTGAGTGATTGGGCTAGACTCATTTTAACTAAAAGGGAAAATTAAGCCATATATATTATATATGTACATATTTATGTAAAGCATAGTATAGCAATATTACATAAAAGTTTTATTGCCATGAGTTTGAGATGACATGTTATAAGTGGTAAAGCCACAAGTGAATTATGCAGGTCATCTCAACTAAATGCCAAAAATGTTTTTACTGTACCACATCATCCAGTATTCTGCCTATGCTACAAATTTAAAGAGAACCAATTTTAGAAATTTCCAGAGTTGTAAAAGTTTTTATTGGCACTATATTTCAAACTTGCTGGCCTGTAAATATTAGTTCCATTAATTGTGGCAAAAATTAATGCACAGAGATTTTTTTAAAAAACACTTGTGACAGGAGTTTTTTTTAAAAAACATCTTCCTTTCCAGTTTAGTTTAGTTTTTCCTGCTCTAAGTATAAACACTTTCTACTTTCTTCCCTTTTTATGTAAGTTTTTTTCTTTTTTGAAACCCATCTCAAGCTCCATCTCCAAGAAACTCTCTGTGGGTACTTACGTCACCCCAAGTTTATTTTTCTGAACTCTTGCTTTTTCACTCATTGCTCATAAATTCATTTGGCAAGAATTTTTCGTTGGGTTTTAACCACTCTTTTAGTTCTGGTTTGTTCTATTTTTTTCTCAGAATTGTAATTGAGTGTATATTGTCTTTGCTAAATAAATTCTAAGCTCCTAGAGTGTGTATTTAGTGCCTTTATATTGTCTCTGGACTCTGGAGCACTGCTTTTTAAAAAAATGTTCTTTCTTTTTTCCCCCTCCCTCCTTGCCTTTCACAGACATTGATTCAGTACCTACTATATTCTTGTCTAAGCTATGCATTGGATTTTGTAGATGAAAGGCAGCCTAGAAAAAATCTTATACAGAAATTATTCTCAAACTATTGTGTGCACAAAAATCACTTGGAAAGAATTGTTAAGCAAGTATTTTCCCAAGCCTTAAATGCAGAGATTCTGAACTAGAGGCCAAAGATCATGCTACTGAATACCAGGTGATTCAGATGCAGGGAGCCCACAGACCATACTGAGAAACTCAGTTCATAGGTGACGGGAGAAAGTTCCGTAAGTTGACCGTCACGATGCTAAGCTATTTAAAAAGGCCTGTGGTAGCAACATGCTGCAGGTATTTGAGGAGCCCAGTGAAGGGGAACCTACTGAAACTGGGGAAGTCAGAAGAGTCTCGTCATAGTTGGTGCTTACTACTTGTGCTGTGAATAGAAGAATGAATATTTGAATTTATAATTGGAGGAGGTGGTTGAAATCCTGGGGCCTTATGACCTTGAACAAATTCCTTAATTTCTCTGAGCCCGAGTTCCTTTATCTGTAAAATTGGGATGATAGTAACCACCTCAAAGAGGATTTGTGAGATGAAATTAATAGACATAAGTAAAAAACCTAGCACAGTGCCGACGCAGAGGTGCTCAATCAATAATTACACTTTCCCTTCTGTGCCAGCAGCCTCCTGGAGATAGCTGTGGTCTCTCCTTGGGAGGGTGTTTGGCCATGGGTCAGTGTATCCACAAAGCTACAAAATTGGTTTCCATTACATTAGTTTCAATAGTTGCTTGGCATAATTTATGATTTTCTACTGAGAATCTATAGGTAGATCTACAGAGAGCTGTGAAGAGATCCTTGACCTCTTAACTGTTTCTTGTTTTAAATCATCTGGTCAGAAGGGGAAGTGAGAGAATGGCTCTCCTTTCCACACAAAGACCTAATGTAGAAAGTGGCTCCTGGCTGGGCGCGGTGGCTCACACTTGTAATCCCAGCACTTTGGGAGGCCGAGGCGGGCGGATCACCTGAGGTCGGGAGTTTGCGACCAGCCTGACCCACATGGAGAAACCCCATCTCTACTAAAAATACAAAATTAGCCTGGAGTGTTGGCACATGCCTGTAATCCCAGCTACTCAGGAGGCTGAGGCAGGAGAATCGCTTGAACCCGGGAGGCGGAGGTTGCGGTGAACCGAGATCGTGCCATTGCGCCCCAGCCTGGGCAACAAGAGTGAAACGCCATCTCAAAAAAAAAAAAAAAAAAAAAAGTGGCTCCTGAGACCACAGACCCAGCTTTGTGGTTTTGAATGCTTGATGCTGATAATCCTTGCGTTATGCGGGTATACGTCTGCCTCCTCTGTTCCGATTGCCAACTCTTCTGTGAGCTCTGAAAGTTTGTTCTCTTGTTTCTACCCACCTACCATATTACTTTGCCCTTACTAATCCCTTCATAAATACTAGCATATAAAAGAAAGTAGTCCCTCAGAGAGGCCCCTAATGGTTAGCTCTAGTCCCAGCAAGAGATGCAGTATTTAACTACTTTAGGCAAAAAAAAGGTTGTGCTTTTCGTGTTACCATAAAACTGTCAATATTCCCTCCTTTCTAGCTGTGCTGCTTTAATGGTCTGAGAGCGGATGACTTACAAGTTACTCAAGAAGACTGAGTATGTATTTTGACTGCCTGCACTTCCTGAATAGGCTTTTTAAATTAAAAATACAGTTTATGTTGTTTTACTTTTTTTGTTGTTGTTTTTAAGTGGCTACATCTGCATTGTTTCCTAAAAACACAATAGCTGCGATTGGCCATACCAGTTGGCATCTGTCTGTGGTTCCCCTGGCTTCTTATTTTAGTTCCTCCCTCTTCCTGGTAGGTCCTGTCTTGATCCTAGTCAAGCCTTTATACCCCTTTTAAGACTTTTTTCTTAAGAAAGAAGCTATTCCCACAAAAATAAGTTGCCACTTGCAGTGAAAGGCATAATGGACAGGAGGACCAGTGTTTGTTGAGTGAATAAAGGAATGAAACTACTACATCACAGGCAATTTTTAAAAATGAACAAAGGGGCTGGGCGCGGTGGCTCATGCCTATGATCCCAGCACTTTGGGAGGCCGAGGCGTGTGGATCATGAGGTCAGGAGATCGAGACCATCCTGTCTAACACGGTGAAACCCCGTCTCTACTAAAAATACAAAAAAATTAGCCAGGTGTGGTGGGTGGTGCCTGTAGTCCCAGCTACTCGGGAGGCTGAGGCAGGAGAATGGCGTGAACCCGGGAGGCGGAGGTTGCAGTGAGCCGAGATGGCGCCACTGCACTCCAGCCTGGGCAACAGAGCGAGACTCCATCTCAAAATAAATAAATAAATAAATAAATAAATAAATAAATAAATAAAAATAAAAAATAAAAAAAAATGAACAAAGGTTGGGTTTGGTGGCCCATGCCTGTAATCCCAACACTTTGGAAGGCTGAAGTGGGAGAATCACTTGAGCCCAGGAGTTTGAGACCAGCCTGGGCAACATAGTGAGACCCCATCTCTTTAAAAAAAAAAAAAAGCTGGGTGTGGTGATGCACACCTGTGGTCCTAGCTACTTGGGAGGCTGAGGTGGGAGGATCGCTTGAACCTGGGAAGTTGAAGCTGCAGTGAGCTGTGATAGTGCCACTGCACTCCATCCTGGGTGACAGAGTAAGATCCTGTCTCAAAAAAAAAAAAAAGAAAAAGAAAAAGAAAGAGACAAAAGGTTTTTCAGCTTCATTTGTAAGAAAAAAGACTGAGTTGGCTCCCCCACTCAACTGAAGATTGTCTTGCTATTATAGAGACACATAGTTGTTTTAGGTTAGTGCCTGACAATGTGGATGACAGATCAGTGGGGAATGATATGTTATTTACATGGTTCTGAACTTCACTTCCCTCCTCTTATCCCTACTTTGGGGCTGATCTTATGTTCTACTGCTGATTCAGAACACGTTAAAAACAGCCTGAAATGGGCAATTCATCTGCATCCAATTCAAGGTATACTTATTGTTTTGGAGAAAAGTCCATCTTAAAAAAAAAAAAAAGGTGGAAAGAGAGGGCAGAGAGAAGCCAATTTCTCTAGGTCAGTATCAACATGGGAACAGCCATCCTATTTAGAGCTGACAAACCCAGTAGCCATCTGAGAGAGTTCTTTAGCTAAATAGGTGTGAAGCAGGGGCTGTATCTTGAGGGTACTTGTAGTTAGGGTCCCCAAACATATGGCACAAGCTATCTTTGAACAAAATAACAGACGGCAGTGTTTGCTCTGTGCTTTTAAGGCAGGTGTTTTATATAATTTTTACGTTATTTATTTGATATGATTTCTCACCAATGTACTTCATCACATCTAAACCCCAAATCATGACCCTTACCTACAAAAATACTACACAGAGAAAGAGAAAATGCCGAAGTTGTAGGGCTAACAAACACCTTCCAAGCCACACTTTGGCCTAATAGTATTACTTGGATATGTTTTTAACAGGTACTAAACAGGATTTTTTTTTTTTCAAGAAAGGACTTCTTTCTTGTTTGTGATCATTTTGTTATTTTTGCAACTTCTTTCTTTTCCTTATTGTCTAAAATGGCTCAGTGTATTCATCAGTGGTATTAACGTGTGAAGGACATAACCAAGGACTTAGTCCATAGGCAGATATGGTCCATTTCTCTAATCATTTCCTGCCCAAAGAGCTATGGCAATCACTCTTTTGCTTGTCACCAGTGAGAATATCTTAAGAAAATTAAATTTTCTAAGAAGAAAACAGAACAACCTCTTTGAAGCCATAGCCAATGACTCTTTCATACTTTTATTCCAGAGGCTGAGGTGTTTCATAATTGTTGAATGAATTAATTAATACATATCTAGAACCCTTCTTCTCAAGTCCAGTCTAATATAAGCTCCTGAAGGGTGGGGACTTTTTGTCTCTTGTTCACTGCTCTATTCCTAGCACCTTGATCACTGCATGGCACATAGGAGATGTGCCTCACCTCTCCACCACCATGTTGAATGAATAAATGATCAAAGCATTTCTTAACCCTAAAATAGTTGGTGATATAGTTATCTCTCATTTGCATTATTGAGAACATCAAACTTACATAGCCATGTCGCAAGTCAAAGCACTCTCCCAACTCAGAAAAATATGCACTTATTATTATTTTAATTTTGTATTTCCATAGGTTATTGGGGAATAGGTGGTGTTTGGTTACATGAGTAAGTTCTTTAGTGGTGATTTGTAATTCTGTTAAACAGAAGGTAATATGAGAAGCTCATCTTTGTTGGATGACATTAGCAACAGAAGAATTAGTTTGACAATTGACTGATAAATCTCTGGCAGAGAAAATATTGTGCTTATGTATATTAAAACTGAAATTCAGAAAACAAATAGTGTTTTCATCATTGGCAGAATAGGTAAAAGCAAGTAAACAAACAAATAAAACCCATTGTGGGTGTTCTTTAATCAACAGAATCAACAGGAGATAAGCCCTTTTGTTTCTTCATTAGTTATTCCATGCAAGTTTTTTTCCTCTCCCATCATTGTTTTCAAATATGGATTTCAAGATGCACTATTTTGTGAGTTTACTACATTCTTGTTTTCATTCTTGTGCCTGCTGTAGGACCTTGATTTACCCTTACCACTTTGCTGTGCCTCAGCTTTCCCAGATATAAAATTGGCATCACAGTACTCATCTACCTAGTAAGGGAGTGGGGAATATGAGACTTAATTAGGGAACAGCTGTAAAACCTCTTGAGATAGTTCTGTGAGTCAGAATGGAAGTGCATCATTATTAATCATTATTATTATTGTTAGTATTTTCAAATGGCTCAAAGCCGTCTCTAAATTTAATAGTAAAATGAGTGCATCTAATAATTCTTTGTATGTACATGCTCTGTGGTCATGCATTTCACAAATTAAATGGCAGAATACTTGTAGGATATGATTATAATGATCCAAGTAAATGATCCTCAACCAATTCAAGATTATGTGATTAAGACCCCAAGGAGCTAAAGCAAGCAGTTTGCTTTGTTACCTTTTAGCTTCTCGAATAACCCATTTTGTGTTAATTTATGTGAAAGGGAAGAAGTTAGCTCTTTAAAAATTAACTTAGAGTTTTCTGTGTCATTAGTTTGGAATTTGGGAGTAAGTGGGTTACTCCTTAATTTCCAAATAAATCTATCTGTAACACCTTGTCCATAATCTACATTTAAATGGTTTCGAATATGATTGGCCTAGCTTCCTAGCAGTTGTTGAGTCGAGCATAATTTATGAACTTTCAGAGTCATATGCGGTATCTTCAGACATCATCGGAAAAGAAAATTATATGTTTTAGTTTTGCAGTTGTTCCCTTGTCTCCTGTACCCTTCTGTCAAGAAACTGCATTTGTCTCTGAGGTTATGTTGCAAGTCAATGGAGAATTGCCTTCCACCGTACACTGCTTGGTTTCAGCTTGAATTATCTCAGACAGACATCCTGGCTAGCTGCAATGCAAGCTCACAGGGCTCAAGCCTGAGAAGACCTAAGTTTGGCAGCGCACTAAGTTGAGGATGAGAAAAGAAAAAAGAAATTCTGTCTTTTCTGGTGCTTTTCCCTCTTGGTTTCTCCACTAAAAATCAATAGCGTGGTCGATAGTTGGTTTTGAGTTGTCCCCTACATGCTGGAGTTTTTCTGATGTAAACCTTTGGTGTCTGGGCTTCAGACATTATAATGTGTCAGGGAAAGTTTGATAGCTGTCACAGCTCTCCTGGGTTACATTTTATTCCCACGATAGCCTTTGTAATTTGAGAAGGGAAGAATAGATCAATTTTTATACCATTTAGTTGTTGGGGGAATTTCTTTTCCATAAATTGATTTTTCTTTGAAAAATTTACAATATTTATTTTCCTTCTTCACAGCAAAAGCAAATAAAATGAAATATTTTCATTAATGAATATTTTAAAATAAAAGCAATCCCAATCTTGCTGTAAGTTGTTAAGACTCAGTTATATCCTGTTCAGGATTTCTCACGTTCCTTTTGCATAACTTGGAATGACACTTTTAATTTTAAATGTATCCATTTGGGAAAACCTGGTGTCTTTTCTTAGTAGTACTCTAGAATGGCAATATCACGAAGAATAAAGTGGCACAACAACAGCTCTAATGCTTGCGTGGTTTTAATGCAGATTTTGGTTTCTTTGAAACTAAATGATTACTTTTATGGATACCAAATAATTATGGATAATGAATAATTATTATAAGTGATGTCTGTTAAAAAGTGTTTATTTTTATTTTGAGTCTTTTCTATGAAATCTCGTTATCGGGACTATCAGATAACATTAAATCATTAATTTTCTCTTCTGAAAATATTTTTAGTTGCTTATCTATCTTTCATTCTAATATGTATTCTTCTTCAACATAATAACTCTTATTAGAATTATCCTTGAAAAACTTTGGGGTAACTTCTAGCATGTTCTATGAATATAAGGTGATAAAATTGTGTTTGTAAGGTGGCTTAAAGTTTCAAAAGATAGCTTTCTGAGTGAAATAATGTTTGTATAAAATTGTGTTGAAACAGCATCTTATAGAGGAGCAAATGCTATGTCTTTAAACACTTAATATATTATTCGAAATAATTGTCAAATATTTGAACAATAATATTTAAGAAGGAACACTAGAATTGGGTGTCTTTTCATCAGATAGTGTTAGATATCAACTATGCTGTATTAATTGAAAGGATTTGGTATAATCTCATAAAGAAACAGGCAAATTCTGGGGTTTCCTCTCTAGTGAAAATATATCATTCATGTCTTTCATTACTGTGCTATAATTATGGTAAGTGAAGCAGAACGAGATCGATAGAGCAATTTATCAATGCATTCCAAACTATTCTAGCATGGTTTACGTCATATCTCTGCAGATACTGTCATTCAATAAAGAGACATCTAATAGTATAAAGACTTCAGATGGATCCATTTCAGCATAATGTCTTTCTACGTGATGTTCTAATTTCGATCATGGTTTAACTAATTGTTTCACTCTGTATAGTATTAAGTGAAGTAAAATGTTTTCTTTGTTGAATTTCAATAGAAATTTTAAAATTCAGCTTTCAAGTGTAAAAAGCACTGCAGTAGTGGAAACATTGTTATTAATGGATGGCTTTAGCCTTCTTTTTCAGTGCCATTGTAAGTTATATCACCATTGAAACTAGAATACAAGTCAGGTATCCATCATGCCCCCAAAAGCATTAAAATTCAAATAACAAAAATAACAGTCATTATTTAATGACTGTAAATTTTTGTCTTTTAACATCACAAGATTCAAAATTCTTTAGGCTTTATCACCGTATTTATGATTTAACTATAAGAGTAGGTTCACAGGCTAGCTCATTTAGACTTTTTTTTCCACAAACCGTACACAATGGGGTCTTTTTTTTAATCGTAAATATTCCCCCCATACTGACATGATATTAAATATTGATAATATTGAAGAGAAGATACTGAAGTATACATGAAAGTGTTATTTATTTCAGTATGGACAAAAAATATTTTCAAATTACTAGATTGTAATTTTCTTTTTTCATATGTTATAAAATTATCACCCACTGTCATTTTGGTTAATTCAGTTTTCTACAAAACTATATAGGTCTGGTAATGATGCCAGAGTCACACCAGTGCAAAATTGTCATTTGTATTTCAGGTTTGTAGACATCGAGAAATATTTTCAAGGACAGAACTTATTTTTTATTGAGTTAGAAATGTTGAAACGTAAGGGAAAAGAGTGAAGTTGAATATGACCACTTTGTCAGAAAACTGTATACGTAACTCTTGATTTTGGAAAAATCAGCACCTGCAAATTTTGTCTTTTGGGGTTTGTTTTTTTTTTTTTAGTCCAGTTCATAAGATTACATGTTTTTGGTTTATAATTTCTTTACCTAAGGAGAGTTTTGTGCTGCATGACTCCTTAAGAGAGTTTCCATGAGCTCATAAAACATGAAGTGGGACAGTCTGAAATATTGTGATCGTTTTCTAGAATTATACCTGATGGAATGTGATGACAGCACCTCTCCCTTCTATTTTATATGTTGAATTTGAAAGTGCTTGGGAATGTGTTGATGTCAATCGTGGCTGTGTTTTTGGCCATCTTTCTTTCCTTATACCTTCCACTTTCCTACTAACTGGTGCCCCTCTGACATTGTTTCTTAAGAGCTTGTCTGTTAAAGGGTTAAAGAATTAGATTTTTAAGCTGCTTTCGTGCAATGTATTTAAGTTAAGGAAATTGGGATATCATTACCTCAGTGAGGATGTTGTAAATTGTTTTGTTGGCAAGATTTATTGGGGGTTATTTTACCTGATATCACATTGTATTGTTTAATGTGGACTATTTTTAACTAGCGTTCTATTTAAACAGTGTCAGTGAATTCTGAGAGCTTGCCAAACAAATTCTCAAAATGGTTGCCAAGCTGTAAGATGGCTGCCAAGGTCTGAGCACATTGAACAGGTTCAAAATGGTGACCAACTTCTCAGAATCTGTTGGTCAGATTCCCCCACTGCCAACCCCCTCCCCCCACACAACTACCACCCAAAAAGGAAGGAAAAAAACCACAAACCCGAAGATGCAAGACTTGGCACCATCTCCTTGGCACGAGTGGCTGTAGTGTCATCCAGAGATTCAAGTAGTCACCACGTACTACTTGTTTCACATGCTTGGCAGAAGACTATTCAGGGGAATACATGAGGTGAAAAACCACTGTAAAATAACATGGTCATTTTCTTTACCTTATCTAATATGCACAAAATAATTCTTTAGAAAGGGGAAAAGCCTAGACAAGGCAATACTTTCAAAGAGCTTTCTAAATGAGATCGAAGAGCGTTAACTAAGACTTCGGGCTGTGCCTTTTTGTACTGCTTGCCTGAAGTGGCACAAACTTTATATACAACAGGTTTAAGATTTATTTTAGTTTTGCATTTGTTTACTTAAGTTTATAGCAATTGCTTTCTGGCAGTTGTGGTACTTAGCAGATTGAAATAAAATCATAAGGGTGAATTAAAACATACTGCTGTTAGTGCTGATTAGAATTTTAGCTTAGTGTAAATACCGGATGCAGGGTCCAACTTTTCAGACACTTGGCATGAGCTCAATAGGGATCTCCAGGCTACACAGGAGACAGTGTGTGTGCTTGGATGCTTTTAAAATTCTTGGATAGGTGGAGCATACTACTTCTGCTGGCATGTTGGTTCATTGTGCTGGCTGCATAATGTGCTTGGATTCCAAGGTAGATAGAAGAAGCTGAGGAAATGGTAATAAGGGAAGATAGTTTGAACTTAAAAAACAAAGCCTGGAAAAAAGAATTTTATTTGAACCCTCTGCAGTTTGTACTCTGTGATATGGTTAATTATATAAATAACCAGTACTAAACTAAGTTGAAAATGGCAGGATTTGTGGTAGTTTGAAGAATGACCTAGAAGTGAATTTGTTTCCACAAGTTGTTGAAATTTTTCTGTGTGATCCTTTAAAAAATAGACAGATAAATTAACTTCTCCAGGCAGTTAGTTTAGTCAGTGAATTCCTTAAATAGATCTTCTGTTTAATATCAGCAATGGACTAGGTTTTATATTCTGATTGAGACCTGCATTCCTAAAGATAGTTTTTAGGTGATAAAACATTTTATTTAATGCTTAAGTAGCTGTTAAAAAAGGCTGGTTGTCATGAAGGTACTGGCGTTTTGTTTTTATCTCAATTGGTAGTGGAATCAGCTAGGGATAATACTATAGAGCGATATAGTTTATATAGCTTGAGTTTTGAAAAATCTATAGCTTTAGGATTTGTTCAGTCATGGAGCCCTTAGGTGGTGTGTACATTTTGTATATTCTCTATCACAAGGGGTAGTCAAGAAATGTGACTTTTCGGTCCTTTTTTTAATGATTTTCTCCTGCCATTTAGGCAACAATGTTAGTAGCCATCAAAGCTTCTCGTATGTTTATTTCTAGTCTTTTCTCACCTAGTAAGCAATTGTCAACCAAGGCCCAATCATTCAATAGGTAAAACCAAATGTTATTGACAGAGCTGAAATCTGAACTCTGTATCCTTCAGCGTAGAAGATCAATGTTCATTAAGATGCTTCAGTTCTGGAAATTTCAACATAAAGCTATGGAGGCATTTAGAGGTTAGCAGGGCAAATGTGTGATATGCAAGGTGTGTAGCAGATCCCTTCTTACATATTTCCAGAGTATATTTGTAATGTTACATGTTACAAATGTAAAATAGTTTAATTAAAAGTCTTTCTTGCCAATTCTTACATATTGTACTGTAAGTTAGTGACAAGGAACTCAAATAAAACCTTTCTTTTTAAATTAGAAAACCAAGAGTCCACACCTCATTACAGTAAATCATAGTGCATTTTAAATCTTCAGATTAAGAATGTGTAATACTGATTATTACTTGTCAATTTTGTTGTTTTTTTTCTATTACATATTCATTGATGATTTATTCAGATGACTAACGTTGTTGTAGCTGAGGCAAAAATTAAATCATTTTAAAATATGTCATTTTTACTTATTCGTAACAAGTTATGAGTATGTAAGCAAGTAGAATTTTTTCAAATTGCCTGAAGCATGACAAAATTCTAGATTTATAGTATAAAATGCCAATCAGGCAGTGTTTACGTAGGTAGAATAAGGCATATTTTTGCAAATTCCCACATCACCATTCTTGCTTATATGAAAAAGCATAGTACTTTTTAGTATTTTGAGAGAAACTTTATTCATTTTGCTGTTGTAGACACAGTCCGTGTTTTAAATTAGTGAACTGCAGAAATCTTTTCTTTAGGAAATTTTTTCTATTAGTCCTTCCAAAGTGAGTATTTTACTTTAAAAGAGTTGTTTGTGTTTTAAATTTATGTGGTGGTATATTTAGCATTTTACCCTTTTCTACGTAGCATACACGTGTAATTAGTACATGGGGTGTATGTGTATGCTGGTGTCTACCCAAGTATGTATTGAAATATAAAATTTACTTTCTATATAGTAGCTTTCTGCATAGGGCAACCCAAACAGCTGTTATTCCTTTTTATAGCTTCTTTAATCTATGTGCCAACAAGTCAGTTTACAAAATCTGTTTTGTTGATGACTGCTGCGATAATAATTGTGGTGTTTTGTGGCTTGGCAAAAGGCTGGGGTCTCCTCTGAGGACTCTTGCCAAAGGCTTTGAAGGGGTTGAGGTGGATTCACTGCCAAAATGAGTCACCACTCTCTATTTTATTTAGTGTCCTTCTGCCAAGGCCTTAGACACTGTCTGTTTTCATTCTTTTGTAGGCTTTCCTCCCCACATTGTGGTTTTCTTCACAGCCAGAGGCCTGGGTCTGCCAGGATAGGTGAGAGAGGCTGTGTGTAGGGAAACTGAAGGGCTAGGGGTTTAGCTGTTGTATACCTTGAATGTATATGTGAGTTAAATTATATGGTTATAAGTTACAAATGATGGACTTAAATAATCTAGTACCTTGTGGTCACCTGGGTTTGGGTCAGACATTCTCAGAAGAGTATTATTTACTTTTAAGTAGGATTCAAATAATGTGACAGTGTTTTCATAATTGGTATTGATTATTTAAAAACCCTAGATTATTTGTGAGTTCTGGCTAGAGGCCTAAATCTTGAATTTTTCCTCAAACAAAAGAGTATCATCCTCCTCCTTTTAAATGGCATAATAATTTACTTCACATAAATGCGTTTTCTACGTACACACCTAATAGACTTCAGGGAATTATGCTAAAATTTTATTTCTACCTGTCTAGATTTAAATTGTCAACCATTAAGTAGACTGAGCAATATGAATTGCTGGTCTGTTCCCTGAGATATATTTGAGATTTAAACATTTTTTTCTTCATTAAATACTTTCAGTAGATTGAAATAAATGGAACTAAATGTCCTCTTGCTAGGTTTGTCCAACTCAAACATGTATTATGTATAGAAAAATGGCTGGGATGAATTTGAGTCTTCAAAATATAAGCAGAAATGGCATTTCATGCATTAGTATGAGGAGGACATACTTGGGTTTTTGCTAACTTTCAACCTATAAAATTTAGATGGGTTTTTCTTAACTAAAAGCTATGACACCATCCTGAAATCTTGTAGATTATGTATGCAGAATTAAATTGAGGGGCATGGTTTTTGTTTTGTAAGTATTCATTCATTGTGTTAACTCTTTAAACATCGTATACACAGGAAAACTTCATTATAACATCCCCTGAAAACATTTCCATAAATATAAAGTAAATTTTCAAAGTTCAAAGTCCTAACTATAGGCAACAAAATGTTTTCCATATATTATGGTCGAAGCTTTTGTTCTTCAGGGGAAAAAATGTTATAAAAATGATTTTAACACTTTGTTCACAAAATAAATTCTATTAATAATTGATTATTATTTTTCATAAATCTTTCAGTTAGAAAACATAATTACGTAGGTAAAGAGTGAGATAATATTAGGATAAATACTGATCTCATTATATTCTACAAAGGTCAGTGGTTAGTATCCACTAAGTTAATATATGAAAGTCCTTTGTAAACTGTTAAATATATAGATATCAAGACATTTAGGTTTTTATTTTTGTTTTTTTTAAAACTTTGGATTATCACATTCTCCTCTCTGTGTATCTACTTCATGGTTTTCATTTAAAATAGCAAAAATAAGAAAATAGAAACAGTTACTAAAAACTTGTAGTCATTCTGTGATATAAATTCATTTGGAATTTAAATACTTAGAGCTCACGGCAAGAGTCCAAGACAGAAATTCTTTTGGATGATCTATAAACCACTCAATCCCTGGTTAATGCTCAAACCATGTGAAAAGTTCCAGGTGAAATTCACTATGAGCCTTGTCTGAACCCCATAAACTGAGGGAAGTCCTATAAACCCTATATGAACCCCAAAGAATCAAAATAACTAAATCCGGCACATAATTAAAAACCACTATTTTCTAGTGGCTGCTTTATGTGTCCACAGTTTGAAGACAAGCTTTGCATATGGAAGTGAACTATTTTATTTCGAAGATATGAATCATAAGCTACTTAGTATTTAAATATAGTTATCCTGTTGTGAAGATCTAATAATAATGCTGTTTAAAAAGAGGAACTGGAACTCCTTTACAAGTATTACCATTTCCAGGATCTCTCGGAAAGTTGCCAAGACATAAATATAGTTGTAGTAATGATTGTTGTTTTAGGAGTGGAATTAACAGTAGATATGTTCATCAACGTTATTTTGAAAAAGTAACGTTATCTTGGATTTGTACTAACCTTTATGCCGTATACTTAAAATGCAACTCTTGATAATCATTTACTATGACAGTGTGGGTTGATAGAAGCTAGGTATTATGGTTCTCTTTAGGCAGAAAGAGAAACAGAACCCCTGCATGACTTCAGATGCAGTATATTAATCTTTTGGGGGCATCAGTTTCCTCTTCTGAAAAATGAAGGGATTAGACTAAAACAATGTCTCAGATTCCTTCCAACTCTTAAAAAAAAAATCTGGAAGCAACTATCTTTGCGTTATTGTCCATAATATCCCCTTCAAAGGTGGGATGACTGATTTATGGAGGACACATTGTAAATCACTAGGCTAATATCTCTTATTAATTATTGCAATCAGAAGTATAATCATTGTTAACGTGTACCGAGTACTTACTCCTAGACATCACCTGCTGGGCTCCTGATGTGAAATTGGCTCACTGGTTCGTCTGTAGTTCTTTATTAGTAGCCTTAGTATCTTAGCATATTAGTGATTTTATTAAGTTGACTAAGCATTGTATGACTTTTTACAGGCCAGTGTCTTGGATGCTCAAGAATCCTGAACTCATTCCCTTTACCTGTAAATGTTGACCGTGAACCAAAATGAGCTCTGTCAGTCTCTTAACCATTTTACTTTTTTGACCGTTTGTCTCATGATAAGTTTTGTAAGCATTAAGTAATTTTCATACATCATCTGTTTTTGCATTCATTCTTCCAGCCATCTGCCATGTACTTGGCTTTTGGGCACTGGGAAGAGCTAGATGGGGTAGAAATGCATCTTCTCTTAAAAGGAGCTTACAACTCCCAAAGTTACAACTCTATCACAAAAAGAGTGTCAAGACACAACCCAAGTTCATCACCTGAATGCCATTGATAAGGATTTCCAGATGGACAAAACATTAAGCTGACACCAAGTGAAACGTGTACTTCACAGACTTTCATGTTTCATTTCGTGATATGCAGTGGCACTCTGAAGAACTGGGCTTTCAGAATGTATGTGTTTGGTCCGGTTCTTCGTATAGGGAGCAGTATCTTTGGAACAGTCACAGCATACACCACACCACACTAGGTTCTATCTGTGGCAGGGTCAGCTCATTAAAGCTACTTTCTGGGTCCTCGTTAATGTCATGCAGGCCTTGTGACAGGTGTTACAGCTCCCCACCTGGCACGGTCCATTGGGGGTGTGCTGTAATTGCTCTTGATGCCACACTTAATGGGTGGGGGAAGAAAGTAGCATTATGTGTGAGGGGAGGTGAGAGGGATGCCCTCGGGCCGTTGCTGACATCTGGTCACCACTCCTGTTTTGCTGGCTTGTCTGTTTGGTGCCTACAAATATTGGGCCTTTGAGTTGAGTTTGCTGCCACCATTGGGTTCCTTGCAGCCATCATTATTTCACAGCTGGGCCATGGTTTTAACTTGGAAAAAGGGCATTCATCTCAGGGCCAGAAATGGTCTACTGCCAACATGATCCTGAGAACTTTCTTAGTTTAATAAATGAGAGAATAAGTATTCTCATGAGCTCCTGTATCAAGTGTTTCCTGGTTTTGAGCTTTTTTGTTTTTTGGTGAGAATGTTATCTTTCATTGTTATTTCTGAACCCTTAAAGGACTAAATTTCCTTTTCAAGAGTTTCAAGTAGTTCTTGTACATGTGTGCGGTGATAAGCAAACATTAGTCTGAGAAAGTTCTGAAAAATCTAATTGAGCCAGCATTTACCAAGCCCTTCTATGTCAGCTACTGAACTAGGTGCAGGGAAAAAAATAAAGGTCCTCAACTAGCTCACCCTCAACTAGCTGTCCCTCCAGCTAGAGAACCAAACCTCTGCATAATTAACCATAATAATGGGCAGATAGATTCAAGGGAGAATGCAGTAAAATATGTAATATCATGAGTGCAGTTTTTATCTGTGTGCACAATTACGCAAGCCTTTTAACTAAAAGGCTTCGGTGAGATGGATTTCGTAAAAATGCACAGAACTTCCTGAAGCACAAATTAGACAGTTCCCTAATATTAAAACACAGCCCTGAGAGGTAGGGTTTCAGGCTTTCTGGAACCCCCAAACTTGAATTGGTCCACAGAACTAAATTAGAAGTAACAACCTTTCCTTATGATGTGTGATTTCTCAAATGGTGGCATCTTCCCAGAGCTGTGTGTTCTTTTGTTTGGAGCACAGCTGCTTCCTATTGTTAAGTTGCACCGGAGAGCTCTGAGACAATTAATGAAGGGGATTTAAATGTTATTTAAAGGTAATCCCAAAACGTTTCTTTGTGAAAGATGCCCCTTACTGCAGTCCCAACTTAAATACCAACTTAAATAAGAAACTTCCACTCTAGGCATGCTCAATAAATATTCAGTGACCATTTCTGGTTTCTGGGGCATAACTAAAACTAAATAACTAAAAAATTGCCAATTAAATCTTCCCCAGCCCCAATTCCACATAACGCCTATGCACAACCACTTCTGAATGCTCATGGAGAAATAGCATTAAGGCTCTGATCTGACCTCAGTAATTTTACAAATGTAAAGGTAGCATCTCATGGTCCCTGTAGGGATATATTATTAGAAGAACATGCATACAATTTTGTTTTAATTGATTCTCACTCTTAAGTATGCAACCAATCTGTGTATATCTCCTTTTAATTATTTATCTGAGTTGTGAGAGAAAAGTAGGTAATTATTTGGTGATCCATTCAAATGTCTTGAAAGGAAGGCATCCAACTTTTATGACATACATCCTGAAAGACATAAAACAATACATTTTTATTTTATAATTTCATCAGTATCAAGTGTAGTGTAAACTATTTTAAAACAATTTATAAAAGGTGCTTACATACTTACTGATTGAAAAAATGGCCACAAGAATTAAGTTTATGGAATTGAAAAAATTTAGACCACAACAACATGGTAAACATTGATTTTTTTCAGAAGGAAATAATTTCTACAAATCAAAAACTTTACTAACCAGATGTTATAGTTAGGACAAACAATGAAATAATCTTACTGTAAGAAAAATAATTCAGCCAACACGTTTTTTAAGTGTCTTCTTTACGCTTAACATGGGTATTTGCTATTAGATGGGGGAGGTGGAAGGAATGTATCAAAAATGAATAATGGCCAGATGCGGTGGCTCACGCCTATAATCCAAGCACTTTCAGAGGCCAAGGCAGGTGGATCCCAGCACTTTCGGAGGCCGAGGCGGGTAGATCACTTGAGGTCAGGAGTTTGACACTAGCCTGGCCTCAAACTCTGGTGAAACCCCATCTCTACTAAAAATACAAAAATTAGCTGGGCGCGGTGGCAGTCGCCGGTAGTCCCAGTTGCTCAGGAGGCTGAGGCACAAGAATTGCTTGAACCCGGGAGGCGGAGGTTGCAGTGAGCCAGTGAGCCAAGATCATGCCACAGCATTCCAGCCTAGGCAACAGAGTGAGACTTGATCTCAAAAAAAAGAAAAAAAGAATAATATTCGTTACCATGTTCCTGCTGACAGTTTGAGTACACAAGATACACTGTGACATAGTGAATTCAAGGAAGCAAACATGGTATGGGTTGGAATAATCATGGATGGATACTTACTGCAAGAGGCAGAAAAACACATGCAGTTCCTTTTCTAGGAAAATATTGGTAAATTATGCTTGGTTAGTAAAAGTGCACAGAAAGCATATGGAAGTTTCAAATCTATTTTCCATAAATTTTTCCCCAAAGTATTTCTGAGATGCTGGGTGCAAGGTACGGTTCATTGTCCTAGTCCTCTATGCTGAAAATGATCATTTTAATTGGATTGCTTCTTTGGAAACAAGACAAAGCGTACATTGCTAAAAGCTTCTGGAGGCCATTTTCAATATTTGTAATAATATAAGTGCTAGAAATGTGCTTTCATTTATATTCAAAGGCAATAATGCCTTCTGTAAGCATGGCGTCTCTGTAAGACTTTTATAATGTCTACTTAAATGCAAGCAGACAAAATTAGTTTTCACTTTAGATTGGAAGACCTTTCTCCATTGCAACTTTTTGGCCTCTCTTTTTGTTCTGCTCCCCAAGAGCAATGTAAATGTTGCTCTTTGTTTTGCTAAAAGAGGAATGTTTATTTTTACAAGTACCATGCCACTTCCATATGATCTACATGGTATGTGTCATGAATATAATTTCTGTATGATTGGCCAAATTTTTCACTTTTAATTAAGATGACCAGACAAAAATTTGAATTGTAAGAAAATTATGGGCCAATTTAGTGCCTGTTGAAATGTACACTGGATATTGAAATGTTCTACAGAGCATAATGAATGAAAGTAAAAAGGCTCTATCTCTTTTCTGAAGCCTACTTGAAAATTTTGCTTTCATAACATGACATTGAAAAAGATACTATAAAAATATTTATTAAAATCATAGCTCGAGTTTTTTCTTAGAAGTAAGAAATTATGTTTAATATCAAGGACTTTACTACAGGATAACATGATTGTGTTTCACATAGAAAAACTTTGTTGAAAAATCAGTGTGGAGTTGAGTTCATCTGGGCCCTAGCTGAAACTAATTTTACTTTTGGATATTCCATAAACTGCATACATCTCTTTCTTACTGTTTTGTTTTTCTATGTATGAGAAATCCATAGACACAGAAAAAAGATGGAGAGCCTTCATTTCTCTTATTTTCACTTTTGTCCCATCCCTCTGTGCTTGTTCTTTGTTTAAATAAACTTTTGTTGTATGTCTTTCACACATCATCACTCTCTGCTTCAAAGGCTTCTTTTAATAACTTAGCCCTGGCTCACTTTTCTTTTGCATATGAAATTGATTTAACTAAAGTGTATGTGTGTGTTTGTGTGCGCATATGCCTACATACACATGCATCCGTACAAATAAAAATTTCACTGGAAAGGGAACTCCGTGATCTCTTTACTACGTACATACACACACCTTGTCGAAGTGGGAAAACTTAAGTTTGGAGTTAATTTGGTTTTGAGTTCCAGCTTTTTCTCTTAGTGCTGTCTGTTTCCTCACCCTGAAATGAAGATGGTAATGTTTACTTTGCAAAAGTTGCTGGGAAAGTTATGTATATATAAATCACTTTATTTTTATTGCTAGACATTCAATAAATGCTAGCTGTTACTGTGACCATCATTATTGTCATATATGTAACACAATTATGTCATACATTTATTTTGAAGCTGATAATAAGTAAACTGATAAAAAGCAGAAGGTTGAGATTAAGGCTTCTTATTGCTAAAAGATTGATCTTAAGTACAATCACGTGAAAACTGATAGTTACATAACCTGAAAAATCATAAAATACTGAAAAATTATGACTGTTATGTGATTGTTTTCAGTTGTCAGACTACGTGATGTTAAAATGGCAGTTGATTTTTTGTATTAACACAGTGCCTCTAATTTTAAAAACTGCTTCAGCAATCATGTATTTAATGAAAACAGAAGTAACGATACAAAATAACAAAAATATAAATAGAGTTCAGAATTTGAAAATACTGTATTAGGAGGTAAGCTGACTATTTTTCGTGTTCTTTAAATATATTTAGATCAACTTGAATATTAAGCCTCCTACAGCAGGTAGATAGAGGTATCAATTCAGTTACCATTTAAAATACAGTAACTCCAATGAGGAGTTTCTTATAATTATTTCTAATTACTTTTTGATATTAGAAATTAGAGCTATACCAGAATGCTGGGAAAGATGTCTTTTTCAACATTGTATCACAGCATCAAGCATTATGCATCAAACATCAATTCCTACTCACAATATCCATTCAATGTATATTTGGATTATATTTTCTTTGGATAGACCCTCATAGTAGAAACTCTGTATTAACCAGCTTGCAAGATGAACCAAGACTTTTTGTTTTCTTTGTAATATACTGATTCCTTTGGCATGTTGAATTTTCATGGCCAACAGTTACCTACTACCACATCCTAGCACTATTGTTTTTACCAGTTGTGTGCTTACCACGTCAGTTGTGTTATTCCGGACCTGTTTATACTAGTCTTATTTGTATCACCATTGTGTAATTTAATTAAATTTATGTGAACCAATGGCATGCAAGTTCAAAATGGAAAAGTTTTATTTCTATGAAACTAACCCAGTGCCTTGGAAAGAATCAGTAAAGGCAAGCTACAAAAATTTCTGTCAGATTACATGTCAGTGAGATAACTACAGAAGATGAGAGAAGGTTGTAAAAATAAGAGTTTTGTTAGATTATTTTAGAAATATCTTTAAATTCTCCCACTACTTAAAGTAAATGGAACTGGAAATCTTTTATGATGCATTATAGATACGCATTATATAAGAAAGATGCTGTGGAGCTCCAATTATTAACAGACATTATTAAATTTAAATTTTTGCCTCTGCATAAAAAGATTGGCCAAAGAATGTACATACACATGCTCAAAGTTAAAATGTTTAAGGTGCATATGTCTCATTAATGAGTATCTTCTTCATCCATTTTTTCAAATTAACCAATCAACAACTGGCCCTAACAGTACTGGATAAGGTAACTTCTATTCTATTTTGTATTCCTACTCTTTACAGAGTTTTAGAGATGTTTTGTTTCCTACCTACCAAGGGAAAAAAAGGGAATTGGCAGATAGAGTTTATATCTTGGGATGAGATGTGTAAAGGGCCAGGACCTGAAATTACGTGAAGGTTGATATTCTGGGATTGGTAGTTTTGAAGTTCCATAAAGAAGTTCAGTCCAGCCATGTTCCAAATGCTCTGAGTATAGGCACTGGCTGGTAAGCTTAGTGGAGTGTTATACAACATGGAAGTCTAACTGGCAGTTCAATGTCCCAAAAGTTGGACAGAACCAAGAAATAGAGAACATAAGCAGATGACAGTAATCCAGGCAGAAGGTTAGTGTCAGAGAAGTCTGTCAGTGGGTCATAGGGCTCCACGTGCTAGCCTGGGTTTCCGTGCCAGAATTTTGTTCTTGGGAGGCAGGTAGGGAAAAGCAAGTCAACATCTCCAGTTCCAGATGAGCTAGGGCACTTGACCAAATACAGGTACAGAAGTTAGTCCTTGAGGTAGAGCTTACCTGTTGGAGAACATGGCAGAAATCATTGTACCAAAATTGGAGCACAGGTCAGAGGCTAAAGCATGGCTTACTGCTGTGGCTCATGGTGAACTTGAGCTTCTCATGGCCCCTCCTATCTCCTGAGGATGGCTGAGCTCACAGATGGGGACTGTTATGTAATCAGAGGTCAAGTGGTTTAGCTGGGGTGGCAGAGAGCCAGGTGAAGACTGAAAGTGTTCAAATAAGGAAGAGAACAGAATTGCTTTATGTCTGCCTTCATGAAGACAAACCCTAATAGCCAAAGGACTGAAAGTTTGCCCAAAGAGACCTCAATTTTTGAAAGGAAAATGCATCTTCTCCTTATGTTAGAATGACCACGTCTAAATAAAATAAACTCTTTTGCCTTTTGTTGTTACTTGTCTTGGTATCTACCATTGTTTGACACTAAAAAAAAATAAAGCAGTGACTAATTATTGGCTAATTTAATCTGTCATGATGGCATTTGTAATTCAGGTACATCCTTCATTAAAGCAAGTATAGGCATTATTATTTTTAAAACTTTTTTTTTCTATTTGGATTTCTTCTATTTTGTTTGATTATTTATTTTGTTGTTACTGGTGGTGGTGGTGTTTTACAGTGAGACATACTGGTTAGCTCAGCTAAGGTGTTTGAGTAAGACTTCATAAACATAAAGTACTTTGTGTGGGTTTGTTTTGTGTGTTCCATCTTACGTCATTTGTGGCACTGAAAATGAGATTGCAATTCCCAGAGTACTGGGATAGTTCATTCAGAGGTTAGCCCACCTAAGTTTATAGCAGTTGTCTGTAATAGAATTGTAACTAATTTCCACTGTTGTTTTTGGAGAAAACTGTAGACTATAATTATGTGTTAGCACTTTTTAAACAGCTCCCTGCATTGTCATATCATTTTAAATGGGCTCTGTTTTAAAATGACCTTTCATGTTTTGATTGCAAAAATATAGCTTACACAGGTCTGTAGTTAGCAAAATACAAGGATCCAGTAAATGATAGAGCATTGACACAACTCTAGAAGCATGTGTTAAACATCACTGGCACTGCCCTAGGTTTAAAGGGGAAGAAATAGGGAAGTAGAAATTCACTGTTCTTCAACACTCCTTCTGTTGGATAGGCAAGATTAGTACATAGAACAGTTATGGAGCCATGTGAAAAAAAATAGTAGTTATACAAATGTAAAATGCTACACATGAAGTATATTGCATTACCTTTTTGTGGCCTATGGAAAGAAGTCTCAGAGCACAGTAAGATTCAAGTACCATCTCCCAGAATTGGGGTCAGCAACACCATTTTATATTTTGGCAAATGCTACCCACTGTCTCCCAAACGGCAGATATCTGCATATAGTTAGTCATGTGGACACACCCTTCCTCTGCTACATTGCATTGCCATATTAGTAGTAGAATTTTAGTGTTGATTTAAAAGACAGTCTGCCTTAAAGCAGATTGCATAGTTTGCACACTGTGAATTGTAATTAAAGTGTAAGGGGGGCTTATTATGTCAACAACTGGCATGAGAACCCCCGAGCAGCAGGTGACCCTGACCATGTGACGTTTGTGACAGCTAGGATCCCCTTTTCACTGGCTTAGCGATCTGAAAGTCCAAATTGAAAGAAGCCCAGAGGCTGTATATTTCATTAGATCCCAGGGGAAGTACAGGATACAGCTTCCTTCTGTTTTCCTGGGAGGTCGCCAGAAAGTTTGTAGAGCTCTGTTTCTGTCAGAGACTCAAAAGAGAAAAGAAAAAGCACACACAAAACAAAACAAAACACCATACACACCACAAAACCATCCACCAATCACCCCCAGGACCATAAATTTGACATTTCCCACAGTCTGAGACCACAGTGTTGCTGTGTCAGCAATACGCTCCTTGTTTGAATTGTCTGAAAGGAAGGCTCAGTGTTCTAGCTTTTAAAAAATGTGTAATCTTCAATATGCAGTGATTCTCTTGGTGTAAAACCATGAGAAATTATCAAGTACAGATATCATATGATTTGCTTGAAATACTTTTGCATTATGCGTTACTTTCTCCTGACCTTCTAAAATGGGGCATAAGTCCGAATTTAGAAAGAGGAAACCACATGTGTAATAAGGGAAACAGACTAAGGAGACATGCCATGTGTATTTCAGATCTTATTGTGATGGGTAAACTGTTTGAAATGTGGTCACATTAAAAGTATGTTACTTTGTGGGAGACTCAAAATCTTTTACGAGTAGATTTTTATTGTGTTCCATAGTGGAAATAGAACTAGGGTTTGGTTTTGGTGGGAAGTTTTGGTCTTCAAGTCACCTTGGCACCTGACTGGCAGTTGTGAAACTAAGTAGAAAAGATACCTCTTTTTTCTTGGCACCTCACACGGGATCATAGGATTCTTACTATCATACAATTTATATATCACAGAAATGAAAACTTCGGTACTTTGTTGTATAATACAGATCTTGTGCTTGTTGATTTTTAATTTGGGGCTCAAGCTTCCCATGTCAACTAATGTGGCCGCTGCTAGGCTGCCCTCGGGTAGACCAAATGTAAGCTCACTAGGAAGTATTTCTAGCTCTGTAAATACCTAGCATATCGTTTAGTCCAGGCATGTCCAATCTTTTGGCTTCCCTCGACCACATTGGAAGAAGAAGAATTGCCTTGGGTCACACATAAAGTACACTAACATTAACGATAGCTGATGAGCTTAAAACAAAAATCGCAAAAAAATCTTAGCATGTTGGCCAGGCATGGTGGCTCACGCCTGTAATCCCAGCACTTGGGGAGGCCAAGGCGGGTGGATCATTTGAGGTGAGGTCAGGAGTTCAAGACCAGCCTGGCCAACATGGTGAAACCCCATCTCTACTAAAAATACAAAAAAAATTATCTGGGTGTGGTGGTGCGTGCCTGTAATCCCAGCTACTCAGGAGGCTGAGGCAGGAGAATCGCTTGAACCGAGGAGACAGAGGTTGCAGTGAGCCAAGATCGCACCTCTGCACTCCAGCCTGGGTGAGAAAGTGAGACTCCATCTAAAAAAAAAAAAAAAAAAAAAAAATCTCATAATGTTGTAAGAAAGTTTACGAATTTGTGTTGGGCCGTGTTCAAAGCTGTCCTGGGCTGCATGTGGCCCCTGGGCCGTGGGTTGGACGAGCTTGGTTTAGTCCCTAAGTGTTGTTCATTTTAAACCAGAAAGTGAGAATTTTCTGAGCCCAGATTCTACCTTTATACTGCTATTTGTTATGTTTTGGTCAAAAGGGAAATACAGAAAGAGGAAAGTTAACAGTCATGGTTTGTGTGCTTGTATGTTGTATACTTTCATGTTTTGATTGCAAGAATATGGTTTACACAGGTCTGTAGTTAGCAAAATACAAGGATCCAGTAAATGATCCTTGTATCATTTATTTAGGACCCTCTGTTGTAAGGGCCCAAAAAGACTCACTCACAGTGCCATACACATGGCACTGCATGTGTGTGTGCTTGTGCCAGCCTGGGACGAGAACTTCAAGGCTTGAGAGAAAGATGTACCATTTTCATAAATTTGGTAAATAAATTAAAACCTTTCAACTTAGAGCTGCATTTAAGTGTTATAATTAAAGGACTACCAGTTGGGTTTTTTGTTTTGTTTTGTTTTGTTGTTTTACAGTCCATCTATTTTAGCAAATTCGCAAATAATTAGTTTCTTTTATTTATGTTTTTCAAGATCGGTTCCTCTATTCAGCCAGAGGAAAACCCAATATCCTTAGCTGCGTTTTACCTCAGGTACCCAGAGAATTGAGGCAAGAATAGGTTGTGGGAATGTGAGAGAAGTGTGTCTGTGCTGTCTCAGCTCAGTTAACTAGTCCTCTGTAGCAGGATAAGCATGTTTGTGCAGAGGTAGAGAATTGTCTCCAGTCATGATTTTGTTTTTTATATTTTTTACTGCGTTGTTTTTTTTTTTTTTTTTTTTTTTTTTGAGACAGAGTCTCCCTCTGTCACCCAGGCTGGAGTGCAGTGGCATGATCTTGGCTCATTGCAACCTCTGCCTCCCGGATTCAAGCAATTCTCCTGACTCAGGCTCCCGAGTAGCTGGGATTACAGGCACACATCACCATGTCCAGCTAATTTTTGTATTTTTTTAGTAGAGACGGGGTTTCACCATGTTAGCCAGGATGGTCTCGAACTCCTGACCTCATGATCTGCCTACTTTGGCCTCCCAAAGTGCTGGGATTATAGGCGTGAGCCACCACACCCAGCTCTACTGAGTTCGTAAGTGAAGCTTTTTCCCCTCTCATGTTATTTGAATATTGTTTCCTTCATCTTTGTTTATTTATTATTTATTTTTCAAACCAGGGTCTCACTCTGTTGCCAGAACTGGAGTGCAGTGGCACACAATCATAGCTCAGCATAGCCTCAAACTCCTGGACTTAGGTGATCCTCTCATCTCAGCCTCCTGAGTAACTAGGACTACATGCTTAGCTGTTTTTTTTTTTTTTTCTTTTTTTCTTTTTTTTTTTTCCTGAGACAGGGTTTTGCTAAGTTTCCCAGGCTGGTCTTAAATGATGCTCTCATCTTGGCCTCCTAAAGTGCTGGGATTACAGGGATGTAATCCTGGACCCTTAATCTTTATTATTAGTTCATCATCTTTTATCATGTATACTATGTGCCTTGAAAGTGTGTATTATTTTATTATCTGCACAATTCCACATCACTTTATTGATATTCTGAATATACCTGTAGTATGTTAATAAATAGCATCTAATAAAATGTAGATACATAAAAATAAGCCATTTTCATAACTTTTGGCTAATTTTGGAAACAGCATTCTCAACTGCAGGTCAGATTTTTAAAAGAATTTAATTTTATCTGTGATTGTGTATACATCATGCCAAAGATAAAAGCAATTCAGTTGAGTGAGATAGGGTGTGGAAACAGGCTACATGTTGGAGTTTGTTGCCAGCCTGACATTTTCAACACAGTTTCTAGACCCATCTTTTTAAATGCGTGCTACAATGAAAACCAAAAGGACTTTTTCATATTGTATTTGCAGTCATCTATAGATGTAACTTCTGATGTCTTTATTTTTGTTGCTCTTCTCTTCTCATTAACAGCAGACCTGTAGACACACTAGTCCCAACATGGTTGTTTTACTTCCTCATATGTGTACTGAAGTGTTCTTTGCTGTCTGATGTATATTAAGGGGTCTTCAGCAATTATGAAACCATTGCTGCAGAAGCCCAGAGTCACATACTATAGAAATATTCTATAGTAAGGACCTAACAGGATTCACATTAAACAGAACTTGACTATAAACTAATGGATTCCTACTACAGATAATAGGAAATGTGGTTTTTTTTTTATTTTTTTGAAACAGGGTCTCACTTTGCCACCCAGGCTGGAGTGGGGTGACATGATCATGGCTCACTGCAGTCTCGACTCCTGGGCTGAAGTGATCTTCCCACCTCAGCCTTCTAAGTAGCTGGGATTACAGGCACACATCACCACACCCAGCTAATTTTTTTGTAGAGACGGGGTTTTGCCACATTGCCCAGGCTGGTCTCGAACTCCTGAGCTCAAGCGATCCACCTGCCTTGGCCTCCCAAAGTGCTGGGATTACAGGCATAAGCCACCATGCCTGGCCAGGAAATGTTTTTAAAGACTCTGGTTCCTACAAAATTTGCAAAGAATTGTGAAAACTGTCTATCCACTTCTTTAAATTTTAATTTTTGTTGGTTTATATTTCAAATATTACATTGTCAATTAGGATTATTATGACCATAGATGACACATTTTGCCCATCCCTGATAAAGAGAAGAAATTTGCTCCCTAATGTGTAGCCAGTTTAGGAATTTTAGCCTTAATTGAAAAATGTATACTTTTTTGTAACTGGACTTTGTTTCTGCTAGGAGATAGAAAAGTCTATAAGCCATCTCTGAGATAGATTTCTACTCTTCCTTTAAAATCTTGCCCGGACTGGCCCTTCCCCTCTCTGTTCTTCCATTCAAGGCTCACTTATTGAACATATATTATGTGCAAGCACTTCATTTAGGCAAGTACGAGCTGTGTGCCCTCAAGGGCTTATAACTTGTTGGGAAGGCACGTGGGAGTTATATACACAGAGAAATGAATTAGGATCTGAGTCCCATTCTCAGTAACCAGGGTGTAGGGAGCCAGAGGAAGGAATGATGAGTTCTGCCAAGAGGAAGGGAAAGGATTCTGACGTTATCTTCTACACTGGTTAGAATAGAAGGATGGAATCCTAAATTTAAGACGGAGATCTGTGCTGTATACATGTGACTAACAGAGATTGGGAAAGAGTGTAATTACCTCCTGTGCCTAAGAAGGTTGTTGGCGTAAACAAGGTAGAAGCAAAGCCAATTTTTGGGACAGTTTAACCGAAATCTTTTCAAATATTTGGTAGAAAGCATTGGATGAAGTGTTACAATTTTAATTAATGTTTTTAAATGACAATTGAGGGTTAATAAAGCCATTGTTGCCGTGCAGTTGAGAAGAGTAGAATGGGTTTGTTTTTGCAATCCCAGTGGGGTAATTAAACTTGCAGTGCCTGTCACTCATTCCTTAGGCTGAGGGACTTTTGAGATTGCAATAGCTCATCTTGTGTTGCAGCTTTGTTTTTAAATTTAGCTAAGTTAAAGCCTATGGAAAAAAAATCAAGGGAATGGAAGAGATGAGTTTTGAACTAGTGAATGTGTTCACTCAAGGCACAGGGCCTCTTTGAGGAATTTAGGTCGCAGACGTCTTTCACAGAAAAGCTGTGTCCAAACTGTCACAGTTACTGCCTCAGTGTCCTGTTTTGTTCTGAAGGACATGACACCTATTTTCCATGCACTTTTTCAGAAAATAGTATTTGTACCCATTTGTTTTGTCTTCTTAAGGAACGTTCATGCAGACTTTTCGAGCAGTGAGCAGGCGCCAGAGACTATGTCACTGTTCTGTTCTGCACAGTGTAGCGATTTGCAGTTGGCGAATGAATTCATCAGCGGATGAATGTCAGCTCACTAGGTGACAAGCTTCCTGTGATATAGACTGGGTGAGGACAGAGCTTGGTGAGCCTTTTTTGTTCACGACTTCATCTCTAGCACTCACAGTAGTGCTTGGCACATAGTACATGCTCAATAAATATTTGTAGTTTTATTTGTGGAATGATATGCTGAGTAAATGATTAGAGTATATTATCAAGAAATTACTATTTTTTTTTGAGACGGAGTCTCGCTCTGTCGCCCAGGCTGGAGTGCAGTGGCCTGATCTCGGCTCACTGCAAGCTCCGCCTCCCGGGTTCATGCCATTCTCCTGCCTCAACCTCTGGAGTAACTGGGACTACAGGCGCCCACCACCAGGCCCGGCTAATTTTTTGTATTTTTAGTAGAGACGGGGTTTCACCGTGTTAGCCAGGATGGTCTCGATCTCCTGACCTCATGATCTGCCCACCTCGGCCTCCCGAGGTGCTGGGATTACAGGCGTGAGCCCCTGCGCCCGGCCAAGAAATTTTCATAGAGTTTCCACTTCCTTGGTTGCTGAATGATTTGTAATATTGTAATCAGTATATCTATGACACAATTTCTAAAGTTATTTAGTGTTTGTCAGTGATGTCTGAAGCTCCATTTGCTCTTTTGAAGTCATTTGTTTCTTAGGACCTACAATTCTTAGGAAAAAATGACTTACAGTCAAATAATTTAGGAATTTTAGGGGAAATCTGGAGCCCATTTTATTTAGTGGCCTTAAAGATGAGGTACATAAGACCCAGGCTAACCCAGCTTCTAACAGTTGATTCTGAATCCCAGGTTTCCTGATTCTGAACTTGATGTCCATTTTGAGGGGTTGTTAAGCCAAATACCTTCAAGCTTTTCCCCTCTGTTGCACTCACATTTATGAATACAGATGGTCTCTAACTTAGGATGGTTCAACTTAAGAATCCACATTCCATAAAAATGGGACTTTGATTACCCATACAATACTGGTTTTCACTTTCAGTACAGTATTCAATAAATTACATGAGATATTTAACACTTTAATATAAAAGAGGCTGTGTGTTAGATGATTTTGCCCAACTGCAGGATAACGTTAAGTGTTCTGAGCACATTTAAGGTAGACTAGCCTAAGCTGTAATGTTTGGTAGTTTAGGTGTATCAAATGCATTTTCAACTGATGATACTTTCAACTTCCAATGGATTTATCAGGATGCAACCCCCATCATAAGTCGAAGTGCATCTGTACTTACTTTAGACTAAACAGGAATAATAAAGTACTCTAGGAGAAGAGAACTCAGTAAGAGGTTAACTTTACGTGGAAATGTTACAGGCCTAATGTAAGGTACAGCCAACAACAACAAAAAAAGCAAGCTGGCGATCTGCCTTCCATGCAAAGGTTATTTTTCTTATTACAACAAAACTAATTAGTGGATTTTCTAATGTAAGAAAATGTTGCTGTTAGTAAAAGTTTCCTCAGTGTGCCAGAAAGCAGATGGTGGCAGTGAATAGTGTTTTCTTTTGCCAGGTTTTGTATATGCTTTCTAAACCTGCAAGAGATTTTGCTTTTCCAGATTCAGATTTCTGATCTTTTTTATTTTAAAACAGAAATAGAAACTTATATTTAAATGTACTTGCATCATGTGGTCTGTTTGACATATTATGGTTACTTGAAAATGTTGAGTAACATTTGATGTTCTGCATGAATTTCTTCTCTAAGAGTCTTGGGACTTTTAATGTTGTTCTATACTCTCTCTCTTTATGGAAATAAAGAGTTTCTGCCTTGAGAGTGCTACAATGGGGAGTTTTGAGTGATTTATGAAAAGCAATGGGTAAGATTTTTTTATGTGAAAATTTGTATTTTGTTTCACTCCCAATTACTGTGCAAGTACCAGCTTTTCACAGTGAGGTTTCTTACAGCATGACTTTGTTCATTATGACTTCAGTGTTTGTATACAGTTTTGAATAATTTATTTCTGTCTACTACTGGTGAGATGTTACTTTCTGCTAATTTAAAATGTTTTGCCTAACGTTTTTAATGAAAGTCCTTATAAATATGTTTGTTTAAAGTCTGAAATCTAAACATGTCCTTAACAGTACCAACGAGGCAGCATTAAAACAAAAGGCATGTTGATTTTAAGGCCAACTGGAAGAATGTATATCTACAATGGTGTAGACGTGAGGCTGTAATGAGCATGAGTGTAGTCAAGACTTATGGCTTTGTTGACTAAAACTTAAGAGATGCTTTCCTTTCTATAGGACCTCCATTTAGAGGAGAAAAGGAAATCATTAAGTCAATAGATGAGTTATTAAAGTATAAAGTAAAAATGGAAAATGAAAACACACTCAGTGATTTTTTTGGAAATCATTTGGGCAAAAGTATCAAGAAAGAATTGTCTCAAAGTTACTAAATGGAATAGTCTCCTTATGGAATTATGTGCTATTTTGGGAGGTGATAGCCAGAATCAAAGGAAATGAAAGAAGGACTTTCATCCCTTCTTTCACCTCATTCCCATGTAGCTCTGCTGTGTTGTTCCATCCATCCCCAACACTAACCTGATAATTCGGAGACACCTTGCCGCATATTGTTTCACCTTTAATTCTTGAATAAACTCTGATTCTTACTTATAACTTTTCCCATGTTTGTTGCCAATAAAATTTCCCATCTCATTTGAAGAGTTGCTATTTCTGTCACCTGTTCAAAGGATAGCACTTCTTTTATTACTACCTCTTTCTTTTTCCTTTTCCAACTATTTCTCCTTTGACTTTGTTTTTCCCAATAATGATTTGTTTTTATCTTCTTTCCTAGTAACCAAAAATTAAAACAGGACAGAGTTTCCAAAGGAAATGTCTGTAGATGTTAACCAAACTGATTGAATCACTGGTTATTCTTTGCTTACTTTAAGGCTGTAAATCTGCAAAAAGACAGAGGTGATACTGGTATCACTCACAGCCACAGGTTAGTGCCTTGGCTGTGCTGATGCTGCCAGGGTTTAAACATTGCTGTGAGGAGCCCAGCACAGGCAGGAGTGTGGGGTGAGGATGTGTGATAACAGGGCATGACGGGCAGGTAGAACTGCTCGCTTGTGTTTTACACACAGGCGCCCCAGCCTTCCTATAGGCTCTTTCTTGTGAATAGGCTTCCACCATGACCAAAATGTTTGAAAAACCGTAAAGCCAAGAGATAAGTAATTTTTGTTGAATATAAAATAGATAAGCCATTACCTATTCATAGGAATATTTACCTCCTGATAGACTTTGGCAAGGGTTCTAACACAGAGACACTCCATGTTCTCACCACCAGTGAAGACGAGGGAAGTAGCTACTCTCAAAAAACAAATAGCATTGGCTGGGCACGGTGGCTCACGCCTGTAATCCCAGCACTTTGGGAGGCTGAGGCAGCTGGATCACTTGAGGCCAGGAAGTCAAGACAAGCCTGGCCAACGTAGCCCTGTCTCTACTAAAAATACAAAAATTAGCTGGGCATGGCAACATGCACCTGGAGTCCCAGCTACTCACGAGGCTGAGGCAGGAGAATCGCTTGAACCCGGGAGGCAGAGGTTGCAGTGAGCAGAGATCACACCACTGCACTCCAGCCTGGGTGGCAGAGTGAGACTCTGACTTAAAAAAAAAAAAGTGTAAACTTTTATAAATGATACAGAGTTGAATGAATGGAATTCTTGGTGAACATGATGAGCTATCTCAAGACTGAATAATGCTTTGCACACAGTAGGTGATAACAAATGTTTGAGGCCCTGACATAAACAAGCTTCCTCCTCCTAAGAAAGGTTAATCAATAGTCATTCTTTAGAGTGAGGGATCCATGCTGATTTTTGAAAAGTGAATCAGAGTAAAAGTTCCAATCGCCCTCTTGGACTTTTTGATGATCAGCTATTGAAATAGCACGTATGTTAGAGACAGTCCTCCCAGCAAACATGATTTTCTATTAAAATACATCCAGGTGACAAAAAAGAAGCTTTTAGAAAAAAAGAATTTGACTGAGCGTGGTGACTCACGCCTATAATCCCAGCGCTTCAGGAGGCTGAGGCGGGTGGATTGCTTGAGCTCAGGAGTTCAGGACCAGCCTAGCCAACATGGTGAAACCCTGTCTCTACTAAAAAATACAAAAAAGAAAAAGAGCTGGGCATGGAGGTGGGCGCCTGTAATCCCAGCTACTCAGGAGGCTGAGACGGGAGAATTGCCAGAACCCGGAAGGCGAAGGTTGCAGTGAGCCGAGATCGCACCATTGCACTCCAGCCTGGGCGATAAGAGCAAAACTCCACCTTACAAAAAAAAAAAAAAAAAAAAAAAAAAAGGATTTCCCGAAGGTAGTTTATTTGGCAAATCCCACACAAACTATTAGTAGTCCTTATACGAAGACAATTTAATTTTGGGATTATTACTAAGCAAATTACTCACAAATACTGAGTTACTGAAATGGAAAATATTTTTATCTCCCCCCAGTGTAACTACAGACAAGAATGTAGATAGTGTACTTAGGTGTAAATGACAGATGGAATGAACTTTGGGTGAAGGCGAGAGCACAGAAGCTCAGTGGTACTGAGCTGGGTTTGAGTGGGTGGGACCCCATGACTGGTTACTGATCTTTGAAAGCGTTTCAGGATTTCAAAGCTACATAAGCGAATTCACGTGTTTTAGTTATCTAGGTTTGTTTTTTCCTTGTTATATAGGATGTTTGCAGTTTTCCCATTTGTATCAACTCATACATCTTTGAAGTTTTGTAATTCAGTATAGCTTTGGTTATAGATTAAAGTTCACTGGAAAATCACTGACTAATCCTTTTAGCATGTTCCACTGTTCCATAGTATAAAGATACACAGAACTTGATGGCTTCCAAGTGTGGTTCAAACATCCAAAGCACTCGAGATTAGCACCATGTGAAGAAATTTTAAAATATTGTACTGCAATTAATTTTAAATAACTTAGCACTGCATATGTCAGGGAGAAAGCCATGGTAGAATTCAAACAGAAGCTCCTATAAGTGAAATGATTCACTTACATCATTTAAATAATTTTATCTCTCATAAAGACATAGAAGCAAAATATATGCCTATTTCCACTTAGGAAAGGCTTGGGTGAATTTCTGAAGAATCAGATATTACCTGAGGTTTATTATAATATGGGAAGTCTGTGGAGCATTTATTGGTTACCAAATGATTAACTCCCTATATTCATGTGTATTTGTTATAGGTTCAAAAACCAAGTTATTACAGAAAAGTTATTGTCAATGTGGAAATTGAAAACACATTATTTTAATAATATAACGTAGAGAAGGTATATCTAAAATACATATTTTTAAGTATTATCCTAAATTCTAGGATCTAGATTAAATTCTTTGAGGATATCTTTTTAGTAGCTCCTGAAACACAAAGTTTTCTGGAAGACCCGATGGGTCAAGATATAAAGGAAAAAACTTAGTTTATGGCCTTCTGTGGTCAGGGGTTAGCCAAGTCACTGAAAATAAACATTTGCAACTGTTAGTGGGCTATTTGCGGTCATTTATAAAGTATAATAAGACACAGTTTATGACTTGTAGTGATTATTGCACTCATGTTATTTCTAATTGCACTTATGATCAGCAGCAAATAAGCAAATATCACTCAGTGCCTTTTGATGAAATGAGAGTCTTAGCCTTGAATGCAGCCGAAGACCAACAGCTCAATTGCTAGTGATGTGTTTCAAATGTAGAAAGGCTGGAAAGAACCTTTGCTGAACACCTAACCCTCACCTTCATCTATAGATATTCTGGCCTGGAGAGGTAAGAATTTACATATCCAAGGGAAAATGGGTGATTTACGACCAGAAAGTAGACCTCCTGACTCCCATAGAGACCCTTCTTACCACATGAAACATACCATCTTCCAGTCATAGAGTCTCCTCCAAACCAGAAAGAACACCCCAAACACCTATTGACCTTTCCCAAGAGAGACCCTATTGTATTTTATGGCTCTGAAAGAGCTAATTTTTTTTCTTTCTTTCTTTATTTTTTATTTTATTTTATTTTTATTTTTGAGACGGAGTTTCACTCTGTGTCCCAGGCTGGAGTGCAGTGGCACGATCTCAGCTCACTGCAACCTCTGTCTCCTGGGTTTAAGCCATCCTCCCGGTTCAAGCAATTCTCCTGCCTCAGCCTCCCAAGTAGCTGGGATTACAGGCATGCTCCACCACGCCCAGCTAATTTTTGTATTTTTAGTAGAGACGGGGTTTCTCCATATTGGCCAGGCTGGTCTCAAACTCTCCTGACCTCAGGTGATCTGCCCACCTCGGCCTCCCAAAGTGCTGGGATTACAGGCATGAGCCACTGTACCTGGCCTGAAAGAGCTATTTTTTCATCTTTGTATTTAAATTCCATTTCAACAAACATGTGTTAGTATCTGTATGTTCCAGGCATGGTGCTATCTGCCAGTAAAAATGAGACAGAAAATTAAATAGCATGATGCTTTAACCAGTCTATATGCTTTAGAAAACCTGCTTCCAAGCAGTGAACAGTTAGAGAATTATAGCCACTCATAATTTACAAGGCACTGTAAATCATGCCATTCAGTCCTGGTACTCTCTAGAGTCAGGTATTTGGAATGAGTCAGTTGAGGTTCAGGGAGGTAAAGGGGCTTGCCCAATTCCTCAAAGCTAATATAAATAGCCAAGAAGGGACTCAAACCCAGGTTTTCTTTTATCATGCCTTTTGCCTTTTTTCACTATACCATAGCTACTTCTGGTAGAACTGTCATTTCTATTAAAGGGAGGATACCAGGCCTAATTCAGAATAACATTCTGTACTATGTATGCAATTGTTTCTAAGGAGAAAAGTCTGATTTAAAAAAAAATATTTTTATACTTTTAGGCTGGGTGCCGTGGCTCATGCCTGTAATCCCAGCACTTTGGGAAGCTGAGGTGGGTGGATCACCTGAGGTCAGTAGTTCGAGAGCAGCCTGGCCAACATGGTGAAACCCTGTCTCTACCAAAAAACACAAAAATTAGCTGGGCGTGGTGGCAGCACCTGTAATCCCAGCTACTTGGGAGGCTGAGGCAGGAGAATCACTTGAACTCAGGAGGCGGAGGTTGCAGTGAGCCGAGATTGCACCATTGCACTCCAGCCTGGGCAACAAAGGGAGACTTCGTCTCAAGAAAAAAAAAAATTGGATACTTTACACCATTTCCAGCAATGCTAGTTATGCAGTAATAGCTTAATATTTCACTTAAAAAAAGATTCTGCCTAAACCTCTCTTTATCTCACTAGAAGAGCTAACCCTAACCACTACCACCGCCAGTTAGTATCAGGGCTGCTGTAAATTGTTCCAAGGGTACATTTAGTGGTATTGATTGCTGCTAATAGTAAAAGAATAAAAGCAATTATGAATGTACACAACAACTTGTTGCTCTACCCCAGTTTCACCAGGAGATAGGATTTAGTCAAGAGGGGATGTCACAGAATCTTTATCCTGATTAGGAGCTTTTTGAGGGGAGGGACCTTGCCTTTTTTCATTTTGTATCTCCAGGTATACAGGGTGAAAGGCACCATAGTAGATGCCAAGCGAATGAATGAATGAACGAGATGGATAGGCCCAAAGACAACTAAATCAAAAAACCTGTGTTGTTTCAGAGGAGAATGATCCAGTATCATTTCCCCTTTGGGTAGGAGTAGTGGTATGAATATTGCTATGACTGCAGAATCCCAGACTTGTCTAGAATCTCTAGTTATAGCTTTCCTCAGCAGTGGGATTCACCAACACACTGAAATAACCTGTCTGTGGCAAAACTCCATACACAATCCTGTTTTCTCAAATGCTTCAAGGGGAAAAGAAATTCCTGATTTACCCAACCACAGAATCTTCAACCTTCTCATTAAGGCTTCTGCATTTTTTAGGCAAATTGTTACTGTGCCATTCTTACTCCTATCCTTTCACAGAATTATTTTCTGATTATGGATATGACAAGACCCAGTTGATTTTTTCAGAGTTTAGTCATTTATTCTGTGGTTTCAAATCTCTTCTACCATGTTATCTTCCTGCCCCTCTACTCCCCTGCCCCCACCCCCCGACACCAATTCTTAATTCCCTTTCTTCCTTTTATTCTCACCAGGAAGGGATATGTCACAGTAAACCCTACCACCTTGTCATCCAAAATTTCTAGGGAGCCTTAGTTCTGAGGGTCTTCTTCTTGAGGCCTTAACCTTACTTTTAGACAGTTGTCATTATCTTTGTCTAAAGGTCATAGCTAAATTGAATAAAAGGAAAGCTGTGTTTTCCTGTTGATGCACAAAGGCAGTATTGACTTCCCTAATCCAGTTTGCTGAGGGGTGAGAGAATTAAATTAGATATCTAAGCACAGAAATTGAGAGCCTTTGAAAACAAAGATAAGGAGACAAGACTGTATTTTCCCTTTTCCTGGGAGCTCTGGGCTCAAGATTTTGCAGGTGTGTCATCTGATCCATGGCTTGCATCGATCAAAACTGTGCCAATGCATATTTAATTAGCAAGGGGACCCTGGATGCATTATAGCCATCATCCCTATATTGAATGGACTGTCAGACTCTCCGCACACTTCTCCACCCCCACCGTCCCCTGAACCCGTGCTCCCTCCCTTGCCTCGTTGTTTGGGAAGCTTCTGCATTTTGTCTGAGCAGCTAAAAAGTTTCTTTGTTTTTAGCTGCTGATGCATACAGCGCCACTGAGGAGAATACAAACAAGTAGAGTCCTAAAGTGTTTATTTTGTCTAGGAAGACAAGCTAAACCAATTTGATTCCTTCGGTAAGATTTTCAAACCCTGTAGAAAACCGACAAGAAAAGCAAAAAGAAAATGAATACACTGTTCAACTCTTCACGTATAGAATTTAAAAAAAAAAAAAAGAATTGGTTATATTAGGAATAAAGAAGACTTCGGACAAATATTTTAATAATAGAATTAAAGAATACTTTCTATTATGATAGAAGGTATTTTATTTTAAAAGCTCTGTTTTGATACTTAAATAAGACATTTGTTGTTGGCAAATATTTTATTGATCAGTCTAATTTGCTTGATGCAATTCACCATTCTGACATGAATCTGTCATTACCATTAGGAAATCCAATGCCTGTACAAAAGTTATTTATGATAGAAGGTGACAAAGAGTTAGAGCTGGATGTATTTTTTTTTAAAGTTTCTAAGGTTTTGTGGGTGTTTCTGTTGGTGAGAATTCTTAAAGTGCAGGAGGTTTGGAGTTTTGCCACAGACAGGTTATTTCATGGGATTATGGTCACTGTTCATTTTCACACAGGTTCCAAAGCTTGAATATCCAGACAGTGTTGTCTGATAAACAGATGTAATGCACCAAGTCTGCTTAGAATAAAGAGCAACAGACTGTGAGCACATGTTTAGGACTCATTTAAACTCATCAGCATAGTCTAGCTCATAGTTCTCTGTCTCTAGTCTACTTTTGAGGTAGCTTCTTGCTGGTAAAGTAACAAGGAATTATTTTTTCTCTGCTACAATTTGCTGCAGAGACTCATGGGAAATTCATTTGCATACATCTTGTTACAAAGACTGACTACTTCCTGGCTTAGACAAAGTGTTGCCTGATAAACAGACTTAACACACAAATGTCTGTCTGGAATAAACAACGGCAAGCTGAGATTTACATTTCATTATCAAAGATAATCTCTTTCCCAGTATATGAGAATTAAGAACCTGTTCTTTAAAACCAGGTCTGTGCTCCTGATGTTTTATACTAGAATCACATCATGTGTCGGTTGGGGTTGATTTTCACAAAGAAACGAAAAACTTGTTGGGATGTGAAGATCTGTAGGGCAGAGGTAAATGTACATTTTGGGGGGCCTTTATGAGTTTCAAAACCAGGTTTTCTTGCTTTATTTTATTTGAACCACACAACATCCTGTTAAGTTAGGCAAAATCATCAGTAGTGTCTCCATTTTACAGATGAAGAAACTGAGATCCAGCACAGTTAAATTATATAGCTGAGGTTTCTAGGACACCATCTTTTTACCATTTCATACTCTTTTCAATGGTGGAATATGAATGCAAGAAAATTAGTACTTTAAGGTGCTACCTGGACTTAAATAGCATGTTTACACTTGATAGAGGGCATTTTATTATTTCAATAAAAGTTTGTGCAGACATCCAGGTACATGAAAATAATGCATGTAGATTATAACTCAATTATCCTTCATTTTCATTTGAAGCATGTATTTTATAGTAGGAAAGAATACAGGGACATTTTCTACATTAAGTAGTATAGATGGCTGTATGAGTAATCTTCAAGTATATATCATCCTGTTGAAGAACTCCAAGAACCTAGTGTTAAGATTAATTTTGATTGTGAAAAAAGTGACTAAATGGGGAAATTAAGCACAATTCTGCTATGCAATAATGTTGCAGGGATGGCTTTTTAAGCAGGTCTTTGTTTACATGGGAGTGGGTAGGTGATCGGGTAGACTCAATAACTTGAGTTCTGAATTAATCAGCAGGCACCGCTGTGAACACAGCGCCTCTTATGGGGAAAACAAAATTCAAAATGATTACCTAGACATTTTAGTTTAGTTTAGTCAAAGCGTCTTCTCAAAGAAAATGTGAGAAGTTACAAACTTAGTCAAAGTATCATGTTTGCCTGTCTTTTATAATCACCAGCTTCTTACCATTGACTTCATTTATAACATCACTGAAAAAGCTGATCATTACTTGAAATTCAGCCTCATGCGAAGATTGAAGGTTTAATGATTGAGTCATTTTGTCATTACTTTCAGAGTGACTGAATTTGTCATTTTTAAAGCTTAGAAATGATCCTCCCCTCACTGTCATAACACAACAATAGTTATGCCATTTCATTTTTTTCTCAACGTGTTAGAACTGTGTATCATTCTGCAACCTCCTTGTGCATGTAGAAAAATAACACATTGATGAGTAGGTGATAAGGCAGTTGACTCACTCTTCAACTTAAACAGTCTTATCATCGTACACAGTACCGACTAAACAGATGGGCCCTGGAATACCAACATTAATGAAATACCAGAAAAGTTGAATTTCTGTAAATTTAATATTTCACAAACTTGTGGCCAGAAAGGCATTACAAAAAGAAAAGTTTTGAGAAAGAAAATGGTAGTAACCTAGATTATGTAACAGTCTTAAGTAGGCCTTGACAATGCGGTACAGGGGAGTGACTAAGGGGTGGATCTCCAGAGCAGCTGGCAGCCCCCAGGGTGGTCTGGTGGAGGGAGCCCTTCCAAGTGGCTGCTGCAGGAACACAGACCTTGCTCCCTGTCTGAATCAGGAGTAGAGGAGATGAGGACCAATGCGTGCAAACTAGCCTGGTCCTTTTGGAGCTAGGAGTTCCCCTGCACCCCGCCACAGCTCCCCATCTCCCTTCGATAAAGGACTTACTCTGCATACATTAATTACTGCAGTTACCGTGTACATATATCTAGACAAACACTCAATTCTAGCTTGCTGGGAAAGTTATAAAGATGAAATTTTGTATTTAAAATCCAGTAATGATAAGATTTCCCATTTAAAGAACCACAGAGTGTTTCCATTTTTAAAGCTTAAGAAAACTTTTATGGTATGACTCACCTCATCTTTTATCTGTTTTAGGAACTCGGTTATTGTACGTTAATTTTCATTAAGCGGGCCACAGTTGTGTACATTAATTGACCTTAAATATTAGTTTGGTTATTCACTGAGCTTAAAAGATTTTATTCATTCTCTGTAAATGCTAATCATAATTGCATATTTTCGGTGGTCCGGATTTAGTAATGGTGTTACAGATTTCTGTTTGTTCTTAACCAGACCATGATGGATAATATTATATTTAGCTGATGGTGTTGTATTCATCAATGTTTACCCTTAAGCTACAAATTGTATATACATGTGTACACCTGTACGCTGACATTCTACATTCTCAAATAAGGTTTTTCCAATATTTTCTTCACACGTCAGTCTTTAAGGTCACGGTCATACTGGAAAAAATAGATAATTTTCCTAAATATTACAAAGTATTACAATAATAATTTCTTTTATAACTGCAGCTGTGAGACTAATAAGCAAAATGTGACTATTATAGTTATTTGATTTTCTGGATTTCGTTAATGTAATAAACTTATGGTACTGGCTGATCAAAACAGAGTAATTTTAAAAATTATGTTACTCATAAGAACAGAATTATTTCTCTATTACAACCTTATAGATGTAGAAAAATGAATTCCTTGGCCTCTTCTGCAGAGTACTTATCTTCCCAAACCCTCAGAAACTAAAACTTATCTAAATTTTGAACATCTTTAAGGTCTACAGTTGTAGAGGGTAACTGCTTATTACACTCAGAGTGTAATCACCCTTACTCCTTACTTTCTTTTACCTCAGAAATGTTCCTAACTCTTCATTTATTTGCAGGAAAGTATTCACTCCTGTCTTTGCCTTTTAGTTTTTATACTACAAACAACTCTAGCTCATGAGAGTGGAATTTTCGCTTTATTTCTTTCACTAATATTTTTGGGTTTGGATGCCTTCTGGTTTCTTCATACCGTCTTTTAATTTGGGAGATTTAAAACTGGACATAAAATTCTAACAAAGGCTCTTCAGACTTCATCTTTAGCCAAATCATTATGCATGTAGGGAGGCTGAAACTTAGGCTATATTATTTTTCTAGTGGAACCAGAATTTGTGCTTTTATGGTCCATAGACTTTGGTTGCTATCGTGTTGATGGACCAGGAATGACATCGGTTTGTTTTAGGGTGGGAAGGGTTCCTCACCAGTGTGTCTGCTTTTCCTTTATCAAGAAATTCACAACAGCAGTTGTGAGGATTTTGAGGCAGTCTACAGGCACCAGAATATGGTGGGTTTCTCTAATCATTGTAATTTTTAAATGTGTGAAATATTCCTCCATCATTCATCATTTTAACCTGTATACATTTCTGGAGGGCCTCCTATGTGTCAGATACGGCTTCAGCTCAGCCTCTGTGCTGCTTGGGCCAGTGGATCATAGGAGGTGATTGTCTGCAATTTCTAAACACTGTGTAAGATTTCCAAACCACTCACAAACCAGAGGGATATGCCCTATATTCCCTTGCCAGGTCTCAAGAAGCAAGGCATCAAGCAGAGATAGAGGACTTTTTGCGCTCCTTTCTCATCTTAGAAGTCCCACTCCCCTTTCAGGTGTAAGCTTAGCATATTTTTCAGTCACTGACAGTGGTTCAGTATCAGAAAGCTGAACAACAATTGAAATTTCGTCTCTTCAGTTCAGCAGTTATTGAACTCCTTGGCTGGGCCAGGCACCCTGTGGAAAGTACCGGGGATAAGAGAAGAGTAGGAAGGAACTCCTTTCTTTAGAAGCTGACATTCTCAGATGGTTTGAACTCACCTTACTACAGCATAATATTAATCACACTGTAAGAGATACATTTGCAATGAAAGAGGGACTGGAGAGGACAAAGTGTTTAATTCTAGGTGAAAGGGAAGATTTAGCAATATTCTATCTTTGTTTATTGCCTAAAGAACATAAAATACATGGAAGGGATATTTATATTTTTGCCTCACTCATTTTACCATACTAACATGTTTTTGTCATTCCTCACCTTCCCCAAAGGAATACTGAAGTTTCATTCTGAAGGGGAGTAGACCTGAGGTTTGAGGAGCCGAATATGTGTACATGTAGCAAATCCAGTACAAGGTTTCCGTTCTTGCATTGTACAAGCGTTTGGAAGCAGAGACAAATATGTAGGCATCAGGATTTATTTTATTCCTTTCCCTAGTGATTACGTTGACAGTGAACTATCTTTGTCTGAGTACTCCAGCAATATAGCTGTAGGCGCCATAAAACTGCATAGGTGGATGGCTACCAGTTCAATTAAGAGTTCTTAACCTAGCCTCCCATATGCAAACCCTGTCTATTTTAGGTTTAAATTTCTGCTCATAAATTTTTTAAAAATCCAAAGAAACATTGCTTTTCAAGGTTAGGTTGAAGTCTAAGTTTCCTTAAACAAAAAGCAAATCCCTAGATAGGGAAAAAAAATTGATAACCCTAATGTACTTCCTTACAAGAGCATTTCCAACCCCATCCTTTAAACACAGTGTAAGTAAAATTCTCTTCATTGTAATATACAGATCTTCTGGCTTTCAACCAGTAAGCCAGAGAAACTCACTGGTATGGGAGACTCAGATACAAGAAGAACATCCAGTTCTATGCAGTTGGGTTTGTTTTCTGAGGTTCCTAATTATTTAAGGTGGTAGAAATCAATCAACCACGTGATATTTGTCCGAAAGAGTAAGACACAAAGTTACCTTGGCTTCTGACAGGTGTCTATGGAGTATATAAAGGAGAAAAGTGAATTAATTGTTAACCTTCTTGATAGTGTTTTAATGCAAATGTTTGAGAAAGAGATCTTTCATTTGTATCAATTATACCTGGGTAGAAATTAATTTATAATTTTGGTCATCTGGTTGGCTCCACACTTAACAGCATCAGTGACCTTTTGCAATACCAGAAAGAGTGTCCATGCATCCTCAGCAGAGAATAGCACTAAGACTGGGTAGTTTTGCTCCTTCTTGGCTGAAAAAGAAAATGGTATTGAACGGCCGAGGGTAGAAAATAATTATTGAAGTTTTGAGATCATATGCATTTTCTTGTAGATCTTTGGCTTTGCTTGCCCCTTAGCAGGATGGTGCATTTTAGTATGCAGTCCTCAGATGGATAGCGGTGTCTCCAGCTTTTGAATAAAACTAGAAAAATTAAATTCCGTTTTCAGTTTGGCTGGATGCCTTCTCCAGTGTTTGTATCTGAGCTTTCACGAGAATGCGGCGGCCCCTTGCAGACCAACTCTGAGCATTTTCTTGCCACTCACTCCTTTGCTGTTGGTTTGCTTATTTTTCTGTGGCTTGGAATTTTAAACTTTCTTTGGACATACCTAATATTCATCTTTTATTGTTGTTCATGTTTTCTATTATTATGCTATGTATCTGTAAAGGTAGGTGACAAATTTAAACAAAAAGTGAAAAGAAGAAAGAAGTCTGCTTTCAGATTAAATAAAAAAAATTTAGGGTCTTTCCTGATCCCTTTTTGCTTTAATATTCATGGATAAATATCGGAAAAGTAATTGGCTATTGTATATCTAATAATTGAGATAAAACTATTTTCCATTTATTCATAGAGAAGTGATTAATTATAAAGATATTACACATAGAAGTAGTACATGGATAGAGATGTATGTTTGCTAGTATTATTCCAAAGAAAATATTATGTTTGGCAAAATTTTATGTATCTGTTTCGGGACATGATCAAGAATTTTAATTTTCCCTAAAACAAAATTAGATATTTTGCTTTCATTTTAGTTATAGAAATTAATGGTTTAAGATTTTCCAGAACAAAAACAATGGAGGCATGTCTTTCTCCTAAAATACATTGAATTACTACTCAAAATATTTAATGTGTAATTTCTAATGGCAAAATTATAGGCTTGTTTCCTAGAAGAAAAAGAAGGTAGTCATGCTGTATTTTTTAATTGTTTGTGATATATATAATATTAATTTATGTAGTTAAAATTTTAAATATGGGTCAATGTAAATTTGTTTGCATTTCTAATTTTTAGTCTAGGTTTTGTATTTTTGTAGTTTATTCTGAAGGATTTCTTTAAAGGTTTTTGGCATATAATAATACATTTTGTTTGTGTCTTCTCTGTGGCAATTGTTACAGAACGATAAAAGCTGTCACTTTGCCAGACTCAAATAAAAATTCACTTTTTAGCATCTTCTGTTATTTAAACCTTTGAATCAACATAGAATTTTTGCTATAGTCACCAGGTTAAGATTATCTGAAAATTTTAAAATGGATATTTTTTGCTATAGCACTTTCTTATAAGTAAAATCTTCGTTTGCTTAAAAGCAGGGAGTCTTTTAAAGTAATAAATTAGCATTTCTAGACCTAAGGTCACTAGTAGTGCCACTTCTTTCTGCAGCATCTCCAAGAAAGAGAAGGGTGATGCTATAACTCAGTTGCTATAGAAGTAATATTTTCTGTTTAATCACAGTTAAGTGTCATGACCTTTTGACCTTACATTAAACTTGCAGAAATGTGGTTAAATTTCAGGCAGCTAATTCAAAACCTGTGAAGTCAAGTTGAAGTTAGGATGCAAGCTCTCCGCAGATACAGAGGTTTTGTTGAAAAAAAATTTTTGTGTTTGCTTTTGAACAATGTTGTAAACGACTTCAAGTCTCAGAAAACGCTTTATTTTTAAATCAAAATTTTTCCCCTTGAAACATTTTGCCTGTTTTTTCTCTCCTCTCCCCAAAAACTGTACCATAAATATGCTTGTTTCTAATTTTGTGAAATTCTTTTGATCTAAGTTAATTTTATCTAATTTAAAAATTAAGTTACTTTGATTTTCCCTTATTTCATTTAGAAATTAAGTTAATCAAATTCCTTTTTTAGTTTGAAAATATGATTATATTTTTTAAATTAAAAAATGTTTAATTCTATAGAGGTGTACAAAAATCTGTTTTTGCAAACAAGTCCTTTTAGGATCTCCCAAATGCATCAGTACAAGAAAAAAATAATTCTTATAAAGCAGGGGAAACTTGTACCTTCAGAAAGACTTCTTTGAGTTATGCAGTTATTTCAAGAAAATGTGATGGAATATTAGGACTCTAGTATTTAATGGTGTTAGTCTGCGTAGTCTGTTGCTGGAATGCAGAGCTAAATATCAACAGAACTTGTTACTGTTGTTTGGGTTGCTTTTATATACCAGCTTCAAAATATGTTTTGACACTTTATTATGTTCTGAATCAAGCTTCAGATGTGTGTAATGAAGGATGAAGTCTTTATCAGACTCGAGTGTATAAATAGTGGAGAAGAGCAGTTTGGAAATGGTCTCTCTAAGAGAATGGTTGCTGAAGAGCTTCAAGTTGTGATCTGGCAAAAGCCAATGCCACCGTAGGTGTCCGCAAACCGGAGCGTCCTCTCTAAAGGCACAGGCTGCTGCTGCATTTCCCTCTCTTTCTTTTCTCTTTCCATCTTTTCTTTTTTTCATGTCTCATGTCATTTCTGTAATGTTCCCTTTCTTAGTTTATAGGTTGAACCTTTTGAGAAAGTCTGGCACCTCTGATGCACTTTCCCTTGCAGACCCTGTAATTTTTGGCTGTATTTTTATGTTTTTCAGATTCAAGTCAATCTGAAAGTCCCAGCCAGCCAAGTGACGCTGACATTAAGGACCAGCCAGAAAATGGTAAGTTTAGCTTGGGACTCTAGCTGCTGCTTTCAGAGTCCACAGCAGCCAGCAGGCCGACTAAGTGTGAGGATTTGGGGGCCTACCCTATAAGTAGCCCACAGTAGGAACAACTCCAAAGACTCGGAAAAACTCAAGTAGATTACTTTTAATAGGGCAGCTTCTTGTTCTCGGGATCACCCCAGCAGCCTCAGGACCCCCGGCCCTAAACACTATTAGGGTGCCCATGAGAACCTGAATTCCCAAGAACGTTGATTACCCAATTAAACTATGAGAAGTGGGGTTAATTTACCAAATCAGATTTTTTTTTAATAGCATTAAGTGAGGAGTCATGGCTTTTTCATTTCATTTTAGTTCTTTAATGTGGCAAATGCCCCATGATCATCTTCACTAGTGATTTAAGATCATTCATTCACAAGCAGTTTTAAGCCTTTTGGGAGCTCAACACTTTGCCAATTCCTTTAAGAAAAAAAAAAATATCTATGCTTTGAAGGATTTTTCTACCTTAAATTGTCTAAAATAAAATAGTGAGGATACAGGGCAGCATTAAATTCCACTGCTGCATAAATATCTAAATTTTCTGTTGCAGATGCTTTATTAAAATAGAACATACATTATATATGAATATCATAGTATCTGGTAAAATTTGAATTCGTGGCAGGCACTACAAGTATGAAAAATACTGTCATGGGTTGGAGTTTTATATTGAATAAAACTATCGGTTTCAATAAAAACAGAGACTTCAGTGAACTAGCAGTGCCTATCATATAACAAACATTGTGTTACATACTTTCACAGATATCATCTCATAAAATTCCAAAATGTTCTTCTTTGCTGATAGCACTGAGGACTCTGGTGGAATGCTTTACCTTGAAGGGCCTGTGGGGAGAATATGCCATTGTGATTAAAAGCTCAGGCTGTGGGCTGGGCGTGGTGGCTTTCACCTGTAATCCCAGCACTTTGGGAGGCTGAGGCTGGCAGATCACGAGGTCAGGAGTTCAAGACCAGCCTGGCCAACATGGTGAAATCATGTCTTTACTAAAAATAGAAAAATTATTCGGTCGTAGTGGCATGTGCCTGCTGTAATCCCAGCTACTTGGGAGGCTTAGGCAGGAGAATTGCTTGAACCTGGGAGGCAGAGGTTGCAGTGAGCTGAGATTGCGCCACTGCACTCTAGCTCTGGGCAACAGAGCAGAACATCTCAGGGGAGGCGGGGCGGCGGAAGCTCAGGCTGTGACCTGCATTCAAATTCTGCCTCTCCTATTTCTTACCTGTGTGATACTGAATAGGTTATTTAACCTCTCAGAGTATTGATTTATTCCTCTAAAACAGGGTAATAATATTACCTGTTTGTTGAAGAGTTAAATAAGATAATATGTGTAATGTGTTTACCATAGTATCTTTCATAGAGTTTATGCTTTAAAAATGTCAGCTGTGGTTCATTATGACTTTTATTATTTTTCTTGTCAATATAATTCTGTCATACTTTGTTTTTCACCCACTTTGAATGACCCCATTGCTTGAGTCTCTTCCTTTTGTTGTTCTGTACATTGTTCCATGTTGATCTCCATCCAATCTTTTGGAAAAGATAGGCAAACGGAATTATGTTGGTATTGTGGGGTGAAGGATCAAGTTTACCACATTAGCTATCCTATCACTGATTTTTCAGAATATGTTTCATTTCCTACCCATGAGAAATTTGATTACATTGCTGGATTCTAGCATTAAATATGGACTGCCTGGCAATTCCTCTCCTCATCCTGGTATTTTGGTGATATTTTCTTTATCAAAGTTGTCTTTTTAAAGCAGGCAGTTAAAAAAAAAAAAAGAGAGAACTCTGGAGGTTTGTTTTTAGTGTCATATACAGCTACATCTTATTTTTTGTTGACATTTTAAAGAGTGGTATTTATAGACTAGTTTCGTTCTTTATTTTCCACTTGACTTGTAGGTGATGTCTTCAAAGTTTCACTTTTTTCTACATATTGTATTTGTGCATAATCTCCCTAAAGATGTCTCCAGAGGTATAATTTTATTTTCATCTTCAAAAATGTGTGGACTGTACGGGTGTGTAGTTCGCGTATTTAGGTCTGGCCGCCCCTCTAGCAGGCCTGTGATTCATCTGTCTTCATAAAATGGCCAACAAGCTGTTCACATGCAAATATAAATTGAGAGCATGAGAGGCCTGGCATGCCTTTCTGGAGCTGCCTGCAATCCCAATATTGTGTGTTTCCCATTCCAGAAAGCAACCAGGATTGAGCCTGGATTTTTTGGCCAAAGGCAGAGAGATACTAGCCAAGTTCACTTTTAACCTCAGATCACTTGATGCTACTACCTCAAGGATTTACACTATCATTTTGGGGAAATCATGTGAGTTCAAAGAAAGAAAGTATTAATATCTAGGAGATAAAGTAATAAATTCCTATCTTTCAGTTTTCTATTTGTTTCAAAGAAAAAGTAGTAGAAGCTGGCTTATCTTAGCCCCAGTTGAAGAATTATCAGCCTACTCAGTTTTCTGCCTCTTGTCAATCTCAGATGAAGTTAGTGGAGGAAAAATGATTTTTCTCTTTTCCTTAAAGACACGTAATCCCAAAAGGAATAAATGAAGATTCAGGGCTGGGTATTTACATGCATTAGATAAGGTTCTACTCTCTGGTGTTGCGTTGATCAAGAGAATGTTTCCTCTTTTTCATTACCTCAGGATATGAAGATGAAGTGTGTGTTTCGTTTTTGTTTTGAAAGAGGGAACTCTCATAGGTGTATCAACAAAGCTCTAAGAAATTTTGGAATCTTGCTGATTGAAGAAGTAACAGACTTGATTCTTCAAATAAAATGGGAATTCATTACTTCACATATATGTATGTGTGTGTATATATATATGTATGTTTGTATGTATGCGAAAAAATAATATTCTTTTTATCCTAGCTCTTGAGAAAGGTAATGGGAAACGAATGGTATTTCCCTAGTAAACCATGGAGAATGAATAGACAAATGGTAACACGCTGTTTCATCCCAAACCGTAAACTGGGCCATGTAACTTTACATAAAGTGGATGCAGCTGTTTCTTCCCTGTCCAACTAGTCTGCTTTTTCTGTGGAATTTTTGCTTTCTTTTCTTGTACTCCCTTAAGACTCAACTGTAAAAGAAAACAAATCTTTGTCCAATTAGAGCATTAGATGGGAATTTTGAAGGAATTATCTGAAGCCCAGCGATAAAATATCAGAAGCTCTGAAACTCAAAATTGGTATAATATAATGGGTAAAAACTCTGCCTCTGGAGTCAAAAAGACCTGAGTTCAAATTAAATAATAGCTGAGTGACTGAGTAAGGTACACCCCAATCTCAGTTTTCTTACCAGTAAAACAGAAATACTAAAAGGAGGCCAGGTGCAGTGGCTCACGCCTATAATCCCAGCACTTTGGGAGGCTGAGGTGAGTCGATCACTTGAGGTCAGGAGTTCGAAACCAGCCTGGCCAACATGGTGCCCGTCTCTACTAAAAATACAAAAATTAGCCAGGCATAGTGGCACATGCCTGTAATACCACTACTCGGGAGGCTGAGGCAGCAGACTATCTTGAATCCGGGCAGCAGATGTTGTAGTGAGCCAAGATGGCACCACTTCATCCAGCCTGGGTGACAGAGCAAGACTCCATCTCAAAAAAAAAAAAGAAAAGAAAAGAAATAAAATACTAAAAGGACGTATCTCATGAGTGGTAAACTGAGAATATGCATACAAAATAGCATTCTGCCTGGTTCACAGTAAGGACTCAAAGGAAGGTTACCATTACTACCTTCCAGTTAAAGCTTGTCGTATTTACAACGAGTACGTATATTCAAGAGGTCCAAAGCTGGGAGCCTTGGAGTGGAAGGGGATGGCGTCAGAAATATACCAAGACTTTTAGAGACATCTTTAGTGGGTACTTACCCTGCTCTGAAATGTCAGACATGGGTTTCCCAAATCCCCACAATCCCCATGGTGCCACGTCTGTTTTCCCATTTTGTTTTATCCTCACAATCTGTTCATCTCCCATGAGTTTGAGAACCAGGGAATTGCAAAAAGGATTCAGAGTTGCTGGAACCTTCAGAATGAGTGCTCAAGAAGGTGATTCTGGAAAGAAGAGACTTCTCCTAGATGTCTTTAATTTTAGCTGAGTTTTTCCTTGGCACAAACCAAATAGAATCTGGCTTATTAAAAACTATAAGCTGATTAAGGGTAGGATTTATGACAAATTCCTTTTAAAAAAAATCCTGCACAGCCCGTAGATCTGTGCCTTGAACTTAATGGGTACCTAGTACTTATTTGCTTAATGAATAAAATTAATAAGTAGATGAATATATTGTCATTACTCCCAAATATTTTTGGAGTATCTGTTCACTCTTGATTTACCTAGAGATTTTAAGAAAAACAAACAAACAAAAAAAACAAAAACGCTCTGGAGAAGCTGAAAACCTAATTTGGGTGTGGGGGAAGGCTGTCCTCAGACACATGGACAGAGATTAACAGATATAACTAGTAGGTCTAGGAAGCCAAAGCTGAGGGCTAGGTACTAATGGGAATAGGACATCAAGTTGTCCCTCTCCCCTTCCTGCCCGCCCCCACCCCCACTTCAATGAGCAGGTGTGGTCAGATGTTTGAAACATCACCATTTCAGTTTATGCATGATGCTTGATTACCGTAGGGAATGCAGTTCAGACAAAGTTCCTAGCTCTGATTGGTATCATTTAATCCTTTGTTATATCACTGAATCTGGCTTTTCCAGAGCTCCTGAAGGTTTTAAGCCTTATTTGTTGGACTTTGACTTAGAACATCGATTTAAACAACTTTTGTGAACTCCCATGACATACTTTGGTTACTTTAAACATATTTATGGGACAGAGCATTTAAAATGCCTGCCTGATATTTACAGGGCCTGTGAACAGTCCTCCAAAGCTTGCATTCTGTGGTGTATCAGGTCAGTCATTAATGAGGATAAAGCTCATGTGATAGCCTTCTTACTTAATTCAAGGCACACTTCTGTAGGGCTGCACTGAGTCAGTGTCTGAGGCAACAGTATAGGCCAGCGTTGGCACTCTGAAAACACACCCCCACTGGCTCTCACTGTTATCCGTGAAAGCATCCTTAACTAAAAAAAGAAAATGTGGGGCTCCCTTGCCAGAAAGTAATGCTATCTTCACCTGGTTATTTTTCCCTTCTATTTGCCATTTCTCATCACCTGCACAGACTGCTAGTAATAACTTTATCATAGTGGTTTTTAAAATGTGATATTTATAACAAGAAATCAGAATTGGTATTTAGATGATTTCCTTTAGGTTTAATCATGTTTGTTCCTCCTCATTTATCTGGTAGTTGCACATATGTTGGTGGCATCAACCCTCAGATGGGTCTTTGCAATCAGTGGAAGCCCATTAATCATGATGCTTGCCCCAGATTTTGAAAATTTCCAGCTCTACCTGCCAATTTGAAAATTACCCTGTGGAGTATTGGTTGAATCTACCTTTCATGTTCACCATCTTCATTTATGTCGTTCACATCCTGAATTGTTAAAAGAGGTATCATTGTTAAATGTTGCTAGGTGAACAAGGAATGTACTTCTTTTCATCCGTAATTGTTGCTATTTCATGCATTATTATTTAACTCATTGAATTTTTAATGTTTACGAAATAAGTTTTAGTGCAACTGACTTCCTGACTTAAGATTTATGTGTAGGGCTGGACACAGTGGCTCACGCCTGTAATCCTAGCACTTTGGGAGGCCAAGGCGGGTGGATCACTTGAGGTCAGGAGTTCAAGACCAGCCTGGCCAACATGGTAAAACCCGGTCTCTACTAAAAATACCAAAAAAAAAAAAAAATTAACCGGGCGTGATGGCAGATGCTTGTAATCCTAGCCACTTGGGAGGCTGAGGCAGGAGAATCGTATGAACCCAGAAGGCAGAGGTTGCAGTGAGCTGAGATCACACCACTGCACTCCATCCTGGGTGACAGAACGAGACTCTGTCTCAAAAAAAAAAAAAAAAAAAAAAAAAAAGATTTATGTGTAGGATTTACTTTGTAATTTGGGGCTGAGAAGAGAAACCTATAAATTTCTTTTTCTCTTTTTTGATGAACATTTTTTTATCTGACATTATTCTCTTTAAAAATTGTGGGCCTTCTTGTTTAATGTTTTAAATTGTTTTTACTACCTCCTCACATGTATAGTAGATATATTACAATATTATATTGCAATATTTATATATAGTGGGAAGGCAAAATAAAATTGATAATTCAAAACTGCAAAAATGGTCACTGCTGGATGGACTGCTTGTTTTAGGAACTGTTTTGATGAATGTGTCATTTAGTTGGGTGATTTAAAAAAATTTGGAGGCAATGCAACCTTACAGTTTATGTTTTACTGGGAAAGAAGGAGCATTCTAGCACCATTGACTTGTAAATGCAGTTTATCAATATTTCATAATTTGCATGACTTTCTTTTACAATTACCTAGCAACAGTTCTTCTCTGCAGTGTTCCTTCAAAAAACCCCGCAGGGACAGACACAGTAGAGTGACCACCAAAATAGCAGCAATAACAGTTATGATCAATATTCTAAAATATGTAAAGGTCCCAACTCAGGGAGACATTAAAACCTAAATGCCTTCTGGTTTCCAGATCTGTATAATTAAATTCTGACTGATGAATTTTCAGCAATGCAATGGAGCTAGTCTCTCTTCTTTAAGAGATTAGGGAACTAGAATTTGGTTTCATCTGAAATTTCATTCTGAAACTAGGTGAATTTTGCTTTCTTAAGAATTGTTAGCAGGTGTGACCCATCATTGTTTGCAAAGGCTCCTCAGAAATGCCTCCAGACAAAGGAAATTCCTGAGTCTTTCTCTGTGAAAGATGAGGTGCCATCCTAGGCTGGGGGCTTCCCCAAGTGCATGACGCAGTGGAGGCTGCAGAGCTTAAGCCACGGGATCCAGTGTACTTAAGGCGCCTTTTCAACTGAAAAATGGGGGGTGTGGGGGGAGATTTGTAGCCATTTTAAAGTAGTCTTATCCTCACACATTATGAGTATTTTATTGTCTTCACACAGAGAATAACTAGCTGAACAGACTTTAGGTTAGTTGGCTAGTAGCCAAAATAGGAAATGTTTTAGATCCTATTCCCCTGATTTTCAGGTTCTAAAATGGACTGACTGGGTGGTCTGTTTCAGACATCTTCCCCTCCCCACTCCCCCCACCTCCAACCCTTCACACACAAAGAGTTACACAGGAAAGAAGAAAAAAAGGGATTTCTTGCTGGTCCTCAAATTCGTTTGTGCCTCTGACTCTTATCCCAGGAGAGACCCAGAAGTGCCTATTGAATGTAACGTTCCAAGTAGGAAAGCATTTTAAAGTGTGTATTTAGAATGTATCTGGAATTGCGTAAATATATACATAGATCTAGATTCTAAAAATATGAAAATATGAAGCAATACAATTTATGCAGTATTTGAATTGGGCTCAAAAAGGAAATCAAATGAGGAGCCGTCATCAAATCACAGTGCGGTAGAAGGTGCACCTGGTGTTTGGCTACAGCTCCATCTGCCATTGCTCTGTTTTCCCTGTGATCTAAGCCTGGAACTAGTATGACAGGACCCTTTGACAGAGATATCCTTAGAAGGACCACTTCTAATGGCCACTTTTCATACCTCCCCATCAATTAAAAACCAGCGTGGTGAAAGATCAGAGGGGCGAGCTGGGGTCAGGAATTGGGTATGAGCTTTCCTTGCCACAAATAATAGGGTCACTTCTGCTTTTAAATTTGAATGTGAATTTGTTGTTTTTAAGCCTGTACATTATTTTTTGGAAGGAATTACCTATTTGTGGATAATATTAGTAAACTGAATGTAATATACATAATGTATTTGGGGATTTGGAGTCACTAATCCAGATTGATTAGTTGCCTGCTAGAAAAATTCATGTGGCCACAAGGATTTTTGGCACCTTTTCTCCCTGCAGCTTCCTCATTCTTTTTCTCTTCTTCAGGTTTTACTCAGCTCCAGGCAACTCTTTTCCCCCTGGCATTAGCTTGTCGTTAAGGAAATCTAGTGGGATATCTCAAATAGGGGTGGAGGGTAGGGGGCACTATTTGCTGCAGATTACTCTGCCCCATCTCAGTTGTGCATTTCTATACTTGGTTGATTTTAACCCAAAGGGAACCAGGGAGTCTCATATGGCTTATCCACAGGCATCATATGGTGAATATCCAAAAAGAGAAATGTAAGGATATTGTGGCAAGGCTCGGCAAAATAGGAATAGCTTTTCAACAATCTTTCCACGAAGGAAAGTCAGTGTTTTCTTAGATCTCTGTAGGTATTTTACAACCAGAGAGCTTCTCAGCAAGTAGCACTTGTAAACTCAGAGATGAACAAGAAGAAGCCAAATCACAGCTTCCGAATAGGTCAAATTAGCAAAAGAGACTTGCCATTAAAAGCCTGACACTGAGCGTCTGTTAAGGGAAAATCAGTTGTCCAAGTCACTTAAAGACTTGTACCTCAATTTTCTCATAAGTAATTTAACAGATCATTCTTAAGAATTGCTGGATAGGCCGGGCAGGATGGCTCACGCCTGTAATCCCAGCACTTTGGGAGGCCAAGGCAGGCGGATCACGAGGTCAGGGGATTGAGACCATCCTGGCTAACACTGTGAAACCCTGTCTCTACTTAAAAAAAAAAAAAATTAGCCGGGTGTGGTTGCAGGCGCCTGTAGTCCCAGCTACTCAGGAGGCTGAGGCAGGAGAATGGCATGAACCTGGGAGGCAGAGCTTGCAGTGAGCAGAGATTGCGCCACTGCACTCCAGCCTGGGTGACCGAGCGAGACTCTGTCTCAAAAAAAAAAAAAAAAATAGAATTGCTGGATATATTTGGACTAGGTATTGGATGTGTTAAGGGAATACAGAGATAGAGCAGACATCCTGCTCTTGAGAACCTGATAGTCTAGTAAAAGGGAAAAGACACCATTTGTTCGTTCATTCATTCAACAGGTATTTATCAAATACACTCTAAGAACCAGGCATGTTCTAGGCATCACACTGAGCAAAACAGAAAATCCTACTCTTAATTTAGCTTACCTTCTTGGGGAAGGAGACAGACAATCAGCTGATTAATACACATGTCACATGCCAAGTGGCATCAAACATTATAAAAGAAAATAAGGCAATATAAGGGATTAAAGAAGGGAGGATGTGGGTACTGTCTTATAAAGGGTGGTAAAGGAAGGCCTTTCTGATGTGTTGACATTTGAGTTAAGTCCTAATGAAGTCAAAGAAGTGAATTATGCAGATATTAGGGACTTTTATTCTAAGAAGAGGGAACATTAAATATAACAGCCCTGAGACATGCTGGAAGAACACTAAGGGGGTTGGTGTGGCTTGAAGGGTACAAACAAGGGAGAGAATAGTTGCAGATGAGTAGCAGGAAGGCAAATCATATTGGATCTTGTAAGCCAAGGAAAAGATATGGCACATCCTTGAAAAGCCATGGTATACTCTGGAAGAATGCACATATGAGTCCATTCATTTCTTGGTACAGTAGATATGTCCTGATCCCCTACACTGTGATAGTCACTGTTCTAGATAATGAGTGTTCAGTGGGAAGCAAAGTAGACAGAGTTTAGTGTGGAGTTGTACACAAAGACCTCATTCATAGCATTGTTAAGGAATGAGACTCTGATTTGTCATGGCAGTATCTTTTAGTACCTCCAAAGGTTTTCCCTCGTGCATATTACTAAAAGCCAAGTTACTTGCATGGAATAATATTTGGTTTCACATACCCAATTGTGTAAACAATTATTTCTCAAAATGGAGGTCGAAATCTGTGGAGTTTCAGCTTACCCCTGCTCTCGTGACCCCATTAGATTATAACCCCCAGGTCTCACATACATTCACCATGAAGGTGGATTTTGTTCCTAAATAGTTGCCAGATGTAGCACAATGGTGGCTCACACCTGTAATCCCAGCACTTTGGGAGGCCAAGGCAGGTAGATCACTTGTGGCCAGGAGTTTGAGACCAGCCTGGGCAACATGGCAAAACCCGTGACAGAGCAAGACTGTCCCCAACCCCCCCCAAAAAAAACAAGATGCCAAGTTAAATTTGAGTTTCAGATAAACAGTGAATAATTTTTTAGTACTGCGTGAAATATACTTACACAAACAAAGTATTCATTGTTTGTCTAGACCAAGTTTTGTATTTTATCTGGCAACCAGTTGTAATTCTCCACATATTCCTGTGGAGGTTACATAGGCAATAGTAACAGCAGTGTATGAAAAGGTTTGATTAGTCTGTGATGATTTCACTGATCACAAAAGGTCAAACCACTGGAATTTAACCCACTGAAAATGAAATCTGGGAAGAGTACTACAAAGTTCTAGTGACTTGGCTGCTTAAATTCCATTCCTTCCGCATCTGCTGGTACCTAGCCCAGTAGTTTTCTTGGAACAATAAACCACTTGTGAGGCACAGTCAATAGGTACAATATAATAGTTGAGAGCCACTCAGCCCATGCAAGTGAGTGTATAAGTTTAATTAGTCGTGTATTAATTGAGTAAGCCACTGCGACACTGTGTGAGCCCATACATCCAGTTACTGGCAGACCATTTACTCACGAAAGATGATGAAAATAGGAAATCAGTCAAATAATAGAGCATTTGGAATTCGCACATCCAAAGGTGAAGTAGAGAAATGGCATTTCTGATAAACTTGAAAATAGAAGGGGCCATATTTTTCATGTGCAATATGGAATGATAAATGTATATGTTTTCATCTGTAATTGGGACAACTTTGCTAGGTATGACAAATCTTGTTTGAACATGTTAAAGAAATATAGTGTAACCTTTGAATCCTCCTGCTTTAAAAAAGAATAGTGTTCACAGATTCAAGGAAAACAATTTTGGAAATAGGGTTAAACTCTATTAGGCTTAAAGCCAGATAATAACAAAAATAATGATTTTTGGTGATAATAATCATAATAGTAGCTCACAATCATTGTGGACTTTCTGTGTGCCAGTATGTTAGTTTGGGTCCTCCAAGAATAATATGTCCTGATAGGACAAGAGATTTATTGGGGCAATACCTATCAAATATAAAGGGGGACAGAGCAAGAGTAGATTGAGAGAACTTTTAGGCTGCAGTACAGTTCTGACAGGTGGGAAAGGAGGAGGGAAGAATGAGAGATTGGGTTGGAAGAATCCCAGAGCTCTCACTCCCATTGCCTAGGCTGGAGTGCAGTGGTATGATCATGGCTCACTGCAGCCTCAACCTCCCAGGCTCAGGTGATGCTCCCACCTCAGCCTACCAAATAGCTGAGACTATAGGCACACGCCACCAAGCCCAGCTAATTTACTGTATTTTTAGTAGAGACGAGGGTCTCACTATGTTGTCCAGGCTGGGTTCAAACTCCTGGGCTCAAGAGATCCACCTGCCTCAACCTCTCAAAGTGCTGGGGTCACAGGTGTGAGCCACTGCGCCTGGAGTAAGCTTCTAAGAAAATTTTGACCATGCCAATGGAGAGTCCCTGAGCTTAAGTCCCCTGTTGGAAGAATTCTGTGTTTTATAGGAATGGGTCTGTGTTGGTATCCTCCCCCTCAGTTATTGGCTGGAAACAGCCTGGAGGAAGTGTGGCCTTTAAGCAAATGTGGTGGTGGATTCAGAGGAGCAGCCCTGTTAGGCAACCATGTTCCTTGCAACAGGTGGTCAGGGTGGACCATTTTTATTCATGGCCACCAGAGCCATGCACTGTGCTGAGTTCTATATTCATGATCTTATATCATCTTAATATAATCCTATGGAGGTAGGTGCTATTAGTGTGCCCATTTTACAGATTAGGAAACTGAGACACAAAGAATTTAAGTAGCTTGTCCTACAGTCAAGAAGGCATAAAGGGTATTCAGACTCAACTCTAAGTCCAGAGTCTTAACTGCTTAACCATGGCATTCTATTAGAGAAAGAATGGAATTCAAACTCTGGTTCTATAATGTATTGATTGTATAAATTTGAACAAGTTATTTAAACTCTTAAACTTTTATTTTCTAATGTATAAGGTGCGATGTCATCACCTTCCCAGGAAATGTGTTTTCGTTGCTGTTTTGTTCTGAGCACAAACAACGTTAGTTCCTTTTCCTTCCTCTTGTTTTGCTCTCATCTAGGATTGTCATCTCTTCCTTTATTTCTTATCTCATCTTCCCAGGTATCTGCCTCAGCCTTGTTCAGGCACCCACAGGCTTAACTACATCCTCAGAACTAACAGGACTGTTTCTGTGTGGATTATATGTCTGGATGTAGATATGTGGAAAGTGCTGAGCACTTGCAACAATCCATAAATAGATACTCAATAAAATGTAGCTCGCCTTCTCTCTCATCCACCTCATTGCCTCATAGACATGAACTAGGTGCCAGGGACATCTTCTTTTTAAGTTTCTTTTTTTTTTTTTTTTGACAAAATATACATCTTTATAGAAAAATTACATTCTTATTTTTTTATGAACACTTTGTTCTTTTTTTCTACAGTCTCAAGTATTATGAGTATATGGTACTTTAATAGATATTTTTAAACAATGGACTGAGTTTTCATTTGATTTTTCTGCTGGAGGTGGAGACTATAAAATGAGGTTAGTTGCAAGGTATTTATACCAGATGCCATTATGTTTGTTAGATGGCATAAAACAATTATGATTGCCAATAAATTTAAAAGTGTTTCCGTTGCAAAAGATTTAGGAGTATAGTTTTACTGAAAACATAAAATGTTTCTTTTCATTCCCCATTTTTTGTGCAGTACAATAGAAATTTGTGCCCCATTCCTTTCATTTTAGATTTCTGAATTATTTAAAAGAATTGGTTAATTCTCCATTTCAAGTGAGCAAGACAAAGTTCATTAGGATATCTGATTCCTAGCAGGTCCCACATTCACAGATCATGTTAACTCCATAGAGAGGTTTATCTTCTTTTAAAATTACAAATGCTACCCACACTGAAAGCTTTTCAGTTTAATGCATTGTTACAGCTTTGAACTCTTCAGTAGGATCCTAAACAATAGAAAGAAGGAAAATGAAGCACCTTGTTGTCCGAGCTTGAGCCAGTTCTAAAAGTAGCAGTGCAGAACGTCTATGTCCTTTCAATTCTAGTGGATTTGCAACACAATATCATGAAAGGCATGCAAGTAAACCTTAGCACGTGCTCCACCAGTAGTTACCAACTGGTGGTCCTTGAAGGGAGCCAGAGGAAAAATCTTAAATTATGCATTTTTTCCCCTTATATAAAGCTGCACTGGCTGAAGATTTTTGCTTTTGACTTTATGCTTGTGAACTCATGGGTTCTCTTATACTTACAGAGACTCTGGCAGTTATAGTTTGGATTCATTTAATGAAAGGTAGGGGAATGATGAATTATCTATTATTTAGCAAAGATGGTAAATTAAATACTTTGAGAAGCTGGCCTTATGAGAGGAAATGATTACAAGTTGTCCTTAATGGTAAGAAGATACAGAAGCCTGTGCTGTAGACCACTGGTTAATAGCCTTTAACTTTATCTTAGGAAAGACGAAGAAAGAAGAGAAAAGCAGGTGCTAGGAATAGCCAGTCAAGACTGGTTGTTGCAGGTGCTGCCCGTCATCTCCATTGTACCCCTTTCCGGTGTTCTTTCAGCAGATATTGTTGAATTCAGTTCTATCTGAGCAGAATTGATAGTGAGGCCGATGTGGAAAGCAACTCAGAGTAGGAGACTCAGGTGGTACTTCTGTATGTAAATTGACTAGGAAAGCATAACTTTGAAACAAAAGATTCTAACAAAGTTTCATAGCCCAATCACATGTAAGTGTGTAGAACATTTGAGTTTTGGACTCTGATCTCTGTGGATTTTTTTCTGTGCATTCATAAGAGAGGCACAAAAATTGACTGTGGTCAAATAATACTATGTACTGTAAACTTTAGATTGTTTGAATATGTTAATTTGATGTAATAATTCTAAGATATAGAGGACAAGGAAACTGAGGCTTGGAAGTTGAGGCACATGTTCATGATCAATAGCAAGTGAGTGCCTGCTTCATCTTTCTTGGGAGAGCTTTGAGAATAAACAGGGATAACGGATAGTGGTGTGCTTTGAAATGTTTTGTACTCAGCAGCTATAATCTCAAATAATTTGTATTGTTAGGTTTTCAATGTATTGACTATTCTGTCCCCTTACCCCAGGGAAAGTATAGACTTGAGGTCAGGGAATAACAATGGCATATGACATGTAAGTATGGTGACATAATGTCATATGATATACTACATAATATATGTATTATAGTGTTACATGCATTATGTATTACATTATTGAGTAAATATGTATTATATTACAATGTGTAATCTGTAGTCCTTATAATCTATTAGGACTTTGACTGAACACCAGTCAATGAAAATAGTAAATGTCACAGTATACTGAAAGCGAAGCCAGTGAGAGAGAGTCTGCAGAATTCCACATTTTCCTCAGGATACCTCGCAGACCATGGGTGACACATGACCACCTGACATTGGTACCAAGTGAGGGAGAATGCATTATTAGAAATAAACTTATCGTTTTTCAAAGACGACTTATTTTTAAAAGCTACAGTATAAATGGAAGCTCCAGTGATTTCTTTGGACACCGCAAATTTGTGTTTTAAGGAGACCACTATTCTAGACTATGTGCTCCCTGAGGGCAGAAAGTAGTGTATTATATTCCAAACAAAATGGCACTCAGTAAATATTTTAGGGTGAATGAATGAATGGGTAAATGAATGAATCTTGTGTTCAGGAGTTTAAGTCTTTTCAGGGGAAAATAATACATAATCATAAGTTATTCCCCTCCTTCCAATTGATCTTTCTTAATTGTACATATATTTATTAATATATAATCCCTGTGCCAGGCAGTGGGCATATCCACATAAAAGAGAAACCAACCCCATACTCCTTGAGTACATATTCTAGCAAAGGATACAGATATTTAGGCAGATAGTTGCATAAAATGTGATTGTGATCTCCTAAAGTTATTTGGATGGTGTTTGGGGCATATGGTGGAGGCACAAGTGATAAAGGCTATGCAAGAAGCAACAAAAGTAAAGTTAGAAGTGTTCAGAGAAGAGCTTGTTAGGTATTTGACCTAAATGCTGAAGTGTATACATGTTCCTAGATGTTACTTAGAGCTTTCTTGCTCCTTAAAATTAGCTCAAACCCCCCATTCCACAACCTGAGGAAATCTAAAGCCTATCCCAGTATTTCTGTGCATTTCTGGGGATGCTTACAGCAAAAGTTTTCTTCTAGCTGTCAGTTCCTGCACCTGCTGAGTTAGTTTACTTTATAGATCTTCCCCCAAGTCGTGCAATGCTCTTTTCCATGTCCTGTGCCCGTATGTTGGGTTGAGCACCTTCTCTGTATTTCTGTCTGATCTACCTGTAGAAATTATGTGTACAGCTGGCTTTGGTGAAGTTGTAGGAGGGCGAGTTTGGGCACTTCAGTAAAGTCTCAGAACATACTAACCGCATCACATTGATTTTAAACAACTCTGTTTTTAAGAGCACTTAGGTCACTCTGCCATGTTACCATTGCCCTCTCTTCCTCCCTCCCTCTCTTCTCTGAGCCTCTCCTTGTTCTTCTTTAGTTTTCCTTGAGCCTTGCAAATTTATGTTCTTGGGAATCTCCTTTGTAAATAAGAAATGTGCCATCAAGATATTTCCCAATCAATGGATTCTGGCACTCTTGACAAAATGATAGATGGAATTTGCAGTTTCTGTGTGTATGAGAGGGAAGATGCAAAGTCCTTGTTAAACAAAAGGAACATTATGGGTAAAGGCCTAGGGGCAGAAAGGACCCAGCATGTAAAGCTGCAGCTTGGCTAAGACATAGTGTTTCTGAACAGTTTCAAATACGCCAGTCATATCATGTTGAATTCTTGGATGGCCAGTCACCCAGCGTGTTTCCCTTGGAATGAAGCTTGCTGACTGACTGGCTGACAGCTAGAAAGCATCCATAAATGAGAGATGGAGATGAAATTAAAATGTGACTTCTTTGGCATCCACCTTTCGAACCTAGGCCTTCCCCACTTTACTCTAATTCAATTTAGTAGATGTTGGATGGAAACTAATACAGTTAAAAAGAACTTCATGTAATCTCACTAACATTCTTAGAACATGATGCTCAAGGTTTTCTGGTCAAGGATATTTGCATTTGCATTTATAGAATAGTTAAGAGCCAGAATTCTATGCATGTGAGAAGTCCTTGCTTTGAGAATGACATTTCCAAGCTGTCAAAATCTAATGTGCTCAAAGCTCAAACCAAAATTGCTTTTTATTCTGTAAATATTGAAGAGAAGGCTTAGAGTGGCACCAGTGAAGTTGCTAGCCAGGGTACTAGCCTACTGAGTTGGAATCAGAAAAAGTCCATTTGTTGAGTTTAAATTATAATACAATCCAAGCCTGAGGGATGCAGTGAAAAAGTATGACCAGTGGTCAGATTCCCACATTTTCCTGCTGACCACTTGGTCACTTTGACACAGTTTACTAGAGAAGTTTGATTTGCAGGTGTGTAAGCACAGTACATGCATCTTTGTTACTTGACTCTTCTCATCTCCAATTTCTTAATGCTTACATTGAACTACAAAAATCTTCACATGAAATCTTCCCATATTATATTCACTCATTCAACCAATATTTATTTATTAAACATCTGCTGTATGGCAGATACTGCTCCAGGCATTAGTCACAAGAGTGATGAAGCACAGAAAAGTAAAGTTTCATGCATCCAATAGCAGATTCATTGTAGAACTGAGAGCCTTGATGTTCGGTTCCTTGTCCAGCTTTCTTTCTCCTACATTTCTACTCTGCTTTTCTTACACTTGCTGTTTCACCAAAAAAAAAGTTACTTGAAAGGCGATTGAAATCATTCTTTTCATTTGCCAATAAGTTGTAAAGGTTATTGGAAAGTCATTTGTGTAGGATTTTGAATCAGTTTAACACAGTTTTCATATTACATTTATGTGTGTGATTTTCTGAATAATGCCTTTAAAGGCAGACATTAAGTGGATTGCGAACTCCATGAAAGCAAGGATTGTTTTTCTTTTTTACTCACTGTTTTCTCTTTAGCACAGTGCCTATCCCATAGTACATGTTCAATAAATATTTACTATAAATGCAGAACTAAATGCATTTCTTATGCTTCGCTATATCCCTGTTGTCTGGTGCAGTGTGTGCAGTGTGAGCTCTCTCTGAGTCTGTCGCTGGTAAGATGGTGAACAGTGCTGTCCGTATTCAGTGGACTTCTGTATAGAGCATGTCATTCCCAGTCTATCTCGATATTCAGTACTCGATATTCAGTACTTAAGTGTCCAGTCAAGCAGCTTGTAGTTTTCCTTGCTATGTTGGGGTGGGTACTCTGGTACCTGGAGGCCCCCTGGCTGCAGACACAGCAAGATGGTTTCGAGCAGGGTGTGAAATGTTTGCTGCCAGTGAGGGAGAAAGGTTTGCCTTGGCTAGGAGTAGCAGGATTTCAGGCTCCACATCTGGGTCTTCCGTCTACGTCACCACCACCATCCTCATATGCGCATAGCCATCAGCTGTCCTAAGTGCAGCACTCTGACAGAAAATTGTATACGAGGCAGAGGTGGCTGTAACTAGTCAAAGTGTGAGAGAAATACTCATTCCATGGCAAAGCTGACTGACATGAAGAGATCTTTGTGCTGAGAGAGATTCAGCAAAGGGAGGCCAGAGTAAACTAGGAGTGGGCTCCGGGTTAGAGTTGAAGCAAGAACCTGTATGAAAAGAAAGGCAATGTCCACCTCATATTTCCTAGCAGACATAAAAGACATGGTGTCTCTCTTGCTCAGTCTTTTTCATCATCTTACTGGGTTCAGAACATGGGTAAAGTTCGAAGTGGTACATTGGATAATTCTTTCGGGCAGAACTTTGTTGAAAGGAAGAGTGTGGTCGTCTAATTGGAGCTTGGCAAGTGCAAGGGTGGGAGAGAAAGGGAGACCCTACCTTGACTCCACCGCTCACCTGGCTGTGAAACGCTTTAAGAACAGAAACACTTACTAATTGTAACTGGCCTTAGGAAGGTACCTGACCTCCCGTGCCTCAGTTTCCTCGTCTGTAAAATAGTCACGAATGCTTCTTGCCCTTCTTTGCTCCCAAGGATTTAGTAAGGATTTAATGATATGATGTATCTGAAAGCACTTTATGAACAATCAAGCCATATGTAAAATGAGCTATTGTAATAATTTTGAGTCATTAGGAATTCCTTCATTTCCATCCCAGGTCCCCTGGACAATGCTGAGAAACCAGTGGCTATATTGCATATTTTCTTTTCAGCCCAGCAGTACTCATTTTCAGGTTGAATATGGTAACAAAGCTGTTGCATAAGAAATGCACACTCCTCTCTTAGGGGGAACATTCTTTACATTCAGCACACCAGTGCACCCCCATGACTGCAGAGTACTGCAGGGTACTGAAAGGTGTCTTTCTGTGTTTACCGTGGTATCACTTTCACCCTCTATTCTGAACTGATCTGGCATTCTAAGATTTTCAAACATAATCTTTAAAAGTATAAGCATCCAAAATTACCTCAAAGAGCCAAAACAAATAAATACAACACTGAATAAATGATGCTCCAGTTGATCCAGAATACACTTAAGAAATCTTTTGACTCTGTTAACCTATCAGTATTTGACTTCAGATTGACTCGTTTATTTATTCTTAAACTCCCTTGAATCTCCAGGCTTTTTTCTTATTTGCATTGAGTATGTTCTCCCCATTGACATTCAGATCACTTTGAATTGGCTTTTACTTAGGCTTTTCTTTTTTGGAGACAATCAGCTCAGAGACAAAATAGGCTTAAACCACAAAGATGTTTTAGTAAATAGATACATTTCATTAGTTGCTGAGGGCTGTAGGAACACAGTTGTCCCAAGTAATTTCTTCTTTGTATTTGGTGATCTTAAGAGGAAATATTAGTGTCCTTTTTCTTAAGCCACTGGTCTAAAATATCTGTCAAGCATAAGATTTAAATCCCTGACAAACAACTTCTAAGATTTTAGAAAAAGTTTTGAGTACCTTGTGATTCCAACTCTTATCTCTGCTTTTGAGCCTCGATTTCTACCCCCTCGTCATAGTCCTTACCCACCTGTAACTTTAAGACATCAAAGTTCATTTTAAAAAAGAAAAAAATAATAAGTTTCATAGAAAGAAAACCTCTCATATATATTGGGAGGGCTAAGACAAATATGTTTCTCTTTTCATGCATTTTTCTGGTTGAACTGAATTCTTTCACCTCCTCTTAGAAAAGTCTTCGACTGTGCCAGCTAGAAGTACGGCAGAATGGGTAAAGTCCAGCCTTGCTAAGACAATTTTTTTGGTCTGTGGTACCTACAGAGGAGGTTCTTACTTATAATGTGAAGTACATGGCATAAACTGGTGGAGAAGAGCTTCCTTTTGTTAAATCGTTCATTTATTCCACTGGCCTAATGAAAGTTATATGAACCACAATGAGTCACAACAATTACCAGTTTAATTCATTTTTTACCCTGTATTTATTTAAAAGGTTTGCTCTATAAATATAGGACCTGTAGATAAAAGGTTTCTCTAAAAATCACTCTCTTTTCAAGATGTTTTCATTAGTTAGTATTCATTTAAGTGGGTTCTACTCTGCATACCATTAAAGGTGTGTGTAAATGTTTTTATTGGTTTCTTCCCTATCTTCCACTTTTGTATTTCCTCTATAAGAGGCAGTGCCATTAACCTTAGCAGGGCTGAGTGTGATTGTCTTTCGATCAGCCCCATCATTGCAAACCACTGACCCATAGCTTACATTACTTAAACCACTGGTTCCTAAACAGAAAAATAGCCCCATTACCTTCCTTGGAATGGTGATGGGCTGTCTGAAAAGTCCTTTCAAAAAGAAGAGTGAGCAAAAATACTCCCTACTTCCTTTGAGAATAGTCCTTTCTTTGATATAAATGTTGCGGTAGTAGTACCTGAGTTTCCTATTTTAACTCTACATGAAACATTTATTGAGTGTCTGCTGTGTTCAGGGTGCTGTTGAAGACACATGGCTATAGCAACATGTTTTGGATGCAGTCCTTTAAGAGCCATACTTTTTTATGCAGGTGATAGGCAGGTTTGCACCTAATAACAATGCAGGGTAAATATGCTAAGTGCTCTAACTGTGAAACAAAGTGCTCTGAGAATGTGGAAAAGAGAATGCTTTAATTCAGACTTTAGGGACAGGAAGCGGAAAGTTAGATTTCAACCAGCAGAGAAGGGTAAGGAGGATAGAGAAAGAGGTTCCAAAAAAATAAAAAAGCACCCCCAAAGGCATAGTGTGGTCTGAAAGTTTATGATGAGCTTGGATAATCGCCAAGTAGTGTGGTATGGCCTTTGCAAGGTAATGAGGGGATGGAGGTAAGGCATTCATGCTTTTGTATAACTGATACGGTTTGGCTCTGTGTCCCCACCCAAATCTCATCTCGAATTGTAATCCCCACATGTCGAGGGAGGAGGGAGCTGTAATTCCCATGTGTCAAGGGAGGGAAGTGATTGGATTATGGGGGCAGTTTCCCCCACGTTGTTCCCATAATAGTGAGTGAATTCTCAAGAGATCTGATGGTTTTATAAATGGTATTTTCCTGTGCTCACACACGCTCTCTCTTGCCTGCCACCGTGTAAGATGTGTCTGCTTCCCCTTCAACCAGGATTGTAAGTTTCCTGAGGCCTCCCCAGCCATGCAGAACTGTGACTCAAGTATACCTCTTTTTTTAAAAAAATAAATAAAATAAGTTACCCAGTTCTTGGTGGTATTCTCTATAGCAGTGTGAAAATGGACTAACGTACTACCCTTTTAGATAATCCTTGCAGCATAAGACAAAGAAACGATCAGTTCACCTTTGGCCATGGACTCACTGTCACCAGAGCTTGCTTTAACCCAATTCTGTAGTTCAGCCAGTCAGAATGTTGGTAGAAAATGCATTAAATCAGGAACCCAGAAAACAGGCTTCTATTCCTGGCTCAGCTATTCATTGACTATGATTTTGGATAAATAACTGTTTCTCTCTGAGCCTTGGTTTACTTCCGTAAATTGGAGATAATAATACTACCTACCTCATGGCTGTTGAGAGTCTTAAATGAGACCATGCCTACAAGGTGTTTAGCAGGGTCCTCAGCATATAGCCAGTACTCAAAAAGTAGAAACAACTTAAAAAGATTTTTATACTTCATTGCCCATCTTCATTGAACTGGACTTTATTTTACTTATTGATAACTTACAACACGCTGGGAGAAACGTCCCGGTGTTTCAAAGTGACTGCGTTAACTTGGAAAATAAGATCCTATTTATTTCCTTCCGAGTAATAGTCATCCTAACATACTGCTCACTTGTGTTTGTAGAGTAGTTATTTTGAAATTTTTGAGACCTGAACTTATGAAATGTACTTTCATGCATTTCTAAAATAATTGTATACTAGAGCTCTTTTCCATTGCTTGACAGTTGTTCATGAGTGTTCCAGTGAGTTTATAGAAGCTAAAAAGAAGATGATCTTCTCTAGTTACATTCTAAGTGCTGAATTTTTCCTTCCTTGACAGATTCCCATCCGGTATCAAGAGGCTCTAAAGATCCCTCAAATCACTGTTGGCATTTAGTGCCATTCCAGCAATTTTGCATCTTGATCTTTTTATTGATTAGAATTTTACCTTCCTTTTCAATCTTTTGAACTCTCTTCTGAACTTTGAAGACTCAAGTGTTTGAAATCTTGATCTGGGTCTGTCTTAGGCTATACAGAAGAGAGCTTTAACTTATGTTTCCAAAATGAGGCCACTACCTCTTTAATTTTTCTTTTTAATTTAATCTCAATGTCTGTAGAAGAAAAGCTTTCACTTAAAGCACAAACTTTATGAAAAGCATTTTTGTTAAAGGGAAATCTTAATGGGAAGAACTGTAGATAACAAATTTGAGGAAAATGTCTGGCAACACAGACTTCTGCAAGTTTGAGGCTCTTGGTGAAATCTCAAACAGTCCAAATGGAAAATTACCCAGTCTGTTTCCTCAAGATAGACTTGTTTGTACAGCGACTCAAAGTTTAAATGGCTGAACAGTAGGTACACACGCTGTACTTATAAGCTGTTTGTATTACAATGCTCTGTTTTTAACCTCCTTTTAGTTTGGAACACAAGCTGGTTAATGTCTTAGTTCTGTGCTTCCTGGATTATTAGTGAATAGCTAAGTTGTATTTAATAAACAGAAAGAAAGTAACAAACAGGCCAATACCTTCACTGAGAAAGCTTCTCATCTCTGAGATTTTTACTTCTGTTTGTTATGCAGAATATTTTAAAATTAGATAATGTTTTATACTCATGAGATGAAAGAGTTTTCAAATATCTGAGGGTTTGTGAGTATATCCGTATTTTTGAGAGTCCCAGTAAAAGTTTCTGGAACTTACAAAAAACTCATCCATGAGCTGGCCAGGTCCTCTCAAGGAGCAAATCAACTGAGGATGACATTAAAAAAAATTTTTTTAACTTGTTTCAACAGTTGTTTTCCGCATTTCCACAGTAATTACCATGCTTACCAGTAAGATACAATTCATCTCTGGATCATATTTTATGTGTTTTAGGCAATAGCAGTGATAGCTAACAATTACACTCTAGAGTTTTACAAAACACTTGCTTATGCGTTATCTCATGAGGTACCTGACAGATCTTCTAAGTATAATTTTATGATATTCCAGCAGATCTATACCAGTTTCACTAGAGTATGAGTAATAAGCATATTGAATTTTTAAAAATTGACACCTGTCTGAAATTTTTAAGAACAAGGCCATTTAGAAAATTAGATTTCAAGAACTCTAAATACTTACTTATATTATACAAAAATGTTACAGAAAGTACCATTAAGCATGGCTATTTCTATATATTCTTCGATAGCCCACAGAAATTTATTTAAAATAATTCTCCACAATGACTAATCCATTACAACCAATATTGTTTTAGTTCTTTCTCATGAAAATAGACTACTAAAATTATAGTCTTTCTAGTTACCCAGTATACATATACACATATATATATGTATGTATGTATATATACACACACATACCATATGTAAGCTGGCTATATATGTGTATATATATGTATATACACACACACCCATATGTAAGCTCGATATGTATGTATGTGTTTATATATGTACCTATACACATAGAGGTACATACACATGTATAAACCTCCATTTTTATAAAGATTGGTGGCTTATAAGAATACATACAGTAAGATAGAAAATATAAACAAGTAAAAAATGAGAATTAGGAAATACATAAATTAAAGTAGAAAGGTAAAAATCAGAGAAAAAGAATTGAACAAAGGTTCTACCATATGGTTCTACATAGTTAATAACATTGAGATATAAGTTTGATTCTGAGTTTCCTGGCAGCCAAAGGAAAAAGAGAAACGTATGATTAATCATGTGGTTCTCATTACCCATGAGAAAATACATACCAGTTCCTCAAGGGAAGGAAGCTTTCCCTGGCACTTAATTGTGATGTAAATTTCTCACGTAGAACTTCAGCAGGAGGACACCGGGTGATATGCTAACAGTCAGTGCTATTCAAGTAGATAGACTAAAGGATTTGGTAAGATAGCTTCTTTTAGGGCCCACTAACTAGAAACTGAGAACCTAATACAAAAGTGTAACTCAATAAAAGTGATTCTGAGTGATCCATGAAAGTAACTTGCTGCCAATCCATCAGGACTTTTATAAGAGCTGGAGAAATTCACATCATGAAATTTATAAATCCTGAGAAGCAGGTAGGTCTCATAGTCCTTGGATGATTTTAAATATTTCTCACAGCCAAACTTTTGATTAAAGCTGAGCCACAGACAGTTCCCATTGGTGTTTTTTAAGAACTGATATTTTCTTAAGGACTCGACTTTACAGAGTAAACAAACAGGATTGGCCTTACAAGGTAAAAACTGAAGCTCCTGAATATAGGAAAAGCAAGCATTTACCCTTGTGGTTATTTTTTAAAGTGCTTTTTAAAAATTCCTCTCATTATCTTCCCTTGATAGATTTCCTGAAGATTTATTTAACAGTATAATGTCTATTGTTATTTAAAGAGAAATGAGGTTTAGAATGCAGAGCCTTTTTTAAGAGAGTATGAACATGCTGATTTAGTTCACCTCCAAACAGAAATGATTGACATCAGATTCTTCCTGAAAGCAGTTTCTCCTGTGGAAAGAACTTTGGGTTCTTCAAGGGGAGTGAAATGGTAGGTTCTGTCTGAGCCAGGTCACCTACAAAAGCAAACAACAATGCTGTTTCCTAAGGTGGTTGTTGGCAGCACTTAGCCGCTGCTGACCTGGTAACCTTTCCTTTGAGTCTCATCCATAGCTCTCCTCTGAGAGAGAACTTTCCCATTTACAATATTACTTGGACACACTACTGTTGCTTAGGACCAAAAGGGTTATTTACACAGGGGAGATAGTGGTAGGTGTGAAGGTATGTGTTGTGACAACTGCCATTTACCCATGCAGTGGGCAGAGTTTCTCTTTTGACCTTGTTCATTCATAGCAGTGAAGTGTGGGCTAGGACCTGTAACATCTCCTAGTTTTAAATGCTCCGGATGGGTACTCTACAAAAGTCTTGGTCATATAGAACCTATATGGAATGCAGTCATGTTAAGAAATTGTTAAGCTGTTGATCATGATATTATACTGTTAAACATAACAGTACAAAAAGAGGGTTTTGTTCTCCAAATAGCTAATTCATAGCTACAGTTATTTTTTTAGTGTACAACCTCAGATTTATTTCATCAGAGAGCAACTGGGAGGTCCCAGGACAGTGACTAAGTGGGAATATGCAGCAATGACGAGTAAAAGCTTAGTTTCTAAGAATCTCAGTTTTTGTGGAAATCCCCTTTAGACTAATGATACAAGAGAAAACATGTGGTGTGTGTTGGGTAGATCATTCCCCAACAGGATGTTTTATTTTTTGTGTTTAGTCTTCGTCCATAGTAACAATTATAATGAATGCATCAAAAATAAAGCCTGCAGACCTTGTGACCTATCTTGTAATCAGCACAAATTAGTTTTAGGGCAGGAAAATCCAGCTGCATATTAGTTTTATTAGATGTTCCCAAACATTTTATTGCAATATTTTGGAAAAAACATCCACAAACAAACCTAAGTTTTCAATGTGTTTCCTATTCAATATGTATTTTGTTTTGAAGGATAATTAGATTGTATGTTTATAATTCCTTTGTTCTTAATTCATCAAATTGCTGCCTTTTGGGAAAATAATTTCAGCATAGGAAAATTACTCTTTTTTTCACCAACCTGTTCTCAGAAAGGGAAATGTATCTTTAGTACACCCCCAACTCCCAAAAATGTTCTCCACATTCTAAAAATGCTTTTAAAAGTTCAAACCATTATTCCTCATTTGGTTCTAATGATATTGAAATGGTTTTTTCCTATTTTGAGGGTCACAATTGCTACTGTTAATCTAATGGCTAAATGATCTGTGCACTGTGTCTGCTTTTCATCTTCATTCTCTTTTTATTGGTGAGGAAACTGAGGCTCAAAGCGATTAAGTACCTTGCACAGGTCAAATGGCTTCTAAGAGGCAGAATGTAATCATTCCTTCTCTCAACATTCAGGAAATATTTAATGAGCCCATACTTTATTCCAGATACCTTGGTAGTTGCACAGGATACATCACTGAATAATAAAATCCCTGCCCCTCAAGGAGCTTACCTTCTAGTTGATGGAGACAGATAATTAAAATATCAATGAGAAAAGTATCTAGTGCATGAGATGATAATAAGTGCTATGGAGAAAAATTAAGAAAGAAAGAGGAATAGGGAGTCCAGAGTAGTTTTGGTTTGAAAGGCAATGATGGCCACAAACACATTGCTAAGAAGTTGACATTTGAACAAGACCTAGAAAAGGTGAGGGAGTGCGACACACAGATTTCCTTGGGGAAGACTAGTGTGGATGGAATGAAGACAGCAAGGTGAGCAGGAGAAAAGGAACTCAGGTAAAAGCCTGGGGCAGTTCATGCAGGACAGTGGCTGTTTGACTTCAGCAGCATAAGAATCACTTGGAAGTCTTATTAAAACACAGATCTCTGGGCACTACCCTTACAGTTTCTGATTCAGAAGTTTGCATTCCTAACAAGGGTCCAAGTGATGCCAGTGCCACTGGTCCAGGGATCACACTTGAGATCCACTGAAGCTATTGGGAGGCTTTGGCTTTTCCTCTTAATAACATGAATGCCATTTCCAGGAACTGAGAATAGGAGAAACAAAATCTCTTTATGCTGTTCCGAGTACACTGTAGGAGACAAGGGCAGAAGAAGGGAAACCAACTAGGGTTCTACTATAGTAATCAAAATAAGAGATCAGGGTGACATTGGCCGGGCGCGGTGGCTCACGCCTGTAAACCCAGCACTTTAGGAGGCCAAGGTGGGCCAGATCACTTGAGGCCGGAAGTTCGAGACCAGCCTGGCCAACATGATGAAACCCCGTGTCTACTGAAAATAGAAAAATTAGCTGGGCATGGTGGCACGTGCCTGTAATCCCAGCTACTCAGGAGGCTGAGGTGAGAGAATTGCTTAAACCTGAGAGGTGGAGGTTGCAGTGAGCCAAGATCACGCCACTGCACTCCAGCCTGGGCAACAGAGCGAGACTCCATCTAAAAAAGAAAAAGAGAGAGAGAGAGAGATCAGGGTGACATCATTGAGCTATGCTCTCTCTCCATTCTGAGTTTATTTGAGGTTGTCCTCTAAAGCAAAAGCATACTAAGCATTAGTTATGTCAACCTAAAATTCCTTTGGTTAAATCTTCAGTTTAATTAGTGTATGAATTCCTTTTCAAAGAGCTGCTTGCCCACAACTTTGAGAAACGGGTGGAAAATATGGGGAGTTTATAGTTGGGATACGTTTCAAATATGGCTGACAAGGATCTGCCTAGGAACATGGAACTCATAGAATATCCTCAGGAGGCAGTGGGGAACAGGACACTGAGATGGTCCATGGAAGAGAAACAACAGTTGTTCTTCAAATTCCTGCCATTTGATCTAAGATCTGATTTTTTTTTTTGTAGGATTGAAGAGATGAAAGTTCCCCTGGTCCCCCAAAATTTTGTTTATAGTACATACAAATGCTCCCTGAGATACCCAGCTGTATGAGGAATAAATAAGGAAAGAGAACAATAACGTGGCACCACCTTTTCCTCCTTCCTGATGTACAAAATGAGGGAAAGTCATAAACCTCCAATTAATAACTGTGCAACCTTGCTCAAGTCTCTTAATCTCATCTGAAAACAGGAATAGTAATAGTGCTTGTCTCATAGCAGGGGTTAAGGGAGGGTACTCATCAAATGTTAGCTGCAACTATCATGATCACAATGAAATGTAAGTAGATTTCTATTCTCTTTTCAAGATGGAGACTTACTGGTCCCTAACCAAAATTCTTACTGTATACAAAAATAGTGTAGTATAAAGTAAGTCAGGGGCAAAGGAGAAAACGGTGGAAATGCGGTGGGCATGGGAGTGTGAAAAGCAGTAACCCCTTAAAAGGAGAGAGAAGGAAAAGAAGTCAGGTAGAAAATGGAGATATGGTAGGGAGCAGGAATGATTGATATTAAGGTAGCCAGAGGCAAATACAAAGGGGAAGGAGGGGATGGGAAGGGGTGGCAGAAGAGAAAAGGACCAGAGTTCCTAGAACCTGTTAGCAGGGCAGAGGTTAACCATAAGCAACTCATTACCATGCCCCCCAAAGCATCAGGCCAGAACCTCCGTTAAACACAAGACGGCCATTGGCTGCACCTGCAGAAGTCTCTGCATTTTTTATGAACAGCAGAAAACAAGAGAAGTATTAGAGAGGTTGCAAGTTAGAGACTGGAGACACCTGGAGACTCTACATAGCTGTGGTGGTTTTGCAGTGTAGACTTATGAAATCTGATACCCCCATGCAGTCCTGTTAGGCAGATAAACTGAGAGCCTAGACATTTTATAAGCCCCCATGTAAGCATTTGAGGGGTAGGATTCCTTCAATGCTCTTCCAATAGGATGGAAACAGAAGGGAAGACCATCCTGTCTTCAGGGCTTGCCCTCTTGTTTAATCCTCAGATGGACAACATTAGTCCCGTTTAACAGAAGAAGACTCTGAGGCTTGGTTAGTAAAAGAATATGGCCAGAATCCAGACCTGGAGCCTAGCTCCAAAGGATTGCTTTCCTGTTAGCAAGACACTGTCTTCTTTTGATTTTTTTTTTTTTTTTTTTTCTGAGACAGAGTCTCACTCTGTCGCCCAGGCCGAAGTGCAGTGGTGTGATCTTGGCTCAGTACAAGCTCCATCTCCCGAGTTCACACCATTCTCCTGCATCAGCCTCCCGAGTAGCTGGGACTACAGGCACACACCACCACGCCCGGCTAATTTTTGTTGTATTTTTTATTAGAGACAGAGTTTCACCGTGTTAGCCAGGATGGTCTCAATCTCCTGACCTCGTGATCCGCCCGCCTTGGCCTCCCAAAGTGCTGGGATTACAGGCGTGAGCCACCGCACCCAGCCTTCTTTTGATTGTTTTCGGAGACTTGTACTCAGCCTTTTTGCTTCTCTCACTTCTCTGGTTCTCTACCTGCCTACCTTTTAGCCATTTCACCTATCATCCTGGAGACCCAGATTTTGTTCTTTTTTTTTTTTTTTTTTTTTTTTTAAGACAGAGTCTCACTCTGTCATCCAGGCTGGAGTGCAGTGAAGCCATCTCTGCTCACGCAACCTCCCCCTCCTGGGTTCAAGCGATTCTTGTGCCTCAGCCTCCCAAGTAGCTGGGACTACAGGCGCACACCACCATGCCTGGCTAATTTTGGTATTTTTAGTAGAGACAAAGTTTTGCCACGTTGGCCAGGCTAGTCTCGAACTCCTGACCTCAGATGATCCACCACCTTGGCCTCCCAAAGTGCTGCTAGATTTTGTTCTCAAATAGCAGCTGTAGGATTTGGTGTGGTATTTTTTCCCCTCAGCTGTTGTTTCTTGAATGCTTTCTCTTGTTCACCCACTTCTTCTTTACCACTTACCATGATTAATAACAAGGTACCTGCAAAGTAAGGTTTTCCCCTGAATACTTCCTAGATGGTGGAGGTTTTTCAGAAGTACCACCCAACCTCAAAAACACATAGTGGTCCACATACTGGCCTTGGAGTCCTGGAGGAGTTATTCTATAGGAACAGCAAATCCATGCACAGCCAGGCATTGTCTGTCTTGACATATCAGGGTACGGAAAACTCTTATGCTGTAAGAAGAGTCACACTAAGCCAAAGTTTAGGAACCAGCCTGCTCCAGTATGCCTTTTGGAGGACTTTTCTTTTCTAATTCACCTTGCCTTCCTCTGTCACATCTAACCCAATACTGTCCATATAGGAAAAATTCAGAAAGTATTGGGTTGGTGAATGCAGCACAGATTACCTATTTAAATTAAAGCTGTGTCTTTAGGGAAAAAAACTTCTGGGGGATGGGAGCAGTGGCATGAGCTTGGAAGGATTTTTGCATTCTACAGCAAACCACAGCTGCTATGGCCTTAATGTTTGTGTCCCCCCAAAATTCATATGTTGAAATCCTGACTCCATGGTGATGGTATTCAGAAGTGGGGCCTTTTGGGAGACTAGGTCATGAGGCTAGAACCCTCTTGAATGGAACTAGTGCTCTTATAAAGAGAACACAGAGAGCTAGCTAGCCCTTCTGCCACGTGAGGATGTGGACGGTGTGATCTATGAGGAAGAGTGCTCCCACTGGGTAATAAATCCGTTGGTGCCTTGATCTTGCACTTTCTAGCCCCCAGAAGTGTGAGAAATAGATTTCTGTTGTTTATAAGCTACTTTGTTTATGGTGTTTCGTTACAGCAGCCCAAAAGGACTAAGAGAACACCACCACCCAACACCAGAAAATGGGATTTGCTTAAACCAATCTGAGAATCAGTCACCTGGATAAGTGTGTCGAGTGATCCATTGAATCAGCCAGCAATGCATAAAGAATCATTTCCAGTACCCACATATGACTGTGCTTCTGTTTTGTGTTTTATTAAGTTGCTCTGGAGTAATGCCACTATCAGTGCTTCCCCAGCACAAGGAGGTTGGCAATTGAGTTACCTGTTTGTGACAGCTAAACTTTCATGAATCTTTAGGAGATCCATTTGCTAGCATCTTTTAAAGACTCTGGATTTTTCTGAGCATTTTGTGATGATAACTGATGCATCTGAAGTAGAGGTGGGAGCCCTTCTTTGTCAAGAGTTAGAAAATACAGGCTGTCTTGTCTTCCTATAAATGTCAGTTGTTGTTGTTGTTATTATTATTGTGTCAGCAGTAAACTGCTCCCCAGAGGACTAAGATACAGCATTACAGAGAGAGCATGCCTTGCTGTGAAAATGGGTAGTAGAAGTATGATGATATTATTTCGTGGTAATGAATTTACCTTTATGACAGATCATTATCCCCTTCTGTAGCTGAACTGGATGAAGGACAAGTCTAGCAGAATAACCTGGTAGTACTTGGATTTATTGGCTTTAAATTTTTAAGCTGGAAAAATGCAGTAGCAGCCAGGTTATCTCTGTATGAATGTTGCAGAGGAGGACAGAGATGAAGGAAGTCACATTTTCTTTCTAGTAATGGTAGAAAGCAGGTGATGATGACAGTCTTTTAACGAAACATGAATGCAGTTGCTCATATGCTTTGCCATTTTAGTGCACAAGTCAAGGAGTAAATGAGTAGAAAAAAATCCATAAGATATCATCATCATCAATAATAAAAAATTGCTTAAGGTCTCATTGAGTGTTACACCATAGGAAAGAGCAAAGATTTCTTTTTAAAATGAGTTAGACGAGACTTCCCTCTCAGGTGTGTATAATCCAGGTTCATGCTTTAAAGGCTATATGTGAAATAGAACTGTTTTATATTAGTGAGCTGTTGGGGATAGTAAGTTGCAGTTTTGCATAAAGGCAAACCATGGTACAGTGAGGATGGTGCCCCTGTGGGAAGAAGATGGGCTTGGAAATCATTTAGGTTTACATCCTGGCTTTGTCCTTTTCTAGTAGTGTGACCTCAAGCAAATCATTTAAACTTTCTGTCTTAGTTTTCTCAGGAAGCAAAGAAGTTAGTACCTAACTTTCAGATTTCTTTGCAGCTTTAGTTTCAGGTACATAGTAAGTCTTCAATAAATGATCACTATTGCTGTTCCTGCTGTTGTTATTGCTGTTCTTGTCTTGATTCAGAAGCCCTGGTGGTGATACTCCATGCTATATTCCAAGGAGTAACCATAACCTAATTATTTTGAATGACTGAGAACCAGTGCTGATGTAAAGCTCCCTAAACCCAGCACTTCTCCAGAAGCCGTAAGAAATCCATGCCATCATTTAGTAACCTACACTGTAGGGCTAAGATCTCAATCCGTTTTCCATTTGCACACTCATCAGAGTAGATAGAGACTAGTTGTTCACTATGTCTGTGAATACTCTATAGAGTTTTCCCCAGCTTCCTCCTTTCCTCCAATTTTCCTTACAAAGCCTTTCCTTCTTTCGTCTGAGCTCTAACACTTTGTACGTTGTAGTAATTTTATGGAGCCCAGTGCCAAACATCTCTATAGAGGGGATGTTGTAAGGGTTGAATATGAAGAGACCCTACATGTGACGTGTGTCCTACGAATCTTGGAGTCTTGACTCCTTCTCCAGTGTCAGTACTCGTTATCTTTAATTTGGGGCCAGATATGAGCACCCCACACACTTTCCAAAAAAGCCCCCGATCCACAAATGTATGCATGATTTTTCCTTACATAAGTCTTTTCATGTTTCTGGACATATTTTATCTCCCTTCCTCCTCTAATACTTTTTCCCTTGCTTTCCACAGTGAGAAAAACAACAACAACAAAAAAAAAAACACAAAATTCACACAAAGGCTTATGTATATAAAGACATGGCTCCAGGTTCTCATCAGTTCAAGGAGTAAAAGCAAATTCCAAAAGTATAGAAATTTAGGTGGATGTGGCCGGGCGCAGTGGCTAACGCCTATAATCCCAGCACTCTGGGAGGCCAGGGTGGGTGGATCACGAGGTCAGAAGTTTGAGAGCAGCCTGACCAACACAGTGAAACCCCGTCTCTACTAAAAATACAAAAATTAGCTGGGTGTGGTGGCATGCACCTGTAGTCCCAGCTACTTGGGAGGCTGAGGCAGGAGAATTGCTTGAACCCAGGAGGCGGAGGTTGCAGTGAGCCGAGATTGCACCACTGCACTCCAGCCTGGGTGACAGAGTGAAACGCCGTCTCCAGAAATAAATAAATTTAGGTGAATGTTACCTTCTCCCTTTAATTTTCTATTTTATAGAATGGTTGCATGCAATAAAAGCAGTTGCTTCTCTTTTAACTTTTTAATAAAATGGAAGTCTGTTTTTAAAGCCATTTGCTTTGAATATGTAAGAATACCTAGAGTGTTTTACCATGGTAGAGATAATTTACAAAGTAAGACCCAGTTGGAGTTGCTCAGTTAAGATGTATCTCAGGTGAAATGTTAATCAATTCAATGTTTCTTTGTGTTTTGAAAATCTCTTTAGTGTGCTGGGCCGATGGCCACATTTTCTGCTGTGTATATGTGATATCAAACTTTAACAAGTCTGTTGCAACAAGGATAAGACACAGCAGTAGGAAAAGACCACTGGAGATAAAGGGGCTCAACTCTCTTCCCAGTGAGAACTGCCATGTTATCTTCCATCTGATCACATTACTGGAAGCTTACTACTCTTCAGGAACTCTTCAGCACTTTACCCAAGCTCCAGTGAGGAGGCGATGCTGGTGCTTATGGGGTACTTGGACAAGTAGAGGCTCTCCCTCGCTTGTCAAAATGCCTGGGGAGGAAGCACCTTCTGCCATTTAGTGTATGGGGGGAAAAGGAAGAGGGCAGTGAGGGATCTTAAATGTCTCGTAATGCTCTGGATAGACCTGCCTAAGAAAGAATTAACTTTCCCCAAATGCCAGTCACGTCCCAGTTAAGAAAGGCCTGCCTGGTTCTTCAGCCTCATCAGTGTTCCCAGAAGTCCCAGCTCCAGCCATCACAAACCAAACGTGCCACTTGCCTTCTTTCTTTTCTCTTTTCCTTTCTTCCTCCTTCCCCTCCCCTCTCATCCCCTCCTCCTGCTTCTCCCTCTTTTCCTTCCTTCCTTCCTTCCTTCCTTCCTTCCTCTGAATTTCCTGTATATCCTCTCTGAGAGGCCTTACTTAGATGCCACTTGCTCTGCGCTTTTGTTGCCCCTGGCACACATGTGACTCCACCTGGGTGGTGAGCCCACTGTGTGCTCTTTCCACTCTTACTCACCTGTGCAAGCTCCTGATGGGCAGGTCCCAGTCTTTATCTCTGTATCCCCAGTACTGACACAGTCCTGGAACATAGTAGGCCCTTGGTGTGTTTTAGGGAAATGAACTAATGAATAGTAGGTATTTAGTTAGTATTGCATCGCGTTTTCTGAAAGTAATTTTAAAAAAACACATACTGTAGGCCAGGTGCAGTGGCTCACGCCTATAATCCCAACACTTTGGGAGGCCAAGGCAGGCAGATCAGCTGAGGTCGGAAGTTCGAGACCAGCCTGACCAACATGGAGAAACCCCATCTCTACTAAAAATACAAAATTATCCGGGTTTGGTGGCACATGCCTATAGTCCCAGCTACTCGAGAGGCTGAGGCAGGAGAATCGCTTGAACCCGGGAGGTGGAGGTTGCGGTGAGCCGAGATCGCGACATTGCACTCCAGCCTGGGCAACAAAAGTGAAACTCCGTCTCAAAAAAACAAAAAACAAACAAAAAAAACATACTGTAGGGAGTTCAGTAAAAATAAGGTCAAGGTTTCTCAGCCTCAGCACCATTGACATTTTGGGCAGGATACTTTGGTGTTCTGTCACGTGCATTGTCCTATGTGTGGGTCACTGTCCTGTGCGTTGTAGGATGTTAGCAGCACCCATGGCCTCTACTCACCAAATGGCAGGAGCATTCCCCAGTAGTAACAACCAGAAATGTATCCAGACATTGCCAAATGTCACCTGGGGGCAAATCACCCCAACTGACAATCATCAAATTAAGATAAAAGAAGAACTAACATATTGAATTCCATTTAATAAACAAAATTTCTATATGTTGTGGCACCAATAATTCACTAATCCATTTAGTAAACACATTATGGAATGATCTTCAAATTAATGGGCTGTATAGTCTTAACCGTTAATGTTTGAGTATTCTGTAAGCTCTTAAGAATTTCAGTATTATAAAATAATCCACCCACCCTTTGGAGGCTTGAAGCACCTCCACCAGTGGTGAAGAGCCCTTTGGAATCACCTTTGCAGTCATAGGCTCCTAGAAATAACATCAGGAGTATTAGGAAATGGTGCCCATTGCATTCCTCTCCCGTGGCCTTTACTGGGAACTGTGCTGGAGACTGTGTTATTTCATCGGGGTTGGCTGCCACCAAAGTGTGGGGAGCCATATGTTAGCTATTCTGTGCAGTAACACCTGCACTCTATATCACAGGCAAGCTTATATGCCTGTAATGATAAGCCTGCCTATGTAGACTTGTGAGTGCACAGTTGCAGCACAGTTGGCCTGCTCTTTGGGTGTGGGAAGTAGAGTTCATGGAGGTAAACCATTGCCAAGCAAGAGATTTGTACTCTCCCTCATGTTTTGTCCATGTGAAACCTTTGTAAGTGCAGTGTCCACATGCCCAAGGGGCCCTCAGGTAAAAACACAGATAACAACATTGCTCCAGGGTTTTTCTTTATTAGAATTCTGTATTGTCTAACATGATTGGTAAAACCAGGTGAGCTCCTAAATTGTGGTTTTTAGTGACATTCTATAATTCACTGCTGACCTTCTCCCCAATGTTGTGACTTGGAAAAAAATTCAAATTAAGACTTTTTTTTTTTTTTGAGACAGGATTAGACAACGTGGTCACCCAGGCTGGAGTGAAGTGGCACGATCATGGCTCACTGCAGCCTCAACTTCCCAGGCTCAGGTGATCCTTCTGAGTAGCTGGGACTACAGGTGCATGCCACCATGCCTAGCTAATTGTTTGTATTTTTTATTTTTTTATTTTTTAGAGATGGGGTTTGTTATATTGCTCAGGCTGGTCTCAAACTCCTGGGCTCAAGTGATCCTCCTGCCTCAGCCTTCCAAAGTGCTGGGATTACAGGTGTGAGCCACCATGCCCAACTTCAAATTAGGACTTCTTTACAATAAGGGTTATTCTATTCAGAATCTCATTAGATGTTAAAAAAAAATCAAACCAAAACAAAAAAATACTTTTTAGTAATTCTGTCCCACACCTTTTACTTTTAATTTATATTACTTTTAATTTGTTCTTTCCCACCTTTTACTATTAATTTGGTGTCGCTTTATCCTTGCACATATGAACAGAAATATAGTAAATTAAGTAGTAGGCAAAGATAGGCCAAGTCAAGGATAGTAGTAGGGCAAGGATAGAGCCCAGAGGGAAGAAGTAGAGGGGAAGTGTGTTAGCGGTGACAAATTGTATTCAGAGAGAATGGCTTCAGTGGTATTGATAAGGAAGAAACAACCTTCCCACCAGGTTGTTTGATGAACCACACTATTAGACCATTCTTGCTTTGCTATAAAGGAATATCTGAGGCTGGGTAATTTATAAAGAAAAAAGGTTTAATTGGCTCACTGGTCTGTGGGCTGTGCAGGGAGCATGCTGCAGGCATCTGCTGGGCTTCTGGGAAGGCCTCAGGGAGCTTTCACTCATGGCAGAGGGTGACGCAGGAGCAGACAGGTCACATGGCAGGAGCGGGAGCAAGAAAGAGAAGGGGTTGGGGAGGTGACACACACTTTACAACCAGATCTTGCAAGAACTCACTATCCTGAGGACAACACCAAGAATATGGCACTGTTTCATTCATGAGAAATCTGCCCCCATGATTCAATCACCTCCCACCAGGCCACACTTCCAATATTGGGGATTACAGTTCAACATGAGATTTAGAGGGAGCAACATCCACACTCTATCAGACACTTTCCCTGGACTGTAAAGCTGGAGTTTTGGTTTGGGTAAAATCTACTGAGTCCATCATTTGGTGAGAAAAAAAAATCTATGGTACTTAGATGTGCACATCAGGAATTTGTATGTACACATTGATTACAATAATGGTTATAATCCATCATCATCTTCCAAACCTGTTCTAAGTGCTTCCGCCTCTGGAGTAGGTGTTCTTACTCGTGCAATTAGGGAACAGTGCCTTAGTTAATTACATTGCTTCAGTTGAAATCCCGACTCTACCAGTTACTGTCTGTGTGACCTTAGACTGTGCTTTATCTGTAAAATGAAATTATAATATGTAATAGCACCTACCTCATAACACTTTGAAAATTACAGGAAATAACACATGGCAAAGCTGAGGAGAATATCTGGCATGCAGTGAGCACTCAGTAAATATTAGCTCGTATCACTTTATTGTTATTGTTATTCTTACAACCACAAAAAAACTGTGTCACTTTCCTGCACTTCACGTCACTAATCCTGCTGGTCTTTGATGACTTGTATAGGCCATCACTGCTTCCACAAAGCCTTCCCTAGCCCTTTCACTAGTTTAATGCCCCCCTCTGTGCCCTCAGAGCCTGCTTCCACTACCAGAGCCCTTACCACATTGTATTGTAATGCTTCCTCTGTTGGCCTGCCTCCCCTACTGGACTGCAAGGACCTGAAGGTCAAAGAGGTACACTCTAATGCCTACCATAGTACCTGAAGCAGAGAAGATATTCAACAAAGGTTTCTTGGGTAAATTATTGAAAGTTTAATTAACTTGCTTAAGGTCACAAAGCTAGTAATTGAGTGAAACCCATGTCTGACTTATAAAAGTAAATAATAAGCTATAAGAAAAATATTCCTCTAATAATGATAATGCACTAAATTATGATTCCACCTGATTATTACTTACAGAATACTCTCAAAATTACTTGAAACCTTCCAAATTTTGGCTCTATCATCTCTTCAAACCTCTGTCTGACAATGGTACTCACTTTATACTCTGCCTCCAACATATACACTTGACTTCCTATCCATAGGGTTATCCTTGTTGCCCCCCATAAATTTGACTTGCACTTTCATCTCCTCTCAAGCAGTCATCAGTATTTATTGAGGCCTACATTGCAGCGACCTGTGATGCTCTAAGGATACAGAAATGATATCAGAAGGTGGTGACATTTGAACTGGATCTTCCTGGTGTGAATCAAGCCTTCCCCACTAGCTGTTCTTTGAAAGAAGTTTTGACTAATCTGTGAGCCCTTGATGACACGAAATATTTTGATATATGTTCTGAGTTCACTGTTCGTATTTGTTTATAGGTTGGCATCAATAGATATTTGTTGAATGAATAAATCAGGCTGTAGAGAAACATTTTAGGTTTATAATTAAAGCACCTGAAACAAAAAAAAACACTACATTTAGCTTCTCTCTAACCCTTTTAATGGTAGTTGGAACATCAGAAATTAGCCATTGAGCTTACTGACTCTTTTTCTAACGATTTACTGTATAAGAGAGCAGAATGCTATTGGCTTCACCAGCTGTGGCCAGAAGGGCTCCATGTTCAAATTAGCTACAAATCATGTCCCTTATGGCATTGTTGCTAATGGTGACACTGAGGGTCAGAAATGCCTACGGTAGTGAAAAATATTTCAAGTGCCCCTGACAGTTAACATCTGACAAGAAAGTGCTTTTCTCTGTGTGGGTTTTCGAGGGAGTAAATGAAATTGAACTCGCATACATATATGTTTGTGTATACATGCATAAACATGGTACTTTGCATCTGGTCTGTGACTACGCTGCAACCTTGGGAGATTTGATCGATTTTCTGATGTTAGAGGTAGGAATTTAACTAAGGGAGTATTCTTTGGTAATCGCAAAGCAGAAGGACTTCCATGCAACCTGGTACTGGGTAGCAGCCATTGGCTCTTAATTTTGTAAAAATGACAGATATTCAATAAAGTATCAGAATGATTAGAGGGAAAAATATTAGAGCTGGAGGAGCTGCCCTACTTCTGAACAAGCAGTTGAAACAAAGGCACTCATTGGAATTCATGGTTGGTTGACATTATGTAGCCTGTTGTTGCTTAATTTTGTTTCCTGTATATTTTCAGGGTTGTGTTCATTTGGTTTTAGCAATAAGGACGGGTCATTTTGGTGCTGTGTCTTTTTAGTTCACCTGCATCCTTGAGTTGAGAGCAGAGAACAGAATGCATATTTATTTTCAATTTTTACATGTTATTTCGTATTTCCATAGAGTCTGTGGACTTTTAGGTACAATGATGCTGTCGTGAACAAATAAGATGCTGTCTGAATGTTCCTGAGAGCTTTAGTGCAGTGAACACACCTTCTCAGCAACAACAAAAGGAGATCAGGGAGGCTTGGCCAATGTACTCTCTCGTCCACATACGGACTGATAAGCCAATCTTCAAAATCAAGATTCTTCCAGAAAGTCCAAATTGTCGAGTTTATATTTATAGACCACATGTCTGAGAGTCTCCTCCCAACCCCCCTCAACCAAAGATAGTAGTTTAGATATAACAGTTTTTAAAATCAAGTTCTCACTATAAAATCTGAGTTAGATACTTGGGTAAGGGTGAGGAGTAGAGGGTATGGCTGAGGAAGAAGGGGCATTTCAAAAGAATTGTAATAATCAGTCCCTGACCTTATAAGAGTTTATATTCTAATTACAGAGAATATAAGTCAGACAGCTCAACAGTGGCAAGATCACATAGTACTAAATACCTGCTGAGGTCTTAAGGCAGTGTTTATACACTGGAGGGTATTTTCCTCCAGGGACCATATGGCTCTCCTTAAGGGTATTCAAAAATGTGTGAGGGCATTTTTGGTGCTCACAAGGAGGGGATGTTGCTGGCATTCAGTGGTGCAGGCCAGGGATGCTGAGCATCCTGAGGGGACAGGGCAGTTCTAAACACTGGAACTGATTCCCCTCCGAATGCTGATAACCCTGATGAGAAACATTGTAGTGGTTCCGAGAAGAACAAGAGCGCTCTTACTTGGAGCCGAGTCTGAGATGTCCTCAACACGTTCTGTGAGTCAAAGGTTATGTTCCCTAAAATCAAGGAAGTGGCCTGGATCATAAAGTGCTTCAATGATCAAAGTCAGTCAAGTGAAATGTGTCGATCATTCTCCTGCCTAAAAGGCCAAATTCTTTCAGCATTGATTTAAAGCTATAAGGAATCAAGACCCTTTCTTTAATGATGCTTTCTGATGATTCTCCATTTGTATTGACGGAAGGAGCTAAAGTGTGGAGGCTCTGCACTAGAGGGTAGTTTATTTTAAAAAGTTATTTCTGCATTTAGTGTTAATATTAATTGCTTATTTTATATGCCTTTTTATACCATCTGAAGTACTTTCACATCTAAAAAAATTTAAATAACTTTTTTTCAAAAAAATACTGAAAAATAAAATCAGATTTCTAAATTAAATAAATTAAATTCAGTTTCCTAGAGCAGGCAGCATGGCATATTTAGTTATCAACAGGAATTTTCAGCAAACGAAAGTCTTTTAAAAAATAAAGTGAAACTGGAAAAAGGAGGCCATTTTTAATTCTTTCTCTATATACTTCTGTACATTATTTATGAAAAAGTAGATAAAACTTGATCTCCTGCAAGTAAGATTGACCTAACGTCCATTTCTAGAGTATTAGTAGTCATCATCCCAAAAATATAAGACCAAAATTTGTATCCTTATGTCTAGAATAATGCTTGGCCTCTATAGATATTCAATATGTATTTAAAGAAGAGATGGTGATTTATATTTGAAAATATTTGAGGAATTATAAACAATTATTTTCATAAACACACAAATATATATACTAATATGATTATATTTAGGAATTAGATTTCTAACATTTAAAATAGCTTAGAGACTAAGTACTGTTATTTCTCACTTTTTGTAGAAAAATCAAAAAATTCTAGAGAATTTATTTTTAATAATTTGTTACTAGCTTTAGAAAATAATTTTTTTACTCAAAAATTCACTTAAATAAAATTACATTATCTACATTTTGATTTTTATAGACAACTTTTATAAGAATACTTGCATTATTTAACATTCCATGTGAAAAGAATGTGGTTATTTCTTAATTTTTTCTGTTAAAAATTCCCTGTATGATTGAAGATCTAAGATATAAAGATTATGTTTGTTATTTATAACAGTTATCATTTTTTGAACACATTCTGTGTTCTAGGTTCTTTGCTAAGCATTTTAAGTGTACTATTTCATTATTCCTAATGACAAACTTATGAAGTAAGTATAATCATTAGTGTCATTTTACAGGTGTGGAAATTGAGGCTTAGGATTTTGGAATTATAATTTCTGTAATACTGCCCCTCCTACTTTATTGTAAATAAATAATATCTTGGAAATATGATTTTTGAAAGATGAATGAACATTTTGCCATATAGATCCCTTTACAAGAGAAAAGACAAGTACATTGCAAATTCACCCCGATTCATATTTAGCCCTGAGTATTTGTTTTTTTCAGATCACAAACAACTAAAAACTATGAAACTTACTATGTTTGATAATTACATATTTTACATTAGATATATAACTTACTTAAGTTCAAAACTAAGTCTGGAGAAGGTGGATAAATAAGTCAAAATTAACTTCATTTTAAGGGAAGTTTTACAAGCAATGGTAATAAGTCGCTGAGGAGAATGGACCCCGGCATGTTGGAATCCGTGGTTGCAAGCTGACACTTTGAGGGAATGTTCTTAGCAAAACACTCACTTCAACGGAAATTAGGTCAGCCTTCTGGAACATTTATCATGTATACCTGTCACCAGCAAGACCCAGTCCTTAAAGTGAATTGAGATCACAAGCAATGGTCCCTCCTGCTCTGAGCTGCAAAGGACACTCTAAACCAATAGTTCTACAAATATGTGAGCTTGGCAGACGCTCCCATGAAACTAAAGCCAACACCCATATAGTTGCTCTGGGAATTGAATTCCTTAATGCTTTGTTTATAGAATTTTGAAACAGCAAATGGATTTGGTCTGTTCTGAAAAAACAATCTGTCCTGTGGCTTGTTTGGAATAACATCTAGAGTTGCTATAGAAGGATGGAGGCAGATGACCCATGTCTGATTTGGAAGACAGTTTCGCCAGTTTCTTCTCCTTGTCCTTTATTGTTCAGCCAGGTTGGTTTTTGCCCGACTCAAGGTATTTGCATAGAGGAAAGGCCACCTTCTACCGAAGCTAATTTGATATAGAAACTAGAGTAGTTAGCAAAATCCAGAGCTAAAAGAGTTAGCAAAATCCAGAGTAATAGAAGGTAAGATAGAGTGTATGGTAAAACCAAAACAACGTAAATGAGTCATAACCCAGTGCCCTTTCAGTAATCATATGGCATCATTCTGGTGGTTTCAGAGCAGTGTCAGCAAGTATGGAGTCCTGTGTAGGAATCTGAGAGTGCATCTGTGTCAGTGTACATGTACTTCAGCCCAGTGAATATAATTCATTGAGGGTTTTATGCATGGAAATTACCACATTCACCAGGTAGCCTGTATCTACTGGACTAAGTTACCTTGCCTTGGAAAGGAAGTAATTACTAATCTTTCTCTTGTGTTTATGTTTGGCAAACTACACCTAAAGACTTCACTAAAAAATTGGTAAAATATATATGAAGCTGGTTGAAAAAAAGATGAAATTATACATATGTTTGTGTAGTAGCAGGAATCTTCCATTACATCTCAAGAATGAAAGGAAAAAACTATTAAGAATAGATGTTTCATTTCTGTGTTCATTCATCACAGATATACTGAGTACCCACCATATGTCATACATTGTACAAATGGTAGAATCAGAAAGATGAGAGAAGTAAGATCCCCACTTTAACTGAGTCCTTATTCAAGCTGTGTGTCTGTGTGTGTCTGTCTGTTTGCGAGTGACAGATCCTTAAACAAAAAATAATGATAACCTATGTGAAATGCCCCAGTAGAGGTTATTTTAAAACTCAAGGAGAGAACTCTATAACTTAAAGATATTTTGTCTACAAAAAGGAGCGAAGGTTTTATTCGAAGAAAGAGGAGCCTGTTTTATATGAAAATCCTGAAGATTTGAAGGGGCTGAAGAAGTAGAATGGATATGGAAGAAATCCACCAATGATTTCTTCCTGGAAGAATTAAACACACACACACACACACACACACACACACACACACACACACACACCAACTTTCATGATCACACTCTATTAAGCCAGGACCAGGAAACAATTTCTAATCAGCACTCTGATCTGGGCAGAGATTGTGCAGTCTTTTATACCAGGCCTCAGATCTGTGTTCTCTATTCACACATGCTCACTTCCAGCTGTTGTCATTGAAATCTCACATAATCTTCCAAGGTCAAAGGGCAGTCACCCATGGCTGCTGCAGTTAAAAGGTTATGCTGATTTCTGTTGTCAAATATTGGCCCTTTTCTCTTCCAACCACTCCCATTCTACTTCTTTTTTTTTTTTAAACAAGAAAAATCCAGCCTAGAATTGCATTACATGACTTTAAAGTCTTAAAAGTGTTCCTCCATTGTGCTAACACGACATGGCCTGAACAGTCTAATTCATTCTGTTACATTTCACAAAGAATTTTCTGGTACTTCTAAAATACTTTGTGCTAGGCCAGCAAACTTCAAAGTATTGTGACCCACATGATTGTGGCCTGCCATAGTATCTGCAGAAGTGAATAATACAGGTTCCACAATTTAATAAACATGGTGAATTTTGGCATCGATAACTAATTACTGGGTAAATGAGCAAGAATTACACAAAAAATGACTTTTGAAAAGATGAAAGCTCTTTGCATTTTGTGGTTCTAAACATTAGCTAGTTTTATTTTATATTTGGAGACGTATATAATAGTACATTTAATATTTGGAGTCTTAGAAAAGTAATTGTAAGGATTTTTAAAAAATATTATTGCTTCACTCCATCCAGGATTTTCTTTCCATGCTTGGTGAACCAAAATCAGTGTTGAGTATCTTAAAATTAGCACATGGCCCCTGGCTATCTACTTTCATTATCATTGCATGTGTCCTCAGGTGGTTTAGCAAGCAGGATTCTCTGTAAATGGTCTGTCTCACAGCCCTGTGTATAAAACCTAAAAAGGAAGAAAAGGGAGATGGGCCATTACGATTTTTTGCTGTTTAACGTCCATGAACCAGGGTAGCCCTCAGGTGATCCAGTTTCATGTCTGTTTCACTTAAGATAATCAGTTTCTGATGTATTCAGGGAATACATTTCCCTGTTTTTTCCCTAGTATATGTAAAAGTTCATAAGCAGAAACTAAAGCTATTACAAATAGCTTGATTCATTTGCAAATTACCAGTTGTTACTGTCCAAGTTTAGAGGAAACTTTGATGCAGAACATAAAAACAATAAGTTTGCTTTTTAAAAAACCTCTTTAATTCAAAACCGGGTTAATTAAAAAATGTTAATTTATAGTGCATTAAAACCATAAAATTAATTTTAAAATATTAAGCTTATAAAATACTGATACTATGCTAATTACAGAAGACCTTAGCTTTTCTAATATGATGCAAAATTCTCTGTTTTTTAAAATGGTGCTAAAGTAAGTGTTTAAATTTTTAAAATAATCCCTAAAGATTATTTTTGTTTCTCTGTTCTTGTACAAGTCTAAATTTTCAGTTGAGTCCGCTTGCAAAACAACTGTTTCAGCTTTTAAGACTAATAAATGCATAATTCTAAATGTTTCGGGGAAATGGGGAAAATAATTTGTTGACATGACGAGAGAGAGAAAGGGAGGGAGGAAGGAAGGAAAGGAAGGGAAGGAAGGAAGGAAGGAAGGACGGAAGGATATTTAGCCTGGAAGAGAGAAAATTAGGTTGATGAGATGTCTTCAGATATTTGAAGGATAGTAGAAATAAAGAGAGCCAACATTTGTTCTGCCTATACCAGAGGACAAAATCTAGGTAAATTACAAGTTATAGGAAGGTAGACATATTCAGGGAAATATGATTTTTTTAACCCCTCATTTTTTTATTAACCACAATTTTTTTGTTGCAACATGACGATTATTACTCCACTACTAGATGAACTTTAAGGTCCCTTCCATATCCAGTTCATTGTGTGATGCCATGGATCTGATATTTGCAAAGATACAAATAGGTAAAAATCTTTTTTCACTTTTATTTTTAGATATTTTGATATCTAATAGACATAGTCCTTTAATTGCTCAATCACTTGGAACTTAAAACTCATGAACTTTCTTTCTATGAAGTCATTGGGCAATCACATTTAGTTTAATTAAATGCTACCCTTCCTTTATTAACTGCAGGAATTGGTGAAAAGATGTGACAAGGCCTTTGGATTAGACTGGGTAATTAAGTCTCTGATGCTAAAAATCATGGATTAAAATGGGATAAAATTCATTATATAAAGAGTGGTAAATATACCTGTGTTCTAATCCTAATTTTGCCACTATCTGTGTGACATTAAGCAAGTCACTTAACTTCTCATGTCTAGTTTAAAAGCATTCCTTTGCAGATTAATAATACATACTGTACTAGCAAAATATGTTTGTAGACTGGAATTGGCCTGAGGGCTGCTAAGTTGTGACACGTTAGATTCAAAAGGGATAAGTTAGTAGTTATGTGGGTTAGGGTAAGTGCTTAGCTACTATAACAAAGCAACCAATAAAACGCAAAAACATACAGTAGTTAATGTATATTGAAATCTATTTTTCTTTCTGTTAATATTCCCAGATGAGCAGCCTAAGTTGGCAGGATGGTTCTACTCCACAGTGTCATTCAGGGTCCCAGGTTCCTTCTGTCTTACTGCTCTGCTATTCCACGGGTGTGTGCCTGCATGGTAGAAAGTGTTTTCGCTCATAAAAAGGGGTAGAGACAATGTTCAGGGCAAGAATTTCCTTTCAGGTACGTGGGGGTAGAAGTTGATTGTATCACTTGCGTTCACTTTCTGGTTGTGGCCACTCCTAACTGTAAGGCAGTCTGGAAAGTGTGCTTTCTGGCTATCAACCACGTATATGTGTGACAAACAGCAGACTCATCACAGGAAGATATTGCAGTAGTCTTTATTAGTTTCTAATGTTCTCCTAGAAAGGTATTACAAAAACATGAATTTTATATAAATACATTACTGAAAATCTTGCTGTAAATATCTGCCTTGACTGGGGACATAAGTCCCCAAGAGTAAGGACCTTGTGTTATTTTACCTGTTGCATCCCAGGTCCTAGGATTGTGGTTGCCATGTAATAGACATTAAGTAAACATTTATTGAATGGAAGCAGTAAATTAAATATTGACTCTGTCTCTATGGCTATGGCAGAAATCATTGAGTGAGCAATGATGGCAAAAACAAACAAAAAAACACAGATTAGGTGTCTGTATTGAGTAACAGTAAATGAGCAGCACAGGGAAATTTGGAGCCACAAAAGAAGGCCAACAGTGTGTAAGTCCCATGACACATACTTCTCAAACCTCTTTTTGCCCCATTCTTCTTTTGGTCTAAGAGTACATTATTTCCATAATGGTGACAATTTCTTAATGTGTCATGATAAACCAAAATGACAATCATACCCATGTTACAAATGCATTTAAAGCAATCCATGTATTCATCTGAGAATCTCAAAACACCTCATCCATATTATTAGCTGACAAACATTTCTGCATTTTGCAAATTCTCAGGCACAACTTTCTAGATATAGAAGTGTTTCAGCCTTACTGTCAGTCCAACACCATATGTCAACCTTTTAATGTTTACCATAAGCACACTACCAAGTGAATTTTTCTCCACTATCATAAAGGTTAATCTCACAAACAGAATATATATGTACTTTTATTGCTCCTGTGTTCTTTTTTAGATATCTGAATTTTTGCATTTCTTTAAACTATAAGGAATTATTCTAAAAATAAGCCGTATCTCAAATGTCACCAATGAGTGGCAGAACAATTTAAATAGTCACTATACAGTCAGAAATCAGACCAGAAATTTAAAATTTGGCATTAATGGATCAGCAGAAACATCCCTGCACCTGACTCCTCAAAAGGAAAAACTGTTTTCCAAGATAATCTAAATTAAGAGTACAGAAGTAATATCACTGTAGGTGAGCTAACAAAAATTTACATCACGCTTTAGAGGACTACCAAATAACAGTATCATAAGTCACTCATCTGAATCACTAAATAAATATTTATTACACACCTAGAATAAAGGCTTATGCTGGGCCCTGTGGACAATGTGAGATAATGAGACCCAACCCTCCCCTCCCCGGTTTGTTGTAGGAGTGCAGAGATAATACATATAAACAAATAACTGTCCAGTCAGGTAGAAAGAGGCAAGTGCCGTAAGACAAGCAGAGAAGTTCTCCTTAATTGAATAGTGTCTCCTGAGCACACCTAAAATGTTCTGTGTTGGGGTGAGAGGGAAGATTAACGAGCCACATTCCCACAGGTGGCTCATAAGCCAGTGGGGAATTCACAGAAGGAGAAATTAAAATTCCAAGGAGGGAGTCTGGTTGATGAGGTAAACTTTTCTTTAGAAGGATGAGAATGTAGGTTCCCTGAGAGCAGTGTCCCCAGGGACTAGCACAGACCTGCACAGCACAGGCAGTCCAAAATCCTTCTGGAATATAAACAGCGTGAGAAGGAGGGAGCTTTTCCCGTCAAGTGGCCAAGGCACACCAGCATGGAGAAGCCTGGTAATCATTGGCCTGTCTTGTTATTAGGGATGGAACCCTATTTACCAAAGGAAGACTAGAATAGAGATGAGTTCTTTTTGATGAAATGACTGGGGTATTGCAGTTTGCCTACATCCCTTAACCAGACGAGATTTGATCATTTAGAGCTGACAGCCCCTTGATATTCCAGCAGAGAAAACAAAAATACCATCTTGGATATAAACTTTCCTTCTCAGATGCAAAATTAACTCTGTTTCTTGGACCTGAAAACTTTCTTTAGTGGTCAGCCTCCTGTGTGGTTTGTTCCCAGGTGTCTCTGGCCTTGACCTCTGAACAGCTCTTCAAGGTTACCTGTCTCTCTTCAAATCTTAACTTTGTTCCTCTCCTGCCTGCTAAAAGGCGGATAGATGTTCAGTTCCTCCATGAAATGAGATTTAGTTCCCATGTAATGGCATTTTCCATAATAACTGCTGATATCATCAAGGTAAAGAGAGCTGCTTCTCCTAACTACCCATGAAAGAATTTAGCTTTTTATATTTCTACCTCTCCCATATAGTTTAATCTCTCCCCACTGCGAGTATGACTGACTCCAAGGTATTGAAGTCTGTGCTCTAATTGGGAATTCAATGAACAAGACTTCAGTGAATGAACTTTTTTAGCCATATTATATAAAATGAAAAAGGATCTGCTCCTCATTTCAATCTCCTGTACAATTGCTCCTGAACAGTAGTACAGAATTGTAGAGATAGCACATTGTGCAACCTGGCTTTTTATCTGAGACATACTTAATGAAAGCACATGTTTTGCACTTTTTTTCTGAGAGGCCCTATTCAAAATGTAAATCTTGGGACCTTTTGGGAGTGTTTAATGTGCTTTCCAATGGAGGATCTTTCAATATTAATAATATCTGAATTTGGAATCGCTTAAACTCACCTTTTTATTTTCTTTTCCACTTTTTTCTTACTTTGCAGTAAAGTGGAACAATCAGATTAGTGTCATTTCCCTGCAAGTCATTTTTAAGATTTGGTTTGTGTTCATGAGAATGAAATATTAATTCACTCAGGTTTGCTTAGTAGTTGTGTTAGCAATATCACTTTTTCCATCATTTCTTAGGTTTCATTTCTCATTGCTGTCTTCTTACAAAGTTCATCAGTGGGTTTCCAAGCAATTGGTAAAGGAACAAGAGCAGTTTCATCACCATTTAAAGTTACATGGAGTGTTTACACAGACCTTTCCATGGGGACATATTATAAACATAATCTAGCCAAGGCTGTCTGATAATACTGTGTGAAGAGATGGTTACATCAAAACCTGCCAAAGAAGGCTAGGCGTGGTGGCTCACGCCTGTAATCCCAGCACTTTGGGAGGCCAAGGCAGGCGGATCATGAGGTCAGGAGATCGAGACCATCCTGGCTAACACAGTGAAACCCCATCTCTACTAAAAATACAAAAAATTAGCAGGGCGTGGTGGCAGGCGCCTGTGGTTCCAGCTACTTGGGAGGCTGAGGCAGGAGAATGGCATGAAAGATAATGGCATGAAACCCAGAGGCGGAGCTTGCAGTGAGCCGAAATGGCGCCGCTGCACTCCAGCCTGGGAGACAGAGCTAGACTCTGTCTCAAAAAAAAAAAAAAAAAAAAAAATCTGCCAAAGAATTATACTCTTTATTTTTGTGATTATAGTGCATTCACATATGTTTTACCTTCTAAATTGCACACATTCCACTAAGGTAAGCCTTGGGAGGCAAGTTGCTGGTAGGGAAAAGGGATGAAATTGTTATTTTTGCAGTGACTTTCTCAGGATCACACAAGATCTTCTTTTAAGCTTGGGACTAGATCCTTTTTGGGTGGAGGGAGCTTTATGGCCATGATGGACAATGCTACTGCCCTTTAACTCTATTTTTACTTGAACTTTAAAAATATGAACCATAAAGGGAACAATAAGACAATCCCCAGGCATTTATCATCAGAAACGCCTGAATCAATCTGACCAGAAGCTTCATTGCCTGTCCTGTCCTGATCCTGTTTAGTTTGGAGGGAATATGTGGATGGTTCATTTTCATAGTTTCCCAGTACAGACTGACTCAGTTTTAGTTAAACTATATTGCTGGAAATGAGAGAAAGAGACAGAAATAAGAAGTTCTGCCAATGATTTTACCAAGAGGAAAAATGACATAGGTGAGCCCAGTTTGAGTTTCATTCACTCTGAGGCATCTCAGGAACACTGACCCCATCAGGCAGTGTGTCAAGACCTGGAGGGCCAGAGGCACAGAAGATACTTCCCCTCCTCAGAGGGCTTACAGTCTAATGTGAGAAAAAGACAAAGTTACAATCACGTACGGCAGGTCCCAGGTGAGAAATATAGAGTATAACTGGTCAGTATTCAGAAGGGAGAAAAAAAGTGTTCCCCAGTGGTGGGGGCAGCCAGGGAAGACTTTTGTGAGAGGTGACAACAAAGCTGAGTTCTAAAAGACACTTTAGGAGGTGGTTAAGCTAGGAGTAGGAAGAACAGATGTTTCAGGAAGAAGGAGCTGTATCAGGGGATGGCAGTGAAGCAGTGCAACGAGGAGCTTGCAGTTCACTTAGGTCAAGGGTAGGGCCAGAAGTGAGAGAGAATAAACAAGAGGCTATATCTAGGTCCCATGCCATGGAAAGGAGTTAGTACTGTACTCTGAACGTTCTGTGGGGCTCTTGCAAGCATTCTTTCTTTTTAAAAGAAAAAAAAATATATATATATGATATGTATATATCTACTATTATGATATGTATATATCTACTTATATATAAATATATATTTATTATATATTTTTTCATTTTAATAGTTTCCCAGTGCAGATCAGCTCAGTTTTAGTTTAAACTATATTGCTGCAAATGAGACAGAGAGACAGAAATAAGAAGTTCTGTCAAAGTTTTACAGTATATATAAAAATATATATTTACATATATATATTTCATTTCAGTGACCTTTGGGGTAAAAGTGATTTTTGGGTACATGGATGAATTGTACAGTGGTGAAGTCTGAGATTTCAGTGCATCCCTCACCCAAGTAGTGTAACTTGTACCCAATATGTAGGCATTTTTTTAATCCGTCACTCCCTACACAGCCGCCCCCTCCTGAGTCTCTGCGGTCCATTATATCACTCTGTATACGTCTGCACACCCATAGCTTAACTTCCACTTGTAAGTGAGAACATGACGGTATTTAGTTTTCCATTCCTGAGTTACTTCACTTAGAATAATGGCCTCTGGCTCCATCCACGTTGCTGCAAAATACATTATTTTGTTCTTTTTTATGGCTGAGTAGTATTCCATGGTATATATATATACCATATTTTCTTTATCCGCTCCTTGGCCAATGGGCATTTAGGTTGGTTCCACATCTTTGCAAATGTGATTTGTGTGGCAGTAAACATACACATACAGTTGTCTTTTTGATATATTGACTTCTTTTCCTTTGAGTAGGTACCAAGTAGTGGGATTGCTGGATCAAGTGGTAGATCTACTTTGAGTTCTTTAAGAAATCTCCATACTGTTTCACATAGAGATGGTACTTATTCTTACCAGCAGTATATAAGCATACCCTTTTCACCACATCCATGCCAATATCTATTATTTTTTTTTTACTTTTTATTAATGGCCATTCTTGTAGAAGTAAGGTGGCATCTCATTATAGTTCTAATTTGCATTTCCCTGATGATTAGTGATGTTGGGCATTTTTTCATGTTTGTTGGCCATTTGTCTATCTTCTTTTGAAAAATGTCTGATCATATCATTTGCCTACTTTTTGCTGGGATTTTTTTTTTTCTTGTTGATTTATTTGAGTTCCTTGTCAATTCTGGATACTAGTTCTTTGTTGTATGCATATTTCTTGTAAACTTTCTGATAGGGCAGGGGGCTCAGAACACATTGGATTTGTCTCAGTGTCTCCAACATCTTGCTCTTTCCTGCCTCAGGGCCTTTGCTCATGTTAATCCTCTGCCTGAAGAGCTCTTTCTTCTTTTCCTATTTGGCTCCTTCGTATCTTTCAGATATCAGCTCTTAAACAAGACCTGCCCTGGCCACCCTTTCTAAAGCTTTTGATATTTTTCTCCTTCATATCATTTATTTTATATATATATATTTTTTTCGAGACGGAATTTCGCTCTTATTGCCCAAGCTGGAGTGCAATGGCACGATCTCGGCTCACCACAACCTACGCTTCCCCGTTCAAGTGATTCTCCTGCCTCAGCCCTCCCGAGTAGCTGGGATTACAGGCAAGCGCCACCATGCCCGGCTAATTTTGTATTTTTAGTAGAGACAGGATTTCTCTGTTAGTCAGGCTGGTCTCTAACTCCCGACCTCAGGTGATTTGCCTGCCTCGGCCTCCCAAAGTGCTGGGATTACAGGCATAAACCACCGCACCCGGCCTATAATTTTTTTTTTTTTTTTTTGAGACGGATCTTGCTCTGTCACCCAGGCTGGAGTGCAGTGGCGCAATCTCAGCTCACTGCAACCTTTGCCTCTTGGGTTCAAATGATTCTCCTGCCTCAGCTTCCTGAATAGCTGGGATTACAGGTACACGTCACTACAGCCGGCTAATTTTTGTATTTTTAGTAGAGACAGGGTTTCACCATGTTGGCCAGGCTGGTCTTGAACTCCTGACCTCAAACGATCTGCCTGCTTTGGCCTTCCAAAGTGCTGGGATTACAGGCATGAGCCACCGCACCCAGCCTCCATTTATAATTTTTTTCTTTTTTTCTTTTTTTTTTTTTTTTGAGATGGAGTCTCACTCGGTCGCCCAGGCTGGAGTGCAGTGGCGCGATCTTGGCTCGCTGCAACCTCCGCCTCCCAGGTTCAAGCTGTTCTCCTGCCTCAGCCTCCTGAGTAGCTGGGATTACAAGCGTGCGCCACCATGCCTAGCTAATTTTTTTTATTTTTAGTAGAGATGGGTTTTACCGTATTAGCCAGGATGGTCTTGATTTCCTGACCTTGTGATCTGCCCACCTCAGCCTCCCAAAGTGCTGGGATTACAGGTGGGAGCCACTGCCCCCGGCCTGAGCCACCATACCTGGCCTATCATTTTTAAAGTAATTTTTTTTTTTTTTTTTTTGAGACAGAGTCTTGCTCTGTCACCCATGCTAGAATACAGTGGCACGATCTCGGCTCACTGCAACCTCTGCCTCCCGGGTTCAAGTGATTCTCCTGCCTCAGCCTCCTGAGTAGCTGGGATTACAGGCGCTCGCCACCATGCCCAGCTAGTTTTTGTATTTTCAGTAGAGACGGGTTTCACTATGTTGGCCAAGCTGGTCTTGAACTCCTGACCTTGTGATCTACCCAAAGGGCTGGGATTACAGGTGTGAGCCACAGTGCCCTGCCGTAATTTTTTTTACATGTTTTTAGCTGTTTCTGTAAACTCCCTGAAGGTGGGAACTGTATCTTGTGCCCCTAGCATGATGCATGGCACATAGTAGGTACTCCGTAGACATTTATTGAATAAATGAGTAACTCATCAGATTTGCATATCTGTCAGACAGCCCTGGCTAAAGGGTGGAGAGGGGATTGGAGAGCAAGCCAAGAGAGATGATAGACAGCACAGTTAGGAGGCTTTCCCACCATGCTGGTGAAGAGGGAAGGTCCTGAGCCACAGTCGCAGGAGGGTGATGGAGACATACATAGAGTCAGGAATCACAGAAGCGGTGGGGACTGGTTGGATGTGGGTGATTGTCAGAGGCAGGAGTCAGGGATGATGCCAAAAAACTAGATGAGTGGCCGATGGTTCATTGAAATATGGAATTCAAAAGAGTAAGAACGGGTTTTGGGTGCAGTAGAAAATGGATTCGGCTTTGCGCATGTTGGTTCTAAGAATACCTGTGGGCTATCTGGATGGAATGCCCAACAAATACTTAGATTTATGGGTTTGGAACCCAGGAGATAGATCTCAGTAAATGATAAAGAGTTGAGAGTCATTGGCCTGTAGATTCATTCATCTACTCATTCAGTAAATATTCACTTACTAACGTGCTTTGTCTCAGGCATTAAGTATACAGTGGTAAATTAAAACATTATTTTAGTTTTCACAAATATCACAGTCTAGACTGCTAGTTGATGACATGGAGGTAGATAAAATAACTTAGGAAATAGATACACCCCCCCCACACACACACACACACGCACACATCTGCACACACATACAGGGAGAGATGAGCACAGACCCTGGAGAACACCAACATTTAAGAGGTGGACACAAGAAAAGGGGGCAACCAGGAGAGGGTGGTAATTTGAATGAATGAACGCAAGGGTCTTCCCAATTCCCAAGTCCTTGCACCTAAATCACCCTAGCCTTTAAAATATATTGCTTGCTTTTTTGGTGGCAGGATTAAATTGCCTTGTGTTTACATTCACGCTATACAGAAATTCATGTTAGTTCATCCTTAAAATGAGGAATTTCAAAGATTGGAACTGAAACAAGTATCAGCCTGTAAGTCAAGTAAAGAAGGTAGGGATGAGCAAGAGCTGGAGATCAACCCAGATTTTCCTATTCATCTATGAATTTCCTTGTTATTGTTCTATGTGTTTTAAGTCAACCTTAATGTACATTGTGGTTAGATTTCCTTTGCTGTGATCTGTGGGATAAATGTAATGTTGATGGTCTCCCTATAAGAAAGAGATGTTGTGGTCTGTTTTGCCAAGACCTCATTAGAGAATTTTATTTATTTATTAATTTTTTAACTTCTCAGTTCTCTTAATCTAAGAGACAGCATCTTAGGTGCTTACCAAAGCCAATTGAATACCTGGGTGTGGGTGGTTTTGAGAGGTGAAATTTCTTGAGCACTTTGATGGTAAAATTTTGCCATTTTATTTCAAAAAGCCATTTACAATTATTGTCTATCCTAAAACTTGGAACTGTTTCATCTCAAATACCATAGATTATGTGTTTGATATAAAAGTTAACTGAAATTTAAAAAAATCTCAGTAGAAATTTCTTATGCAAAAATCCAGTGTAACCTAAAAAAGACAAGTAACTTGCAGGTCCATTTATACTCCTCCAAAACATGGCAACTTTTTGCATGTGTTTATGTGTATGACATTTAGTAAATTTATTGGTGGATATGCAGTGCCACAGGTAAATTTGCTTTCCCTCAGTATTGTATGAAATCTAGCTTTTATTAATAACAAATTTTGTTTATGGATTGTTATATATTCAGATTGGTCTATTTTCTTTTATTGCATTTTCTCAAGGTATGTTTCTTATGTCAAAGAACAATTATTTCAAAAATCCCTTCGGCCAACAATTTTTTGACCCAGATTTTAAAGCAGGGAAAGACTAAGCTGACCTTGGAGTGATCTCTCAACTAGACTCTACCTGTGTGAGAGTCATAGAATCAGAAAATTTTAGAGGTAGAGTGGGAAACTACATACCATAGATTATGTGTTCCTTGTCATTTATAAGTTCTATGTTTCTGAATGCATCATAAAATTAAATGAGTAGTTGGTGATCGACATAATACCAGGTGTCTTAAAGGGAATTAATTGCATCCAGCAAAAATGAAGCAGAAACAAAGTTCGAAGATTAATCACTTTTTGAACCATTGATTTATTATCTTTTCTCAAAAAAATCAACAGACACAAAAAAAAATTTGGGGTGTATAAATAATCTGAATTTTTATTTGTGCTCAAAAGAATTTGTTTTCCTGTTTTGTGAGTTGGGGCTTGCTTTTTCTATTTTGACTTTTTAAAAATTCACCCTGTGGTGCCTCTAGAAAAGAACACCTTTAAATCTTGTTTGAGTTAAATGAATAGATAACTAATTCCAATCAAATGTTTCTTTAGAGAATAATGTTTAAAAAACTATGATGGAATGCAGCTCTCCTAGTGATTCTTAGATATGCTGTTTTTATCCCAATTGTTAAGGTCTTAGAGGTCACCCAAGGTAACTATTTATTGTAAATTGTCTTTTGTTTCATATTTCCGGTTGAATTTTTTTTAACCATTTCAAAAATCAGCTAGTTGTTGTACCATAGCTTTGCACAACCTTGAAATTCAAACCAAAAATCTATCTGCTTAGCTAAATGACTGTGCCCTCCCACATAAACCCCAAGGAGAGCAGAGAATGAGATTAGGCACCACATGTGTTAATCATAATGAAACTAATATTTAAAGCTCTGTTGTCAAATGTCTTGTATTTATGACACTTTGTTTTCTTTTGTTTTTGTTTCCCCAGGACATTTGGGCTTCCAGGACAGTTTTGTCACATCAGGTGTTTTTAGTGTCACTGAGCTAGTAAGAGTGTCACAGAGTAAGTATAATTTTGCTTTGATTTGGTACAGATTTGCCTTGGTTTGTGCTTACTTTCTGCCTAGGACTCCTAGAGACCAAAAAAAGCTTTCAGAATCTCCTTTTCATTCACCCATTGGAAGAATTTTGACACACAGTTTGTTTGACAACCAAGAATTTAAATCAGGAAAAATTAAATATTATTTTGATGTGAGGCATAAAAGAAAGACCAAAATCCTGAGGGTCTCATATATTCTGAGGCTTCCCTGATTTCTAAGAAATTCTGCATTTTAAAAGAATTTGTTTTTGACCTTTAAAAAATGCTAATGCCCTCAGTATGAGTGACACAGTCTGGGATGATCATTACCAGTTTGTCAATAATCACTAACAGTGAATGAAGAGTACCTGTCACCATCTTGCTCCATTGATCAAAGGCCCATTCAATTGATTGTAGTTTTGTTATGACATAATCTAGCATGCACGCACACACACACACACACACATACACACACACACACACACACACATACACAGTTGCCTTCCCTTAGGAATCTGTTTTTTCTTATTTAAAAGCACAAATACAATGATTATGATGTTCCAGGTCCCAGTAAGAAGAAGGAAAAATAAATACCAAATATTAAAATTTTATTTTGTTTTACTCCTCCAACTACTTCAAAATACCACTTGTAGGTAAAATTTACATGGTTAAAATTGGTTTTGAGCAGCATCAGCCCTTTGTGGAATGAGCTGGAGTAAAAAGAAACATTTTCATTTCAGGTTCATACCCCCCATTCACTGTGTTACAGGCTTGCAAGATTGACTGAGTAAGCCAGTCCATCTCAGGGCATGACGTCAGGTCAAACAAGTCAAGCCATCCTGGTCCCAAAATCCTGGATTTTGTCTGTTCTTATTTTAGCCACTCATAGGCTAGGAGAGTCTTGAGAGCACAGAATGTGATACACAGTGTGGGAACAGGGGAGAATCTAATGACTACTGTTCATTTACTGTCTGCCAGGCACTGTCGTAGGCCTTAGTGTAAGGTACATAAGTTAATCCTTGCAATAAGCTTTTCAGACAAGAAATTACCCCATTTTTAAAGATGAGTTAAATTGAGGGTCTATATAAGTTATTTATCCAAAGTCAAACAGTGAGGCCAGGCACGGTGGCTCACGCTTGTAATCCCAGCACTTTGAGAGGCCGAGGCAGGTGGATCACTTGAGGTCAGGAGTTTGAGACCAGCCTGGCCAACATGGTGAAACCCCGTCTCGACTAAAAATACAAAAAGATTAGCTGGGCATGGTGGTGCACGCCTATGGCCCCAGCTACTCAGGAGGCTGAGGCAGGACAATTGCTCGAACCCGGAGGGTGGAGGTTGCAGTGAGCTGAGATCACACTACCACACTCCAGCCTGGGCGACAGAGTGAGACTCCATCTCAAAAAACAAACCAACAAAAAATTCAAATAGCGGATAAATCGTTAAGCTAAGTCTCTATAATGCCAGTATCCGTACTCTTAGACTGGCCCAAAGGAACTTGAAGAGATCTATAGCATGAGACTAGACAGGGAAACAGTGGGAAGGTAACTGTCGGGGTTAGAATTGTGGGAGTCAAGGACTCCCAGGTTGATGCTGAGGTATTCCAGTGTAGAAGAGTTGGAACCCTAAGAAATGAGACATTAGGAGCAGCAGGTCATAACTTGGAAGAGAGAGGTTGCTGCCATGGTATTGAAGCGTACTTAAAGTACCAACCGGTTAAGTAGACACTACATTGCCTTGTTAAGCTGGAGAGGATATGCTCCCCTAGTTATAGCACAGCTGATTAGGCAGTTATTTGCCATAGACAAATAACAGTGCATCTGTATATATCTTTTTTTTTTAACTTCTTAGGACTTTTGAACACAATAAATATCTCACATTTTCTTGTAATTTTAATAATAACCGTAATATGGGGAGTATTTGTGTGTGTGTATATATGTGTGTGTGTGTGTGTGTGTATATATATATATATATATATATATATATATATATATATATATATATATATATATATGTATCAGACCATACCAGTCATAGTAGCATTATAGGAAAATACATTCATTGAGCCCTCACTGGGATCTAAAACATAGCCTTAAAGAGTGAAATGAAAATCCTTTTAAGCGTAAGATTGGAGCACTAGCCATTTTATTCTGCCCTGGATGCTGCAATTCTTACATTTAGTCCTCATTACCATCAGCCTTCCCAGGCCTGGGGGTTGTATGAGAAGGCCCACACAGTACAGAATCACCCCCAGCCTCTCCTCCTCCTTCCACTCCCTGTCTTTCCTTTTAAGGTCTTATATCCCAAAGCTTATCAGTTCCAAGTTTGAGTAGAACTCTGGTCAGTCTAAGATAGCTTGGCTGCCAAATGAATTCTAAACCTGCCTTCAAGACTGCCAGAGATTATGGCTGAACAGGGATTGAGTTTGCAGAGGGACCTGGACTTGTTTCCTGTCCCTGCTTAGGGGGTTGCTTAGCCAGTGCCTGGCATCATGAACATCCTTTGGCTCTCAAATGCTTTTTGATTCTGCACACTGCTGTGTAATCGCTCTGGGACTCACTCACACATGGCCTCGTGCTGACGGAAACTGTTTGGCAAGAGTGGGTCTGGGCTGTGTCAGCTCGATCATGGCTTCAGGCCAAACTAGTCGACTGTAGTCAGGAGACCCCTTTTTCTTAGAGATAATCTAGGTTTGTCGGGGTATATTTCACAAGATTACCTTGGCTGCCTGGGTAAGGATCCCCAGCTCAGGTTTCGTCACCTACGCACCCTCCTGAAAGGCTTAACACTCAAGCCGCATGCTGGAGTTGAAATCCCTCAGCATTGCCTTGCAAGGCTGCCCTCTTCCTTGTTCCCCCATGTGGGAAAAGAGAAGCAACCGTTTCAGAACTATGGTGGATGCTTTTTGCAGATGAGTGGACCTGGGGTGCATTCTGTATCCTCGAATAGAAATAAGCTAACTGGCCAGGCGCGGTGGCTCATGCCTGTAATCCCAGCACTTTGGGAGGCCAAGGCGGGTGGATCACCTGAGGTTGGGAGTTCGAGACCAGCCTGGCCAACATGGAGAAACCCCATCTCTACTAAAAATACAAAATTAGCCAGGTGTGGTGTCGGGCGCCTGTAATCCCACCTACTCGGGAGGCTGAGGCAGGAGAATCGCTTGAACCCGGGAGACGGAGGTTGCAGTGAGCTGAGATCATGCCATTGCACTCCAGGCTGGGTGACAAGGGCGAGACTCCATCTCAAAAAAAAAAAGAAATAAGCTAACTGGCACAAAAGGTGATTAAACACATGATGTTAGCCCTGTTAGGAGTGTGATGTCATATAATATGAAAAATTAGAGTAGCTAGCATTTATCAAGCATATACCATGTACCAGGCATTGTGCTGGGTACTTTGTAAGCATTATCTCATTCAATCCTCCCATGGTTGGTGTTACTGTCCCTTTTTATAGATGGAGTCTGTGATGCTCCAAGAGGTTAAGCAACTTGCTCTTTTTCCTTTATTCTACTCAGCTAGCTGACTGCCTACCTTTTCATCAAAACCTCTCCTATAATTGCATTATAGAACTAAATAGAATCCAAGGATTCTGTGCTTTTATTGAATAATCAGTTCTTGTTGATTTGATACACTTTTAGCTTATTAATTTGTGCATTAAAAAAAGGTTAAAACTATTTTCATGTAAACCAAAGCAAGTAAGATACTTAATTAATTTTTTTTCCTGGATTTGTTTTTAGGTGTGAGTTTGTTTTTAATTAACAGACTTTATTCTTTTTTAGGGCAGTTTTTTAGGTTTACAGTTTTAGGTTAACAGAAAGTACAGAAGTCCCGTATACCCCTCCTCCAAAACAGTTTCCCCTATTGTTAACATCGTTTGTTAGTGTGGTACATTTGTTAAAATTCATGAGCCAGTATTGACGCATAATTAATAATTAAAGTCCACAGTTTACCTTAGGGTTCACTCTTGTACATTCTGTGGGTTTTGACAAATGCATAGTGATGGGTAGCTACTATTATGGTATCATATGGAATAGTTTTACTGCCCTAAATATCTCCTGTTCTCCACCTATTCATTACCTCCCACTCCCCACCACTGATCTTTTTACTCTCTCCATAGTTATGCCTTTCACTTAGATGTTTTTGATGGTCTCAGTGTCCTACAATCTCTGACTGTTTTGCAGATTTCTTCTTAACCTTCTGTTATCTATCCCAGCCCCATCCAGTCCCCTGCAATTATACCTAATTATGACTACTTACATGGGCTGAAAATTTCACAGTCATCATTAATGATGGCTTAGGTTGAGATTTTTCTCCCTTTCTGGATCTTTAGTATTCGATTTTTAAATTTGCTAATACAAATATTTACTTACACTAGGTTTCCAGTTAGTTTTTGTTTTTCATTTTCTTCCTTTTAAATGTAAGAGAGGAGGGAGGTGCTATTTCAGTATTTCCTCATGTGGATTCACTGAAATAACTATGTCCTAAGTGTGTTGTTTTTAATAGCGTTACTACCAAGGTGGCAATGGCAGAGAAACTCAGGAGAAAGCTGCTGGCTTAGCCTCACAAATTCAGAGGTGAGGGATGAGGCAACAAGGATGCTTGCCATTGAATTATACTGATCAGATACATGAACCTGTTGGAATCAGGGACTCCTGCTGGCCAACTGAAGCTGCAATCTTCCGTGAACTCCCCTTTCCTCCTTGCCTCCTGCCTACCACCTTTTAATTTTTTTTTTCATTATCATCTAAAGTCCACGAAAGGCAAGAATGGAAAGTTCTGCTTCCATGGCAAAGAAAATACTGTAGCATAAAAATCTATATTTGTTCTCTTGCTAGTTTTTCCCCCATGTGGTAGGACCATCTGAAAGTAGCTCAATTATTTATTGCCTTGTTCCAGGGGAGGAGGAAAATACAGACCACTAGATGCTGTGCCAGAGAGAGAGAGAGAAGTATTCTCTGCTTTGGGGAAGGGGGTTTTACAAGTGTTAACAATGTGGTTCAGAATCACTAAAGTTGTTTTAGCATAATACTATGAGGAAAGAGACAAGAACCATCTGTTGAAATGGCTCTTACATGATGCTGCATTTTCAAACAAAGCCTTCTCAAGGCATTTTTAGATTGGTCTCTTTCCCTTGAAGTTGCTACAAAGAGAGCCCACTCTACTAGCTGCTAAGTGATGCTGCTTAGATAGCTCTCTCTGTCAGCACCCACTCTTTTGTTTATTTTGCGCTAGTGTTTTCCTCAAAGTATGAGTGCTAAGGCTGTCAAATATCACTCCTGGTAGGAACCCAGAAAGTTCTCCTGAAAAATCCACTACTTCTGCCCATTTCCTTCCAAATTGCTGACTCTATTTTACTTGAAGTTGGTGGAGTGACTTCGAAACCCTAACTACTTCACTGGGAAAGAGGAAAACCGCAAATACACACAGGCCATTGTGACTCTGGCCTGGTGGGCTCTAATTTTCTAGCGGCGGTTTGTACACCCAAGCCGGCTGCAAGGGTTAAGTAAACTTCGTGGCTAAGGATGACTTCATGGCCCTGGAATTTTGAAAAGCCAGGATTCTCAGTACACTGTGGCCAGCCTTAGAGTCTTTGGGTGTGAAAACCACTCTCAGTTACCCGGACTGATTTTTGGTTCCTGTTGCAGTGCTGCAGAATCTATTAAAATCCGGCAGCTGAATTGTCCTGGCTCTGCCACAAAGCTCAGCTGCCGGGTCCACTACAGGATTCCTGAGTTGTTTGTCAATGGAGAGTGGGAGTGAATGGAACCAGGCATATGCCTCAGCCTGGCATGAGGTGGCACCCTAGTGGCTGTTTTCTGCCTTAGAAATGTGCGCTCTTTCTATATTTTCACACAGGAATTGTCATTAACATCCAAATTGCAGTTCATTTCTAAAGTTCTTTTTGAAGTCTCTGGGTCCTTGTTACGTTTTCAAGTACCCATATTCAGATGCTTAGATTTTCAGGCTAGTAATTTAGTAAGAACTATTGGCAATATTCTAACCTGACATGGTGGAACTTCTAAGACAGAATGAACTCGGCTACAAGGCACAACAAGAAAACGAAACTCTTGGGTAGGAACAAGCCCAAACTTGAAAATACAAAATGTTCTTGCACAGAAGGACTAATGAGGAAATGGGTGTAGGATAAGAAATTCCAGACATCCAGTCATTTGGGGTGCCATTTAAACATTCGCAGTACTTTAGATCTTAATTAAAGTGGGATAGATTTAAAACTTTCTTTCTAAACTAGTGGCCTGTTGGTTTTCCTGTGTTAAGTAACACGATAGCTGTGATCATTGCATGGAAATTAATTTTTAAAATAGCTTATATTCTTAAGCAAGATCTTCTTTCAAAAGAAACCATTTGGGCTCGAGCATTAAAGGAAGAAACAAAAAGAATATAATAAAAAATAGATTGCAGCCCTAGCATGAACAGTTGCCGTGACCTTGCCTTTTGTTTGCCATTACACAATTCAATGGCAGTCTACTCAAACTATGTGCTCGATCAATATCCTATTAAAGCAGCACAAAAAGTCTCCATAAACTTAGTGGTTAGCTATGTTTATAAATGGAACTCGGCATAATTGGATGGTCAATAGCAGGCTCTACTAGTAATTTTAAAATGAACGTCACACATTTTATATCTGTAGAAGTCAATGGCACCTCTTCTAGAGTGAAGGTAGAGTGTGGAGCAGACAAAAGAGTGGGTGGCCCTTTAAAAAAATCATAATGTCTATTTCCAAATGTAGTTTTTAAAGAAAATCTAAGTTATGGAAGAGAAAATTCTGATTGGCCCCTATATATTTTTATTTTGCCTATCTGAACCACCTTCTTCTGAATATATTATGACTTTGCAAATGTTACATTTTCTAGTTTTAATCAACCCCTCATAGAGAGGTAAAATAATAAATATTGCCATACTCGTAGGAAGAAAAATAACAGTCTGGCTGGCTTAATTCAGCCAGCTTCCTCTACTATAATTCAATAAATTTTCAAAATAAATATTGAAATTGAATTAGTTCAGGAGGATGTTTTGTTGTATGATTTTTTCCTTTTAATTTTCTTGACATGTTTGGGGTGAATATTTGGGTAGTAAAGCTGGCAGCAAGTGCAATGGACTGGTAGTAATAGAAATTGTCGTCAAACTACGCTTTCTTCTGAATCCTAGCTCACAGTATGGGTGGCCAAGCTTGATTTTTTTCCTATCCTACCCTCCTCACCTAATGAAGCCATGTAAGGTGAGAGTATCCCCACCCTTAGACTGACTCTGTCCTCAGCCGACTCAGCCCTATGAATTAAAAGGTGCATATACCTTGTGTTCGATATGTGCCCTGGCTGTTGTCATGGACCACTGAGCTGTTGAAATTAGAACTATGGCAGGAATACGCTTATGACATTAGTGTATCCTTCAGTCACTGCTCTGCATGAAGGTCTAGTCCTTTCTCTTACATGCATACTCCTACAATCTTCCTGGTTAGAGCTGGCAGTGAGAGTTCTCATGGCAGAATTTGGGGCCGTTTTGATCTCTGTTCTCAGCTGAAGCTTCTGATAAATTTACCAGACTATGAATACTCTTATTATAAAGATTTGAACTGGGGAGAAACACAACATACCCCTTGATGTACATACTAATGTGTTGTCATGGTCTCTATTCGTATGTTCATCTATTTCTAGGTCATTCATCAGTTATGCTTTCTATGTGTCAAGTATAAAACCTATATTCAAGATGGCAGCATGATATTGTAAAACAGTACAGGATATAGAGTTGGGGAATTGAGCTTTGCAACTTATCAACTCTATAGCTTTGGGCAATATTTAACCCCTCTTGGCTGTGTTTTCTTCTAGGTTACAATCATTTATTCATTGAGCAAATGTTTATGAAGTCCTAACTGTGTGCTGAGTCTAAGTCCAAGTACTGGAAATAGGAATACCTCTCAGGAGTGTAATGAGGGTTAAGTGACAGATAGTCTAGTGTCTGCCACATAGTAGATGCTCAACAATGATAACCACCACGATTATTGAACAGAGCCTCAGCCCCTGATCGTTCTTCACTGTGTGCTCAGAGCCAATCTTGGAGCTGACCACTATCAGTAAATTTATTGAAAATGCATGTGTGTGTGCGTGTATAAATTAAGAAGGGCCAATTTTAGAATTCATGTTCTAACAACCAATTATTAGAAGAGCCACTCTAGTGACCCTTACGGAGTTAGTAATTCCAATAGAGTAAGAGCATGCCAATAGTAGACCTCATTCCTCTGTTTTGAGCATTGTTTTTCCTCAAATTTTCAGAAGATTCTTTTTCCTCAAATTTTCAGCCAGAGCCTGTGTTTCTGCATTATTCTAGAAATTGTTCTCCTAGGATATCTCGTGGATAGCAGAATGTTTTAAAATTCTCAATCTAACACTGACACATTAACAACTTTTTAAGTGGCAAACCACACCTGGGTCATCTGTACCGGCATTCTTTTTTTTTTTTTTTTTTTTTGAGATGGAGTCTCGCTCTGTCACCCAGGCTGGAGTGCAGTGGCGTGATCTCGGCTCACTGCAAGCTCCACCTTCCGGGTTCACACCATTCTCCTGCCTCCGCCTGCCGAGTAGCCGGGACTACAGGTGTCCACCACCGCGCCCGGCTAATTTTTTGTATTTTTAGTAGAGACGGGGTTTCACCGTGGTCTCGATCTCCTGACCTCGTGATCCGCCCGCCTCCACCTCCCGAAGTGCTGGGATTACAGGTGTGAGCCACTGCACCTGGCCCATGTACCAGCATTCTTAAAAGTAGTACTTAGTTTTACAGTATTTTAAAATTTTGCTTTCACTCATATTATGAGCAAAAATTCCCTATGAATGGCAGAAGCATGCTACAGGTCATTACTGACAATGTGGTTTGTTTGGGTTTTCTTGAGACAGAGTCTCACTCTGTTGTCCAGGCTGGAGTGTGGTGATACAATCATGGCTCCCTGTAACTCCACCTCCCAGGCCCCAGGGATCCTCCCACCTCAGCCTTCCCAGTAGCCGGGACCACAGGCACGCGTTGCCACATCCAACTAATGTTTGCATTTTTTGCAGAAGTAGGGTTTTGTCATGTTGCCCAGGCTCGTCTCGAACTCCTGGGCTCAAGAGATCTGCCTGCCTTGGCCTCCCAAAGTGCCTGGATTACAGGCGTGAGCCAGTGTGCCCAGCTAATAATGTGCTTTTTAATAAACCTTTATTTATGCACTCATAAGCCTCAACTTTTTAATGGTGGATATTCATATCCAGTAGTAACACTGAAAAACTAGAAGGGGTTTTTGTGACCTCCAAAGCTTGAGAGAAATCCTATATTACCCTGCAGTAGGGCCACAAATATTATTGAGATTTGGCTGGAGTACATTATCATAGCTAACTCTTGCCGAGTAGAAGGGCTGTTGGTAGTGACCATCTTAGCATGTCTAGAATGGGGCCGGTGGAGTCCACATTCAGCAAAACCACACATAGGTCAAATACTGGAACTGAACTAATCCAGTGTGTGGTTAATATGAGTACATGTTAATACCCAGGATTTTTCACTAGGTGGAGGAGAAAAAAAATGAAAGTTATTGGTGGAAATATTGAAAACTATTTTTTTTTTTTGTAAACAGCTGAATTAGTCAGTTGTTGGGATGGGACTCTGTTGATACGGTTTGGTTTCCTAATAGCTAATGGTCAAGTAGTCCCAGTGCACTATTGGTTGTGGGGCTTATGTTTAGCTTAGCCCTTCCCTGGTTTATAGATCACTGTGGCAAAAAGACCTCTTAGGCCATCAAATCCCATCCCTGTCAGAGAAGACTTAATCCCATGACTGAGGCTGTATCAGATACTAAGCAGGTACCACATTTGACCTCAACCAAAAGCTAAGACATGATGATACTCTAAAATGCAGAAAATCAATTTCAGCCCCCAAAGCAGAAGGCACTAATGCAGATCAGTCAGCATTGCTAACCCCTCTGTGGACTGCTCTGTTAGACCAAGTGGCAGGGCCCTTCATCCAATGGAACTCTTGCTGACGCTTATAAAGTTTAAGACCTGCAAAAGCAGAGAGGCGAGAAGGAGAATGATGAGATAGAAGTTTTGCCACATAAGTGTAGGCGATAATTATTCTTCTATTTAAACGTGTTGAATATATCTCCTTCATAACTGATGACAAAGGAAAGACAGCAACACTAGAAATGTGAATTTCACTCCTGTTTCTTTGAACAGATATCTAGGAAATATCTACATTCAAGCCCTTCTTCTGTCACTTACTTAGTTGCATGATCTTGACCATGTTACTTAACTCTCAGCGTAGTTTCTCATTTCTAAATGAGAATAATATAAATACATATTCCATAGGGATAATGCAAAGATTAAATGAGATAATTCAGGTAAAATACCTAGCACATTGCCTGGCATGTAATAAATGCTCAATAAATATTAGCTCTTAGCTATTTTTCATTAACAAGCTCGTGTAATTTTAGTTCAACTCAGTAAACATTTGGTGCATATGTAATATATGAAGCACCCTGCACTGTGTACTGAGGAGAATACAAAAATAAGTAGGAGACAGCCTTTTCCTCTACAGGGTATATATTTAAGTTTCTTGAGATCTAAGACTGAGCTTATTTTATGGCAATAAAAAGCCTGAATACACTTAATTTACAAATTAAACTCACAGTAATTATCTGTCAAAGATAAAGTATCTTCCTGATTCGGAGTGGGGTGGGAAAATGTATCGGTTAATTTTTCCTATTTTAATGAAACAGAAACATTTTTTGAAAAATAAAAATTCCTCTCTTCACCTCCCTTTTCTCCTTCCGCCACCATGTATATATTCCTTAACATGTGTTCACAAGACAGGGATGTGTGAAAATAGGGCTCTGTCTGTGTTAGCGGATGCCTTTCATGGGGTTAAAAAATATTCTACTGGCTTTTGTCACCTAATAGTACATTTCGTAAAAAGCATTGCTTAAATCTTTTAATAGCAGGCAAGTTCATTTTCACATAGAGGGAAATCCTTGTTTTAGTTCATTGCCTTTTTTTAATGTTCCTGTTTGGAAAACCATACTCTTAGCCTGCATTTGGTCAGACCTTTTAGAAAGGAAAAGTAGAAAACAGGAGATCAGCACAGGGTTTACAGACCAGAAATCTGCTTGGCAAAGGAGTTGCTGAAGACTGTGGCGTAGAAGCTGCAGAGAAAGTACCTTTATGATTGATTTCCATTCAAGTCAGACTGACTGCAGTGTGGTCATTTTTCTAACCCATAACTGCTCACACTGCAGCAGTCTGCTATCTGCAGGGTGTCTGAATTATAGCAGTCTATGTTCGTGTTACCTCTTATACAAATTACTTACACTGGTTTCTTTTTCCATGCAAATTCATCAGTTTTACAGCCTCTCACAGCCACAGTCAGGAAACTCTGGCAGAGAGCACAAATTGATAAAATGAGTTAATTTTTACTATACTTATTTTTTTTCTTTCTAAAAGCCCTTTCTCATAGGCAGTGTTCAGGAAGCATATTACGGTAAAAGGGAGATAACAAAGGAGTTGAATTTTCTTGCCATAAATTACTTTCCAAGTTAATTCCCTTTAACGATGATTCCAGATTTGCTTGAGTTTTCATAGCATTGTGCGTTTTACAACTGTGCCTTTGATAGAAAGAAGAACAAGTATTTTCCCATGTTCAGTCCCTTTGTGCCAGTGACATGAACTTTCTTACAAGATCTTTGCCACTGGAATGCAAAACAACACTAAATTGTGCTGGGTCCATAGAACTCTGTGCTGCTATTGGACTTTTCCCCTCCCCCGGTCTTCAAATACAAGTTCCCAAAGTCTCACTGAGTGTTTTAGATCATGTAATCAGAAGAAAAATATCTCTCCATTTTTTCATATTTGTAAGTTGGAAATTGAGTTGGGTTACTTATTGCCATTCTTTCATATTCCTCGGTGGCCATACAGATTTGAAGAAGGGACAATAATGGTCAGTCTCTGAAATGTAAGCCCCACAAGGGCAGGGGTTTTCTATATCTTGTCCACTGATGTTTCTCAAGCATCTGGAATGATGCCTGGCTCACTAAAAGTGCTCCATAAATATTGTTGAATTCCATTGAATACAGCCTCTCTGAGGATATGTACTATTAACCATAGGCTGGACAAACTAGTCATTTCGTTAATGCTCCCTGCTGACTTCCGTTGAACAAGTTGGAAACTTAGCACACTGTAATCTCTCAGGCAGAGTAGCTCAAAAATTTGTATGGAAATTTTTTCCATCATCCTCTCTTTCCAACAATGCAAGCCTGAGCAGCTTGTCTCTGGTGGATGGCAGAAGTTCAATAACCACAACCTTATCCAACTACTAATGTGTACAGAAGAGCAGGTCATTAAGAGGGTTGGCTACTAAAATAACCCCTTTCTTCCAGTAGCCTACATTACTATAATGATTCCTTAATAGCAAACCATTTATTAAGAAATGACACAAAGACTACATTCTACTTATGACAGGAAAGAGGCAGGGGTAGAGGATGAATGACTTGGAAGTAATATTTGAAGAGACCATTTCCAAAAGTTAACCTTTTGAGAAAAACTCCTCGATAGAGCAAAATACTTCAGATTCGTTAATTACAATACTACTTAAGAAAATTGAGGAGCCTTCAACACAATTTATATGTATTTATAGAATTCTGAGTTTCATTTGGTATTGTTTAAAGTTTAGAGGGGGCAAATAGGGAGGGTAATTATTCACTCTTCTTAATTCAAAGCATATTTATTGATGATCAACTGTGTACACAAAACTGGTCAAAGGGAGCTCTAGGACCTGTAGGATTAAAGTCATGTGTATCACCTCTGACTTCATGACCTGGGAGAGTTATTTAACCTCTTTGTGCCTCAGTTCCTTCCTGGTGGTATGGTGAGGATCAGGATTCCCCAGTGCTCAGGCTGCAGACTAGTACCAGTCAGTGGCCTGTTAGGAACCGGACTGCACAGCAGGAGGGGAGTGGCGGGTGAGTGAGCATTGCTCCCTGAACTCTGCCTCCTGTCAGATCAGTGGTAGCATTAGATTCTCCTAGGAACGCAAACCCTATTGTGAACTGCACGTGCGAAGGACCTGGGTTGCAGCCTCCTTATGAGAGTCTAATGCCTGATGATCTGAGGGGGAACAGTTTCACTCCGAAATCACCCCCCTACTCTGATTCATGGCAAAATTGTTTTCTATGAAACTGGTCTCTGGTGCCAAAAAGGTTGGGGACTTCTGGTGAGGAGTAAGTGGGATGATGTGCTTAAAACCCTTAGCCCAACTTCTGGTTCATAAATGATGCCTAATAAATCGTGATGGTGATGGTGGCAGCAGTGGTTAGTGGTGGCAGTTCATTTTTGCCATAATTATTATTAGAATTATGAGGCCCAAAGAGTTCCAGTGACTTAATCAAGTAAACAGGTGGTGATTGGCAGGATTGGGAATCTAGACAATCTCTCCCCGTCCTATACTAGCATTTTTTATGCCCCATGACATCTCTTTATAACCTTCAAAATGCATCTCAACCTAGATAGGGAGAAAATGTTACATATGAGACAAAGCATGATAAAGCCCAGAGTCAATTACAAATGGAGCAAAACTGGATTTCACAATAAATGGAACAGAAAGGCAGTGCTGTGCTTGGTCCAGTCCTACCTAACATCTCCACATTTGATTGGCAGCGACTGCATCGTTTTTATAGCACACCAGAAGGCAGTTAGTCTTTAACCTCAAAAACCCAATGTGATAACCTGGGCAGGCCAGAATTTATGTGACATTGGACAAATCATTTAACCTTCCACAACTTTTATTAGTTTCTTAATTTTCAAAAGAAGGACTTAATGCCATTATTAGTTAAAAAGTATACTGTGTTACATACATCTTATTGATATTTTATATTTGTTAGAAGAATATGATCATTTATTTATGCCCTTTCAAGTGCACAATTGGGAACAGGTCTTTGAGACCTGTTTGCTCTCCTGGAGGAGGTGTCAAATTTCCATTGTAAAAATTCTATTTTCTTTCCCAGCAGCAGAGTCTTGGCCTCCATTCCCTTCTGCTGGGACACTTGCATCAATCTTCTGATTTCCCCACCTCCAGAATCTTAGCCCCCTTCCATGCATTCTGAATATGGTTGCTGTGTTAGTCCGTTCTCATGCTGCTATGAAGAAATACCCGAGACTGGGTGATTTGTAAAGAAAAGAGGTTTAATTGACTCACAGTTCTACATGGCTGGGAAAGTCTCGGGAAACTTATAATCATGGCAGAAGGCACCTCTTCACAGGGCAGCAGGAGAGAGAATCGGTCCCCAGCAAAGGGGGAAGCCCCTTATAACACCATCAGATCTCGTGGGAACTTACTCACTATCACGAGAACAGCATGGGGGAAACTGCCCCCAAGATTCAGTTATCTCCACCTGGTCCCACCCTTGACATGTGGAAATTACAATTCAAGGTGAGATTTGGGTGGGGACACAGAGCCAAACCATATCAGTTGCCTTGTGATTGTTCCCAGGTCCACAGTGATCTTATCACTTCCCTATTCAGAAACTGTCCTGGATCCCACTTTTTTTTTTTTTTTTTTTTTTTTTTGAGATGGAGTCTTGCTCTGTCGCCCAGGCTAGAGTGCAGTGGCACGATCTGGGCTCACTGTAAGCTCCGCCTCCTGGGTTCACACCATTCTCCTGCCTCAGCCTCCCGAGTAGCTGGGACTACAGGCGCCCACCACCACGCCCGGCTAATTTTCTGTATTTTTAGCAGAGATGGAGTTTCACCGTGTTAGCCAGGATGGTCTCGATCTCCTGACCTCATGATCCGCCTGCCTCAGCCTCCCAAAGTGCTGGGATTACAGTCGTGAGCCACCGTGCCCGGCCCACTTTGCTTCTTATCTCCAAACTTATGCACATACTTTGTCTATTGCCAAGAAAGCCTCTCCTGTGTCCTGTGCCTCTTTAAATCTGAACTATCCTCGAAGGCTCAGCTTAAGTGCCCACTCTTCCTGGAATCAAACCTTTTTCTGATCTCACAAGCCAATGGGATCCATGACTCCTTTGAACTTTCCTAGCACATTCTTTGCATTTTTTCCTATGAAATTTAGCATGTTCGGCATTGCATTAGATATTCAGGTATTATTTTAGTATTCCACTTAGGTTGTAAACCTTTTGGGGACAGAGACACTGTGTATCTTTTTATCATTTCAAGTTTAAGACAAATACTATATGTGGGAGTCAGTGTGGCGCAGTAAGAAAAGCCCAGGTTTTGAGGTCAGTATCCTTACATTTTAACCCTGACTCTCTCTTTTTGTCTTTTTGTAATCGAGGACAAGTTATTTAATCTCACTTCAAGGCTTCGTTCTCCTCATCTAGCAAATGCACTTTGAGGTTTGAGAATGAAATTAAGTACAGTAAGTACAGTGCTTATCAAAACATGGCATCATGGGTGCTCCAAAAAGCCTGCCTAAAGCCCACCTCTTCAGTTCTTCATGACCTGCCAAAAGCTCTTTCTGTTCTCCAGATTAGAGGTACTGAGAATACCCAACCCAATGCAAGGATACTTTGATAGGGACTGCTCCCCTCAAGTGTGAAGCTTTCTCTTTGGCTGTGACAGTGTCACTGAGTCAGAATCCAACCCAATAAGCCAACTGTCCATGTGATTCATACCTACAGGCAGTTGCAGGGGGATGTTCCTTTATAAGACTCTTGAAGAAGGCAGAGTTTGGGTCTGTGAATTACTAGGATTATTTAACTCAGGGTGTGAAACCCATTCTCATTTCAGAAACTTAGTGATGTTTTAAAATTCAAGACACACATAACCAGTTTGCCAAGCTCTCAAGTTACTCATCAGAAGTCTGATAGACACTTTCGGGACGTGCCAGGCCACCTGGTGCCATTTGCCACATTACAATTCCAGTGTACTTAAGTGGTTCACAGGAAGTATATATATGACCAAGCTAAGCCCGTTTATGTGGGCTTAATTATTTTTTAACATCTGGAAGGTGGGCACACCATGTTTACACAGGCTTTTCTTTTTCTTCCCCTATTCTGGCTCTCTTGACATTTAAAAAAGATAAGGCAAAAGACATTTTTCTAGGATAGATAAAGTATTAAATTTAAGTGCAGCTGGATGTTCACCACGAGCTAGGAGGCCTCTTCTTCTCTCCGTCTGATCAAGTCCCTCACATTCACACTTTGCTCTGTGTTCCTCTCCTTCCAAGAGCGAGGGAGTGAGGGCCAGACAGTGTCCGCCATGCTCAGGAATGAAACGGCTTCTCCACCCAGTTGAGACCTCATCTCCCTTCTGACATTTGTGAAAAACATCTAAATCCAGAGCTATGACACTGATCAGCCTTATAACCCTTCTTTGGTTAATGAGAGGTGTGAATCTCTAATCTCCAGGAAGGCACAAAGCATTAAGTACCTACTGTATGTCAGCTTGCTGGGAGTGAGGATGAGTGATCTAGGCTCATATTTGACTAATCTCCCCCACCCTTCCTCCATAGCCTATTTCATACATAAAGATTACCTAATAAAAGAGGAAATTATGCAAATAAATTTAATATAAAAAGCAAATTAGGGAATGACTATCAGAATTATTAATTAGAACCCTGTTTACACTTATTGTCAAGCCTCACCGTTTTTTTTTAAACGAAAGGCCCTTAGAGCCTGTTACTGAGAGATGTGTTTGAATTTCAGAAAGTAGATGTGAATTTCAGTCTTCCATTTTTTTTAGCAGTGACTGTTTTTGTATATTGACAGTTGTGATTAAGGTTTATTCATTGGTATTAATCAAATAACTAAGTATTTATTCTTAGAAATTGTTTTATTTCCTCATACCGTCCCTCGATTCCATAGTTCCATTATGGCACCTCAATTCACCTGGTTTCCCAAGTGCTAATCGTGGGAGTTATCCCATACTCCCCTGTTCCCATTATTACGATAGTCAAGAAGTCAGCATGTCTTCTTTTTATTTATTTATTTTCCAAGATTTTTATTCGAGATGGGTTCTCACTCCATTGCCCAGGCTGGAGTTGTAGTGACATGATCATAGTTAACTGCAGCCTCAAACTCCTGGGCTCAAGTGATCCTCCCGTCTCAGCCTCCTAAGTAGCTGGGACTACAGGCACGTGTCACTACACCTAGCTAATTTAATTTTTAAAAAAAATATTTTTTTTTTCTGTGGAGACATAGTCTCACTATGTTGCTCAGGCTGGTCTTGAACTTTTGGTCTCAAGCAATCCTCCCACCTCAGCTTCCCAAAGTGCTGTGATTATAGGCGTGAGCCACCACACGTGTGCCCAGCCAGTCAGTACATCTTGATTCTAACTCCTGAATAACTTACATCAGGCTCCTCCTTTCCATCCTTTGAGTTTAGTCCCCATCCCCACTATACCTTGCATAAATGCCCCAGTGGACTCTCTGGTTTGCCTATTATATTCTTCAGGCGCCCCCCACCCTTTCACCTCCATGCCTACCCTCATGACAGACTGATCTTTCTAGGTGATAAATGCAAATTTGATGATAGCATTCCCATACTTTGCTGGTCCTTCTTTGACTATTGAATACAACTCAATGCAGCAACCCATTCCATTGACCAGTGTTTACTGACTGCCTCCTGGTGTCAGGGACTATATTAGATGCTGACAGTATAATCCCCAGTTATAGTGGGGTGAGGTAGATGCTTTAATAGCTTATAAACTTGGGAATCTGCTGAATTCAAATTTATGTTCCTTAAATAAACCTGCCAGATCCCACCGGGCACATGTTGGCTCATGCTTGTAATCCCAGTGCTTTGGGAGGCAAAGGCAGGAGGATCGCTTTAGACTGGAAGTTCAATACCAGCCTGGGCATTATGGTAAGGACCCATCTCTACAAAAGAAATTTTTAAAAAATTAGCCGGGTGTGGCGTAGCATACCTGTGGTCCCAGCTATTCCGGAGGCTGAGGCGGGAAGATTGCTTGAGCGCAGGAGCTGGAGGCTACAGTAAGCTATGATCACACCTCTGCATCTGCACTTAGCCTGTGTGGCAAAGTGAGCTCTTGTCTCTAAAACAAAGAAAGAAAAACCTGCCAGATCCTTCATAACCTCACCTTAACCATCCTTCCTCTTTCCCGTGTATTCTACACTATGTCATCATACCAAGCTATCAGAAATCCAGTAAACATTTTCTGCTCTCTTGATGCTGTTTCCTCTACCTAGAAGTCCTCCATCCCTTTCAGTTGCATAATTCCTCCTTTCCTTTTAACATTGTTTCCAGGCTTCACGTTTTCTGAGGCCATTCCCTTGAACTTCTTATCCCCAGGTTGGGTTAGATAACCCACTTCTTTGCAGCCACTTCAATTTAGGAATGCAGATGGTCCCCAATTTACAATGATTCCACTTAAAATTTTCAGCTTTACGATGGTGGGAAAGTGACATGTGTTCAGTAGAAGTCATACTTCAAGTAGCCATACACTTATTCTGTTTTTCACTTTCAGTACAATATTCAATCAGTTACATGAGATATTCAACACTTTATTATAAAATAGGCATATTAAGTGCATTTTAAGCTGATGATATTTTTAACTTATGATGAGTTTATCAGGACATAGCCTCATTGTAAGTTGAGCACCTGTAGCTCTATCAGATGACTTCGCAGACTTTTAAAAAATTAATCTGTCAGACTTTCTTTTCCGTTTAAGGGTAGGGACCATGTCTTTCATCTAAGTGCCTTCCTCACTCATCATAGTTCTTGGCAGTAGCAGGCTCTCAGTAAGCATTCATTGGATGTACAAATGTCCCTGGTTCATGATAACCCTTATTGTTATTTCTTCTGATGGATACTAACCTGTAATTTATTTATTCCAGTATCAAATCATGTGGGCTTAGCTCTCAAACCAGTGCCTCAGTACAGTATCTATTGTTCCTGCTTTGACATAACCTTTCAAAAAGATTATTTGCACTAATAATTTACACCACTAATTTTACGGAGTTGTTTTATAGAATTGGTACTTGTTATTTGTCCATTGGAAAACATGTATTAAACTACTGTCAAAAAGGTATCTAAAGATTCAAAGACAGAAAATGCAAGGAATCAGTCTCACACAAGGGTCATTTCTGAAAATCACAAATAATCAAAATTAAATCAAAGGTCAGAAAATCATTTTATAAGAGGCCAGCTAATAAATATGTTAGGCTTTGTGGGCCATATGGTCTCTGTTGCAGCTACTCGTCTCTGATGGTGTAATGTGGCAGCAGTCATAGACAATATAGAAATGAAAGGCCATGGCTATGCTCCCGTAAAACTTTATTCATAAAAACTATGGGCCTGCCTTAAATTACAAGGTTGGACAAATATTCAGTTAAGGTGTATGCAAGATGGAGAGGTGATTCAGAGTAAAGAGAAACCACACATTTCATGTTATAAGAAACTGGGAATGGACAGCTTAGAAAGATGACTTTGTTCTCACCAAAGTTCAAAACAGAATTCCAAAATACAGATGAGTAGAAGCTGTCAGGATCAGATAAAGTTAGAAAAGTCTAAAGAGTGTTTTGGCTGGTCATTCCAGAAAAGTGTAAGACCAAAATGTGGGGAAGTATTTTTGTTAAAAGCATCCAAGAATGTTGCAACCTTGGTGACAATTTACTATTACATAAAGAGAAAAGATGAAAAATATATTAGAAAAAATATGCCTTTCCTGTATAGACTATTTTTAGTCAATATTCCTTTGGAGTCATAGTTTATTACTGATTATTTTCGATTCGCTTACATATAAATGCAAAAAGAAAATGTGCTAAATGCAACACTGAGGATGCTGTCATTGATTTTTTTATCCACAGAATTTAACTGATTTTTGTTTGTTTTCTTAATTCTAGCACCAATAGCTGCAGGAACTGGCCCAAATTTTTCTCTCTCAGATTTGGAAAGTTCTTCATACTACAGCATGAGTCCAGGAGCAATGAGGAGGTCTTTACCCAGCACATCCTCTACGAGGTAATTTTATTGGCAGCTCTTGAAGAAATTATGCTACATGGTTGCACACCTTGATTTTAACTCTGGGCCCACTATGGATTTAGCAATGCGCCTTTAGTAATAGAAGATAACAAAGTAGTGGGTTCAGCCCCAAAAGACTGTCGGTCTCGTTGGGGAGATAAAGCAAATATGCATGTGGCAAGATTAAATACACACACACACACACACACACACACACGCACACACACTAAAAAACTGTGAACTAAATTGTGTGACACAGGCTAAAAATAGTTAAAGAGAGCTTTATGCAAAAAGAATACCTTGTTTCCAGCTCTAAATGTTGGTTAGGGTTGGTGAGATAGAAAGGAAAAGGAATGGAATTCTGGGTGGGGTGAAAAATGAGCAAAGGCTTGGAGGAAGGATGGATGATGAACATAACATGTTCTCAGGAAATGAAGGACAAGGCTGGACTGCAGCAAAGGGCATATGTTTTGGCTTGTTTGGCAGGAAGTGAACACTGGTGACAGTCTCAGTGTCATGCCCACAGCAGACATTACAGCTCAGTGCCAGCTCTTTTCCCACCGAGCCCCCAAAGCTCTCAATATCCAGTTTACTGGAGTTGCCCTAAAAGGTGAAACCCATTTGATATCCTGGTGTGAGGTTATACAAATGGAAGTAGTCACTTGCATAACCTCAAGTGAGGGTGGGGCCAGACCACAGACCCCATTGTATTGAGAGACCTTAAAAACAGTAAAGCTAGAGTAGTGTAACCTGATAATGATTCTGGGGTTCTTGCTCCCTTTAACGTCACAAAGCCAAAATCAAAATGAAGCATTTTTGCAAGATCGTGTTGTCTCTAGATAACCTGTACCAGAGGGAAAGGGATTAGGCATTAAACCCACAGTATTCTTTTACAAATTGGCTTTAGCACTGGACTGTGACAACAAAGAATAGAATGGTACAGAACGATCTTTAATGTTTGTGTACTTTGCAGAAAAATGTCTGACAAAGGTATATTCCTCCTAAAGCAAGTACCTGAGTCTTATGATTTAAAACAATGCCCAAATTATAGAACTTTTCCTTGGTGCACACTCGTTCTTACCTTGCCTTTATATATTTTAAACATCACTACTTTAAAAAAAAGATCAACTTAGTCATCCCTAATACCTTGAAGACAGTTAAAGAAACAGGTATTCCCTTAATATAACTATCAAATCCTACCATCATCTTTCATGTTGTTTAAATGTTCCCTTTAGTTCCCTGTAGTATCAGCTCCTCAGGGGGACAAAAAAGTCACACATCCAAAGTATATTTATAATAGAAGAAAGAGATTGTGAATATATTTGGGTGTTCATACATTTTGAGGATTTTGAATGTTTGCTGATGGGAGAGACCTTGTGTGTAACTGTACTCAGTCAACATGAAAAAGCTTTGCAAATACCTGTGGGCAGTGATTAATTTAAAAGTTTATGGGCTGTTTGTTTTTCATGTGTGTGCTGTATGTGTACCATGTACCTCCCAAACAGTGTTTCCCCCTTTTTATGTTTTCACACAATTCTCCAGCTATGTTTTATTATCTTTTGTGACTCTCTGAGAGGAAAGCTCATTATGAATGTCATTTAAAAGGCCAGTGTCGTTCTCATATTCTGCAAATAACTAACCCTGATAAGGAGCTAATTATAACCTGCATCAGTAGTTAATAACCCGGTAATATGTTTGTTTTACTCTCATTAGGCTCTTCCTAGGATGATTTTTAAAATTCTTTAAATACATAGATTCAGCAGAATTAACGATGTACAGGTTAGAAAGTGTGCCCAGAAGAATATCTCAGATTTATATATAGAAATGTTCACCGATCAATATGTCTTCCTGCTGTGCCAATATTAATGGGTCATTTTCTCTGTGGCAGGCACCATATTAGGTGAGTTGTATACCTGTTCTGATTTATTCTTCACAATAATTTGACAACACACACAGTGTTTTCATTTAAACAGTGGAGCAACACAAAGCTCAGAGAAGTTAAGTAACTTGCCCAAAGTCACAGTCCTAGTGAATAGAGGAGTCTCCATTCACACTCAGGTCTGTTGGAACTTTAAAAATATGCTCTTTTCACACAGAATCCTCTTGAGAATAGGACTGACTCTTTTAGTAAGGAACAACAGAATATGAGGTCCTAAAAAAGGAGTTTCTAGCATCTCTATTCCTCCCTGGCATTTAGTGTTTGCCGTCTTGAGTTATTCTTAACCATCTTTGAGGCCAACACGTGTGCAGCCTCCCCATCTAGACAGTGAGTCCCTTGAACGACAGCGTCTAGCTCTTCCCATTCAGCAGCGAACGTTATTAGTAAGAAACAAGGACACCGTCCTTGGCACCATGGGTGTAAAGTCAAATAAGAGGGGCTTTACAATCTAGTGGTAGAGACTGAGAAGTGGGAATTTTCAGTTCAGGGTCCTATGAACACTCAGGAAAGTTAAGGCATTTTGCAGTCTTAGGAATGCTAAGTAAGACTTCTAGGCCGTAATTACACAGAGTAGGAATTAAGATATTTGGAATTAGGGTAATACTTTTACCTTATTTTTTAGATATAATTGCTAGAAATACAAGAAAAAATTCCACATACAAGAAGAAATAGTGCATCACTCCTTAGGAGAATATTCATCCTTTTCGTGTAGATCTTACAGATACTTTCCTGCTTCCCTCAAGTGTTTCTGGGAAAATGAGTGTGTTAGAAAGAGCAAGAAACCAAAATCAATGACTGATTCATTTCAATAGATAGATAGGTAGGTAGATAATGTGATGCAATGGTACTGACTGTAAGTTCTGTACCCCTTCAGGGTAAACATCTTCAAAATCATAGAAAGAGCAGTGTAAAAATTGGGATACGATACATTTTTTATTCCAAAAAACTTTATCAAGATAAACCAGCTGTCAAAAGTTTGTGAAGTCAGAGTAAAGTTGTCTCGGAAGCCTCCACCTGTGCTTCCTAACTTGCTTCATTCCTGATCTTTTTATCTTTTCCATGCTCCCTCCAGATGTTAATTTTTTTTTTTCTCCAATAGAGACAGAGTCTCTTTCTATTACCCAAGGTGAGTGCAGTGATCATAATTCACTGCAACCTCGAAGTCCCGAGCTCAAGCAATTCTCCTGCCTCAGCCTTTGAAGTAGCTAGGACTGTAGGCATCTGCCACCACACGCGGCTGATTTAAAAAATATTTTTTTTTGTAAAGACAAGGTCTCGCTATGTTGCCCACGGTGGTCTCTCAACTCCTGGCTTCAAGTGATCCTCCTGCCTTGGCCTCCCAAAGTGTTGGAATTATAGGTGTGAGCCACCATGCCCAGCCCTCTTTTGTCAACTTCTGAAAATCCTTGCTTTCAAACTAAGGCATCAACCGATAGCTATAGAATCTTTCAACTCTAGGATTTAATACTGGCTTGGGGTATTTGCATTTTATTAGAGGATGCCAAGGAAATCAAAACCTTTAAAAACTCAGAAAAGTATCAATAATGGGAGAATGATGGACAATGGAGTTGGCCTTTGGGGCTAGATCTAACTGAATTATACTTGGATGAATCCATGTCACATGTATTTGTATGGCTGTTTCTAAGTCAGTAGCCCAATTCAGCAGTTTTTTAGTATCTTCTGTTAGCCAGACACTGTGGTAGGCACTAGAGATTAAAAAGTATATAGTCATTTTCCCTGAAGATCTTACAGCCCCATCAGAACATATAGGCTTCTCATTTTATTTGCCAGAGTACTTCAGGGAAATGTTTATTTTTTTCTAACATGTATTCTTTCTGTTTCCAAGATGATTTCCAGTGGCTTTCCATTTTAAAACAACAGGTAATATTAAATGTAGAAAGAGGCCAGAAACCATGTGGAAAAAAATTGTTATAGCAGGAGCCTGAACCAAGAGTTATGCCTTAAGTTTAGCCCTGAGCTTCCTGGTTGCCAAGGCAAAAAGGGTTATATAGTTTGCATTTCTAATAAAAGGATACAAGATAAATTTGTTCAAAGAGACCATATTTTTCTGATTATGTTTTGTAAGGAATTCGCTGTGTATATCGTCTTATAAAGGACTCCCATTAGATGTAGTTTTACATAAAATATAGAAAAGTTCTTCAGTGGCTATTTTTCATTGAACTTTCAAGGAAAGCCCAGCAAAGAACATTAAATAAGCATTAAAGGCATTTCCTTTGAGTACTAAGCTAGCATGGCACAGTTATGTTGCTTTCCTGTGGTCTGGCTTTAATGAGAATAGAACTTAATGGCTAAGAATACTGGAATGCCAACATTAATAATTAGAATTTCTTGCCATAAATTGGCCCTCCACATTTTTTCATTCAGATTGCTGCAATAGCTTAACTGTCTCCCTGCCCTAGGCTCCATTTTCCTGTTTTCCCCTTTGCCTTTCTAAATCTATCATCTGCACAATTACCAAAGTAACTTTTCTAAAATATAACTCCCCTGTCATTCCCTGTTTAGATTATTTCGGGGAGTCTACATTGCTTATAGGAGAAAGTCCAGACGTGCAATATCTTCTATAACCTCCACCCTTCTCACTCGCTGTGCCCCTTCTTCCCCACCTCAGCCATCCTAAACAGCTGGCAGTTCTCTGAACATATCACACTTCACTCACAATGTGGCTTCTTCCTGATAGGCTCCTCCCTTCTGGGGGTTATGTTCGAAATATCTGATAACCTGTGTGACATGAGCATACCAATTAGAACAGACACTGCCCTGCTTGCAGGGCTTTCTTTGGCTAGGTCCTGGAATGCTCCTGATCTGCAAGACATTAACCCTTTAGATTTCGGACTGTGAGGGTGTCTGGGACAAAGAAGGGGAGGCAAGGTTGGAAGAAATGTATGGAGTTTAAGACAATGACAGTTTGCCCATTGATAATATTTTTAATACCAAATGGCTGCCTGAGTGGTACATCAGCTGTAGAGCAGCCCTGCCTCTGCCCTTTCCTTCATTCTTCCCTGTCTCCTTGACCCTCTTGAAGATAGCTCAGGAGCCATTTCCTCCAGGAAGCCTTTCCCGAACCCCTGGCTCATCACTGTCTCCATTGTGTGACCCACTGTACCCTGTGTGTGGTTCCATCATAACTCCTATATTTCTCTTTTGCACAGTTTTGTTTGCCTCTCTGTCTCCATGTCTGACTCATCTCTATATCCCAGCACTTTGCACAGCACCTGGCATGTAGGATGCGCACAGTAGGTATTTCATGAATGAAACATACGAAAACTTCTGTCCCCTGAAACGTGAAGAAGAGATTTCCCAACACGCACTCCCAGTAGATATGAAATCTACTCATCCTAATAATATGGGTAGATTTGACAGTTTTATCACCCCTGCAAACTTCCTGATTCTGTGGCATTCAATTAAAACAACTACAGCAAGCATAGCAGCAGGCGGCATTTCACTACGTTTTCACTCCTGAAGCCTCAAACTGGGGAGAATATTCAGTCCTTCAACTGGAAAAAATGAGATATATTCTGAAAGTTTCTTGACCGTACCTCTCCAAAAAATGAAAATCCCTACCCTGATGGAATAAAACTTTGTTTTGATAATCTTTGCATAGAGAAAGCACATAAAAGTCATTGGGCCACTCTTTTTTTATGTCTCTTGTTCTCAGGGGACAGAGCACTCCTTCTTCCTTCCTTTTTATTTGTTTTGTTCACTGATTTATTTCTAGTATTTAGAGCAGGACCTGGACTAGCTGTGCAGTAAATGTTTTTTTGAATGAACAACTCCAAGTGGAAGATGGGAAAATGTGGCAAAAGAAAAAAAAAGCAATCCAAACTTTTCATTTTCTTTTCTTTTCTTTCTTTCTTTTTTTTTTTTTTTTTTTTTTTTTGAGACAGAATCTTGCTCTGTCGCCCAGGGTTGAGTGCAGTGGCACGATCTCGGCTCACTGCAACCTCCACCTCTCAATTCAAGCAATTGTCCTGCCTCAGCCTCCCGAGTAGCTGGGATTACAGGTGCCTGCCACCACACCCAGCTAATTTTTGCACTTTTAGTAGAGATAGGATTTTACCATGTTGGCCAGGATGGTCTCAAACTCCTGACCTCAAGTGTGATCAGCCTGCCTTGGCCTCCCAAAGTCCTGGGATTACAGGCTTGAGCCACCATGCCCAGCCCAATCCAAGCTTTTCCTGAAGGATCACGAGCCCTGCTTTTTATCCTTTCTGAGGTTCCAGCAGGGATTAAATTGATGCCCAGGTTCATTGCTGATGGCCAGGCCCCAGCCACCACCTGTGGAGATAGGAAATATGTGGCCTTACTCCCAACACTTCCAGGTGGAGGCAGGAGCTAGAGCCAGCCGCTTATTCCTCAAAGGAAACAGGAACAGGATGTGGCAGCAGCAGCAACTTGATTGACAATAAAAATCAAACTCAGACACTTGGAACAACACAGACCCAAGACTTTGTTCTACATCCAGTGACTCACCAGACTGAACAGAAGTTTAAAAGGAGTCCTAGAACTACATTAAGTTGCCCAATTGCTTCCTCCCTTGGCTTTCTTTCAACCAGAGGTGCAGTGTCCAAGAGAAAGGTGGTTGCGATTGCTTTTAAACATGCACCCATTTGTTATTTCAGCTCCACAAAGCGCCTCAAGTCTGTGGAGGATGAAATGGACAGTCCTGGTGAGGAGCCATTTTATACAGGCCAAGGGCGCTCCCCAGGAAGTGGCAGTCAGTCAAGTGGATGGCATGAAGTGGAGCCAGGTAAGCAGAGTGGCGGCACGGGCATGTGGCTAACACTGTGAAACTGAAAATACGTGTGGGGTCCCATGCCACGCATAAAAGTGAAGAAAGAAAGCTCAAGGTAGTTCACTTTTTCAGGATGAGCACTTGTTTGTATTGTAATCTGATTGCCACATTCATAAAAGGATGGCTGTGCAAAGCAGTAGTAATTCAACTGAAATGCAAGACTGGTGAGATGGTGTATGATTTTCTGCTCTTACATATTTTCCCCTACACCACAATCCAGCATTTGATTTGCTTTTGGTTTTTTTGTTTGTTTTGTTTTGTTTGTTTGTTTGCTTTTTTGAGACAGAGTCTTGCCCTGTCGCCCGGGCTGGAGTACAGTGGCATGATCTTGGCTCACTGCAACCTCCTTCTCCCTGGTTCCTCCTTCTTCTGCCTCAGCCTCCCGAGTAGCTGGGATTACAGGCACCTGCCACCACGCCTGGCTAATTTTTTGTATTTTTAGTAGAGACGGGGTTTCACCATGTTGGCCAAGCTGGTCAATTTTTGTATTTTTAAAAGAGACGGGGTTTCACCATGTTGGCCAGGCTGGTCTCAAACTCCTGACCTTGTGATTCACCCACCTCGGCCTCCCAATTGTTTTTGTTTTTATACTATCTTTTGGTTTAGTTTTTGAAATTATCTTTTAATCCTAATAAAAATCTATCAACTTTTTCAGCAGGATCGATAACATTCGAAAGAAGAATGGGTTCCTTGCGATAGTTTAGACTCAGATTTTTATATAATAAGGACACTTTGCAATATTTTTCCTATTACTGGATATCATCATGATTATTTTTCTATTTAAATGGAACAACTCTCTTTATTCTGATCTGTACTAAACTGAACAAATGATGACTGCTGGTCTAATCTCCTGGGGTAGTCTAATCTTGGCTCTGGAGTCTTGGGAGTAATATGGATAAGTCTGATTGCAAAAACTATTTGAAACCCTTTCCAATGTCTAACACGTGGTTTAGAGGGAATCTTCTCCAAAGCTTCCTGAATATGGCAAGTCCAATGGGTATAAAGGATAGAGTATGTGCCTTGAAATCAGACAGTTGGAGTGCCAACCTGGCTTCAACTCCTGCTGGCTGTGTGATTGTGGGCAAGTTACCTAGCCTCTCTGAGCCTGTGTCTCCCTTTTTATAATCTGACAGTACTAATAGCTATTTCCTAGCATAGCTACTACCTAGCATAGAGTAAGTATGAAAATACTGTTCTATGGCCATCCTTCCCCAGCTTTTGCTTCAGAGTTAATTCCCTGCAAGTACAGACGAGCACCAAGAAAATTTCTGAACCAACCTCTTCATCTATAAATCCTAGCTCCCTTGTCTCCTCCCTTAATTTTTTTTCAAAAGACAATGCTCAGGGGATGTGACTATAAAGGTGTAGCACGGGGAAAATGTTGGGGTGATAGAACCATTCTGTATCCTGATTGTGGTGGTCACAGTAATCTATACAATCGTTAACATTCACAGAAGTACATACCTCCCTGCTCAAGTTAATTTTACTGTATCATAATTAAACACAAAACAAAAACACCTCAGGCCCATTGGCGGTGTCTTTTATCTTGCCCCTGCTATTAAAATGCAAAAATGTCTCTTTGCTTTGCTTCTGCCTAGTCTTTCATTCATTCACTCATTGGATAGTCTTCACTGGGGACTTTCTCTGTATGAAGCACTATGCCAGGTTCTGGGAACTCAAGGATAGATGGGAAGGTTATGGCCCCTGCTCTCAAGGAATTCACAGTCAGAGGTGGGAAACAAACACATAAGCAGATCATTATACGGTGATATGGGAAGCGCAGAGATGGTGGTGTTAGTCTTCCGTGACTTCTGTTTCTAATTAGTACCAACCACAGCACTCAAGGTGTGGTGGTTCTTCTATGAAGGTCACACATCATCTTTTCTCCGAATTCGTGTTCACATCAGTTTGCCTAAAGTGCCTAAGAAATAGTCCCAGCCCTAAATGAGAAGGAAAATGCTGACTCTCACTGCCACTACCCGCATCATCAGCATGACCTCTATATAGTGCCAATGAAAAGTTTATGTGCTATTAAAAAATTAAAAGATGGAAAACTTCTTTGAACCCTTTTTCAAAGGCTAATTAGAGCCCTAGTCAATTTACCTGCTTCAGTGAAAATCAGAATTAAACATATAGGTTTGGTACATTTGTGCTTGATTATTGTGTAGATGCATTTTTGTGCATATTGAAGCTGCTTTATTAGGTTGAGGTACTCAGAGCTCCCCCATCATGAGGCTGAGCTCTAGGTCCTTGCATTTAATTCCTCTGGGTATATTGGGGGCTGTGGAGGTTGATTGATAATTACAGAATATTTTGACCTAGTGACTCTTTTATTCAGGGCAATTCCTATTCCTATCTGTACATTATGATTCAAACGATCATAAATTTTAACATTTGAATACCTGAATCCTTTGTAGTCATTAAATAACTGAAGTTTAATGGCTGAATCCTTTTTGGTAAGAGGTGTGTGTGTGTGTGTGTGTGTGTGTGTGTGTGTGTGTGTGTGTACGTACACATATATATTCTTAGAGAATCCCTCACAGTTGTATTCCTGGACTGACTCTCCATTCTCTATCCCCATTTCATTACAGAAAAATGCAGTTTCATGGTATATGTTTATAGGGAGTGATAGAGGACAGTGGATAAACGTACATTTGGCCATACTCAGCAAGCGCAGAAAGTCATAATTGCAACAAGGCCTGAGGGGACATTAAAACTCAACTGAAGGATGTTGCACATGTTCTTGGTGACTTTGGTGTCATTAACTCACACCAGCCATTTTAAATGGATAATTTATGCTGCCAGATGGTCCTTTTTGGGGATTTTCCATAAAGCCCAATCCCCTTTTTGGCACAGAGAGCACCTTTATGTTGTTCCCACACTTATGCAGGCCTGCATAGCTTTTCCCCAGGGGTACAGTTAAATTGAGTAGGAGGCTTTTAGTAGTTCACATGTAAATTACCTTCAGAAATATGTTGGGAGTTATGTATATCTGAATGCACCAGCAGCCTCTTGGTTGCCTACATTTGGGATAATTCTCTCAAACAAGTACTAAGGATACTGTGTTTAGGCCTCAGATGTGACACAGGAAGCAAGGCCTGTACCTGCTCCTCACTCAGAATGCTTTGGTTTCCGTTTACCTGCCTTAAAATGCTTTTCCAGGACTCCCTGGCCAAAAGAGGGCCAAAGGTTGCCAGAAGAGACAAATTTCCTAGAGCAACAGGAAGATTGTGGAAAGTAAAACAAACCAGACATGCAGTAAATTACATGGGCTATTTCAAATGTCTTTTGTAGTATCCTGTTCCCCATTAGTTTATCTCAGCACTTTTAGTGCACAGCTCTTATTATCTGGGAAGAAGGGCATAGGAGATTAAAGATGATGTTAGTTTAAAAACATCAGACAACTTCAGAATGACTTTCGCTTCTCTTACAATGCTGCATTTGTCTCTCGTACTTAGTTTTGTTTCCCAGTTATCTCAAAACTGGGTTAGATACGAAGCTTTGAAGCAAATCATGAATTGACAAAACGAGTCCTATGAAATTCTATCAAGCACAAATGCACATATCATCAACTCTTGTTTATCTGTACAAATGAAGAATTACAGAGAAATTGATAATGCAGATAAACAGGAAAGAAACCAATACACAGCGCCCACATTGGGTCAGACACTCATGTTGCTTTCAAATATATGGAAAAATTCTAGTTACAATTGAGTACCTACTGTGTACCAGGTTTTTAAAAAATTAACCTCCTTTAAAATATGCAAAATATAATGATCCTGCCTCTAAAGAGATAAAAACTGAGACTCATAAAAGGTCAAGTGACTTGCCCAAGCCCACACAGATAGTAAATCTGTGGATCCAAAATCCATATTTGAAACCAAATCTGACTTCATAGTCTAAGTTTATCTTCTACACTCAGTAACCTCTTTTACCATAAACATTTGGAGCAGCATTTTAGGGTCTCATGTCCTGGACTGGTACTTTAGTTAAAACGTTATAAAGCCGGGTGTGATGGCTCACGCCTGTAATCCCAGCACTTTGGGAGGCCGAGGTGGACGGATCACCTGAGGTTGGGAGTTCGAGACCAGCCTGACCAACATGGAGAAACCCCATCTCTACTAAAAATACAAAATTAGCTGCGCATGGTGCTGCATGCCTATAATCCCAGCTACTCGGGAGGCTGAGGCAGGAGAATTGGTTGAACCTGGGAGGTGGAGGTTGCAGTGAACCGAGATCGTGCCATTGCACTCCAGCCTGGGCAACAAGAGCAAAACTCCGTCAAAAAAAAAAAAAATTATAATAAGAAACAATAAATAACTCATGAGAGAGACCTGAAAAATATTCGATTTTCCTTATCCCAAAGCCTTGTAATACAACTTAATCTAGAGAAGAAATATAGATTATTAAATATACATAGGACACAATATATAAGCAAAGAGTATTAACTGTTAACAAAGTAAACTATCGTTTTCATTTATAAAATCAAATAACCCTCAGCAGTTAGGTCTTTGTTCAAATAGTAGCTCATCACACAGGCCCTCAGTGATCTAAAATAGCTGCTGACCCTCACTCCATCATCCTATAACTCACAACACTGTTTTGCTTTCTTTACATCTGCATCTACTATTTTTTTTTTTTTTCTGAGACAGAGTCTTGCTCTATCGCCCAGGCTGGAGTGCAGTGGCGCGATCTCAGCTCACTGCAACCTCCACCTCCGGGTTCAGGTGATTCTCCTGCCTCAGCCTCCCGAGCAGGTAGGACTACAGGTGCATGCCACCATGCCTGGCTAATTTTTGTATTTTTAGTAGAGACAGGGTTTCATCATATTGGCCAGGCTAGTCTCAAACTCCTGGCCTCAAGTGATCCTCCTGCCTCAGCCTCCCAAAGTGCTGGGATTACCAGTGTGAGCCCACCACGCCAGGCCATCTCTCTGCTATTATTGTCTGTTTTCTCTCTCTAGAATATATACTTCATGAACAGTGGGACTTAGTCTGTCTTTTCCATTGCTGTATCTCTAACATCCATAACAGTGTCTAGCACATAATAGGTATTCAATAAATATTGATTGAATGAATGAAGCGATAAAGCAGAGAATTTGGGGTGCTTTCAATAAACTTGAAAGCAGAATTTGCTATCAAGAATACTCTCAGAATTGGTGTTTACTACACTTTCAATTTGTAGGCTTTCAGTCAAATCCAATTACTAGCAAGTCGTAAGCAGAACAATTGCTTAGGCTCAGCCAAGGACCTCTTGACGAGCAGCAGTGCATTGACTTTATTACAAGTATCCCTCACCTGAAAGTGTGTTCCTTTAAGTGAATCAAACCTTTTTTAAAAAAACAAATAATAATTCTGTATTATTTCTAAGTTTGTTGTTTAGTATTAGCTCCGTATTAAGAATCCCAACAGTGAATCCTTTGTAGAACATTTTATGTAGTATAGACAACCTCCCTGACTTACCTGTGAAAAATTCAGATTTCCATACCAAATGTTCTCTTCTACAAGTGTAAGGAGCACCCATATGAGACACTTCAGACCCTTGCTGCTCCAAGTGTGGTCTGAGGACCTGCAACATGGCATCACCTGGGGGCTTACTAAAAATAGAGAACCCTGGCCGGGCATGGGGCCCAAGGTGGGAGGATTGCTTGAGGCCAGGAGCTTGAGATCAGCCTAAGTAACATAGCAGGACCCTGTCTCTACAAAAAAAAATTTTTAATTAGCCATGCATAATGGTGTGTGCCCGTAGTCCCAGCTACTTGGGAGGCTGAGGCAGGAGGCTTGCTTGAGCCGAGGAACTCAAGGTTACAGTGAGCTATGATTGTGCCATTGCACTCCAGCCTGAGCAACAGAGTGAGACCCTGTCTCAAAAGAAAAGAGAAACAAACAGAAAAACAGAATCTCACGCCCCACCTAGACCAACAGAATTTTAACAAGATCTCCCGGTGATGCTTGTGCATGTTACACTTTGCAAAGCACTGATTTAGGCTGCTTTTTTGTTCCTTTAGGTGGGTTCTCCCTACTCAGTACTTGTCTGGAAGCCACCTTAACTTTAAATGTCACGCTCTCCAACCGTTCTCTCTATGTTAAAGTAGGTTCTCTTTAAAACAATTCTAGATAGGTAGAAATCTAGCCTATTTTCAAATAGATTAGAAAAGATTGGATTCTGGGTGACTCTAGATACCTCACTATAAGAAAAACAATTCTCTTGTCTCCCTCTCTGTCCCATATTCCTCCAGTTTAGGGCCTGCTGCATGAAAAGGAATGGCTGGTCTTCTAATCATTATCATTAAAGTCAAGCCAAGTTGTTGAATCCTTATTAAGTGCTGATTGTATGCAGTATACTAGAGTAGATACAGAGAGGACTCCAGCAAGTCCCTGTCTCCAAGGGCAAACCTCTGAATTTCCTCAAGTGTCAGTCACTACCTGTAAGGTGGGAACTGTTCCTTCTGCTCCATCTCTGTCACAAAGTTATGACAGATGAGGTAATGAAGTCCAAAGTCCTTTGTGAAAATTAATATTCTCTAATCACGTGAAATATCATCATTAGGATTACTGAGGCAGCCAGGCTTACCCAGCTGAGGGTAGTTGAAAGCAGACAGGGTTAAGTGTCACAGGAGTAAAAGAAAAGAGCTGTTAAATCTGGAGAATAAGGGATAGTTTCCTTAAAAGGTGGCAATTAAACTGGATTTAGATGGAATCAGACTGAGAAATGTTCAAGTCTCACTTGAAAGTGAGACTTGTCTCTTAGTCTTTTGATTGTTAGTATATATAAATTTAAGTCTTCTTCCTAAGTTGAAAGGCAGCTCTGTGGCTGTTCTGTGAGCCTTTCTCAGGTTATATTTGTCCCCGAAGTTAACGATTTATACCAGGGGTCCAGTGGGCTTCATGGATGACTGCGTTGCACCACTTTCAGATTTGAGACCGCATCTGCATTAAGTACAGACATATCAGTAAGTTTTGGCAGACCTAAAAAGTAAAGCAAATTTTTTTATTGTAAAAAAAAATGAAATTACAGTACTTTTCAGTGAAGTTCAGTACTGTGTTTCAAATATATGCATAAGAAGCTACTTAAATTTTCTCCTGTAGAAAAACATTCAAAATTCCAAATGCCTTCAATTATACTGGGATTGTAAAACAATTAACAGACACAGTTACATCCACCAACATGTTGAAAGTTTCAAAACAGTTTAGTGAAAGTTTTGAAGTCAAATTTGATAAGGAATAAATTTAGTTTTATTTTTATAAATAACTTTTGGAGATACATTTCTCTGCAAAGAGTAAGTTGTTCTCATTTTTGAAGGTCAAAATTAAGTACTTTAGGCCGAGCACAATGGCTCACACCTGTAATCCCAGCACTTTGGGAGGCCGAGGTGGGCAGATCACTTGAGGTCAGGAGTTTGAGACCTGCCTGGCCAACATGGTGAGACCCCATCTCTGCTAAAAACACAAAATTTAGCTGGGCGTGGCGGCGCCCTCCTGTAATCCCAGCTACTAGGGAGGCTGAGGCAGGAGAATCGCTTGAACCCAGGAGGCAGAGGTTGCAGTGAGTCAAGATTGTGCCATTGCACTCCAGTCTGGGCGACAAGAACAAAACTCCTGTCTGAAAAACAAAAATGAAGTATTTTAATAACATGTTCTCTGTTCCTATCACAATGATTAAGAAACACAGTTTTAAAAAATTGTTTAAAGGCATCTGTCAAAGAATATTTCGGTAAACATCTGGTCAGTCAGCGACCCAGGGCATTCAGAACTAGGGGTCAGTGTCACAACTACTGGCAGCATAGTTGAATTTTGCAGACTTATGTTAGTCATTGTAATTTTAAATATCACATATTAGGTTCACCTGGATTCCCAACTCTGCTGGTCCTAATTTGACTGCCAACAGTCATTTATCAATTGTAAGAGTGGAGGAAGTCTACCAACTTAGATTTCTAGCTGAGACACAGGGGAAACCCATTATCAGTGCCAGTAAAAAGGCAGCGACTGGTAACAATAGTGCTTTGATCATGGACACTCCACTGCACTAGCATATATTAGAGAAAATGATTAAATCTCCCATCATCTCTTGCTGGAGTAGGAATAGTCACTGCTACAGAACATTGCCATGGGATCGATGTCTTGGCTTTTCTTCTGCATTTATGGAGCAGTAGGAAAGCATCATCTGGGACCACATCCTCTTCTATGATCTCATATTGGCACCTGCCCATTAGAGACTGGTACACCAGGGGACATTGGTACAGTAACAAGGGGCCTCTTCTTTACGAACCCTTCTTTATCAGAGAAATTTCACCCAAATAAGGGGTTATGACAGGAAAGCTGTATTACCAAATGAGCACTGTAACCACCCTTCAAAAATCCCTTGCCTTCTTTATCAAGGCTGTTTTTTCTTAATGTCAGAAAAGGGCCTAAAACAGCTCCTTGTAATTGGAGTCTAAAAGGTTACCTCTTAGAGGAAAAGAAATATTCTTCTCATACACACACACATATACTCTGTGTATGTGTTATATACATATATAATAAAGCATGATCCAGAAAACTGTTTGGATTCCTGAAGCCTCTAGTACCTGGCGACTTAGTAGCCATTCAATCAATATTTGTTTAATAAATAAGTAAATAATAAGATGGAGATCACACACGTCTCACTTTGTCCTTCGAGTAGGATCAAGCGCTCAGAAGCAGAGCGATGTATACGTTTGTCGAACGAATGAGCGTTGCTCCGCTTGCATCGGAGAACCCAGATGTACAATTTTGTGAATGCAGAAGCTCTCAGGAAAACAGATGCTGCATTTCAGCTGGTCTTGTCTGAATAAATAAATTACCCAAATCTCCAAATTTTTAATTTCATGTTTGAAAATGAAGCTGTGTAAATATTCTAGAAGGGGAGGAAGAAGGAGATGCAGTGTATACATTAGGTTTATATGTGAAATCCTCCTCCCTGTGCCTGTCACCATCCTCAGTACAGCCCCCGTGGCTCAGGTGGCCAACTCATGGTGTGGCTTGGGTGGAGCATACTGTAAAGAGGAACATTAAAGCAAATTTCATTCCAACCACAGCAATCTTCATAGGCTTGCTGGGGAGGAAGATAAGTGAGAAATAGAATGTATTTTAAAGAGGAAAAAGTACAAATTAAGAATTTTAAAAGTTAGTCATTCTCATATTCTGCCATGAGCAAGCCTGAGAATTTTAGCAAACTACTTCTCTGAATTTTCATTTCCTCATATGTAAACATTGAGGACAATAAAACAGCCTTGCCTTCCTAACTCATAGCTTTGAAAAGATCAAATGAGATGATAAGAACAAGAGCTGCCATTTATTAAGCATCAGCTCTGTGTAAAAGTATCGTGCAGGGCACTATACATATTTTTAATATACGCAAAGTATATTTAATAAATCAAAATGCTGTAAAGAAATACTGTATATCCTTTTTAGGGGGTAAATACTTTGAAAACCCTAAACTTACTGTATGAATTTAAGATACTGTGAAATTTATTTGATAACATATATTACACCTCTGCATCTATTATATGCAAAGCACTGTGCAAAAATGATAGAAGAAGTATGAAAATAAGCAAAACAGAACTTGCCTTCAAAGAGCTTACAGCCCAGTGAAGGAAGGAAGGGTAACTGGTTAAATAAGTACCCAATGGCTGTAATAGATAAGATGTAGAGCACAGCAAGCTTCATATGGGTGAGGAGTTTATTCAGCGGCTTAGACCACAGTCCTCTGCTGTGCCTGCTTAAAATAGCTGGTGCATCAGCCATTTCATCGTTAAAGGAGCAGCAGTGAATACTGGCCCGTTTCCTTCGTTTCGTAATATCAGAGTCGAATCTTACTCCATCTCTAAGAAGCTTCTAGAGAGCTGACATACTAGGAAGTCCTCAAGAAGTGCATATACAAAAATACAGTTTATCATACTATACTCATGGACCCAAATCTCCCCTGCCTGAAACAGACAGTTTTCTGATTTGTAGATAATAGATTGGGTAGAATACAAGCAAATAATTTACTTGGAGGGAACAAAATTAATCTGAATGGAGATTAAATTCACCAGAGGGTAGAATAACCAGAAAGTGTAGTTGGAAGAGGAGGAAGGAAAGAAAAAAGACAGAGCGATCATTGATAGAAAGATAATAGATCAGACTTACCTAAGAGTATACCATGTTTTCCTATATCTAATATTATTTAAATATTTATAGAACTTAAATTGAAGGTAGTTTTAACCATAGATATAAAGATGAAAATACTTTAGTGATCTTACTTCCTGCGTTCTATCATATAAACACAGTGTAGCTATTTTATAGACTCAAGACAAGTTGATTAACAATAAATATATATTGGCTTGTATTTTGTCACTGCTGCTGAAATTTTAAATATATAAGCGTTTTATAAGTAATAGCAATAACTGATGTTTATTGAGCACTTACTATGGGCCACACATTGTTCTAAGCTATATGCACACATATATAAATATATATGTGTGCATACATATACATTCATTTAATTTGTAAAAAAGTGATACCACTAATACTATTGTTTGCAGACTTATTTCCCTCTCTCATAGGGTCTTATATTTTTCCTACATACTGATGATTCTCTTTAAACGTTAAATAACCTAATATAGCACCATCAGTTTATATGGAAATAAAGTTCTGTGGTTTTTGGCCATCAATGTTTTTAACAAAGTAGTTTGTTAACACTCCAGAATAAGTGGCTTTTACATGGGGAATTGGGGAGAGAGGGAAGAAATAAGTCCTTGGTCTGTGCAGATCCCAGAAGTCAATCAATAGTGTGTGCAGCACGCTGCTGTGCAGCAGTTTCTCATGAGGCTGTGCACATCCCAATTGCTTTCTGCTCAGCAGAGGATTACAATAATGCCTATTTATCCAGCTCTGTCCATCCAAGGATTTTAGATACATCATAAACTCATCAATTAATCAGAGACATGGCACCCATTTCAAAATGCTGGGAGAATTACATCCTGGAAGATTACGAGAAATGCTCACGTCGACAGAGTAAATCAAGAACTATTTCCTGATGGATTCCTGAATGGCACACCAAGTACTGAAATGAAGAGGGCTGTCTCCAGCACTGATTCACAAAGTATATCTCAAGTGGAAGAAAACTTCCGGAATAAAACGTCACTTTACTTTGAAGCATCTGTTAAACTTGAAAAATTAAACTGAGGTAGAATGGCAAAGCTCATTAAATATTAATACAATTAATTGGCTTCCCTCTTCAGAGTAAAGTATCACTGACCTCCCTTTCTTAACAATTAAAACCCCTCTGAAACCTTTGGGTTTTTTAAATACAGTGTAACTTTGGTTCTTGATTCTCTGGTCTTTGTCAAGTGAGGAATTCTTCCTGTGGTCCAGCACGCTCAGCCCACTGTGGGGAACTGGCTTTCCAGACAGCTGTGAATGTTCGGTATTTATTCAGACAATACTCCCACACTTTGATGATTTACTGTGGTCCAAGCATCTTGTTCCTCATTTTGAAGAAACATTCCAGTCTGTAGGTATCGTCTACTTTGTATGTAATGAGAGGTAGTTTAAAGTTTTCATTTGCGTAGCTGGAAGTGCACTCACGTCATTAGAAATTCAAGGAATGGCAACTCAATATCCATTTCTAATCTGAAGGGTCTTCCCTGCCCCTGCCATGTTAGCCCCACCCAGAAATCACTTAACTATGATTAGCTTCCAAGATTAGTGAATTCTAGGATAGCAGGATTACTTATGACTTAATGCCAGTCAGAATTTGCCATCTGCCTTTCAGCCATTTCATGAACCCAGCAGAAGAGAGCATTTATCAAAATGGCTGTGCAACACCCCTCATGTCTTAACACTCTTTAGGGACTTATATAAGCAACACTTCATGTTCGAATGTCAAAATCCACGTGTAAGGCTTAAAAGTAGTATGGGATGCTTAAGAATGCTTTTCAGGGCCAGTTATTCTTTGATATTTATCACTTCATGGTGCTGACACCTGCTTCTAATTTTAAGAGTTCGTTCTTCCAGTGGATTTTTTTTTCCTTCAGAAATCTTATCCTCAAAAGACTTAACTAGCAATTTTTCTTTTTTTGATGTGCTTGATGTTTTGATGAGTTTGTCTATCAGCATTGAAACCTTAACATACCTTTCATTTAGAATAAAAAAAAATCTTTGTGACACACATTTATTATATTGGATCACATAAATTTTTGCCCTGGCAGTACATTCGAAGACTTTTGCAGAGATATAATTTATTAGAAATGTCATTATCTGCCACTTGGCCTACTTGATAGTTGTCTTAAGTTGACAAAAGCTATAGACATAGATAAAGTCTTCCTTGAGGGAGCAATTCAGTAAATAACTTTCACCCAATACCCTTATTTGGTTGTCTTTCACACCCAAGGGTCAGGTTGGTGGCAATTGTCATTTGAGAGTTAGTAAGTGGAAAGACAAAGACAGAGAGGAACCTAGTTTTGTCTATTGAGACACATATGGAAATAGTCCTTTGGTTTGGGTGTAGCCAGCCTAGTTGTAGTGCCCAATGTGGTTTGCTTTCTTGTTTTTATCTTGTCTAAAGACCTTTCCCTCACAAGTTTCCTCACAAGTGCTGGATAAAGTTCATTGCATGAGTAGAAGAAGCCGCAAAAGATGATATATAGCTAGCAACCCGTTCTGATTGGTCTATGAAGAGTTGCCTGTATAAAATT